>NC_000003.12:67585757-67888787 GCF_000001405.40 Homo sapiens
TTCAAGACCAGCCTGGCTGACATGGCAAAACCCCATCTCTACTAAAAGTACAAAAAATTAGCCGGGCATCCATGTGGTGGGTGCCTGTAATTCCAGCTACTTGGGAGGCTGAGGCAGGAGAATCGCTCGAACCCAGGAGGTGGAGGTAGCAGTGAGCCGAGATCATGCCACTGCACTCCAGCCTGGGCAAAAGAGCAAGACTCCATTTCAAAAAAAAAAAAAAAAAAAAAAAAACCAAACCCACAAAGACTCCTGCTTTATTTCAATTATTTTCCCTGATAGATTTTCCTCCACATTTGTAAAATAATGCTGACATCAACCAGCCAAAAAAATCACACCCACTTTATCAGAACTACTTGTGCAGTTAAATAAATAGCATGCTACTTCCAAAAGAAACAATTACTTCTATTTTTTAAACAAGGATGAAGCATCCTACTTGTAATTCTCAATGATTTCCGCAGAGATCAAGTGAGGCTCCTTCTTTACTACAGCCAAATTTCCCACCACCAGATTCACAAGGCAGAAACTTGAGAGTTCAGTGAATAGTACCAGTTAACCTCAGAGGGCTGTTGTAGTTTCTCAGTAAGCTCCTGGAACAACCTAGACTGCATGGGACAAAATTTTCTTTTTGCAAATGATGTGTTTCATTTTTTTTAAAGGAAGAGCTATGAATAATAATGAGATTCATTGATTTCGAGAGATCAGAAACAGGTAAGTTTTGTAGCAGAGTCTAATGTGCCAATTTCAGTCCTTAGGCAGTCAATTAATCTACCCTTCCCAATTGGTCTGATGTTCATGATCCTATGGGGTATTTTTTAAAAGTAAGTAAAGTAAGTATTCTAAATAAAGAAGATTAAGGATGTTGCTGGCTTCTTCTATTTTTATATGTTCTGTTGGATGACCTTTTGAAATGCTCTAGACCAAAGTTCGTTGCTTTTGGCTTAAAGCAGCACAGTATGGTGGTTAGGAACACAGACTGGGACAGGTGGAGGTTCCAATTCCAAATGTGACATTTACTATGTTCAGAGATTTAAGTAACTTGTTCAAGGTCACACAAGTAGTAATTGACATGAAAGGGATCTCAACCAAGATAGTCTGACTCCTATGGGCTTAGTCAGTACCCTAAGCTGCCTCCCATTTACTGTTACTGTTCACCCATCACCACCACGACTATCCTCCTCCTGCTCCTCCTCATCATCATCATCACTATCAGACAGCCATGTTATAGATAACAATTAAAACTGTTATTAATGTATCCAGTCTTGAACACCAAAAAGCCACATTCAGCAAATGTCATCCAATAAACAGTCACCACATCCATTCATTTTTCTAATGCTATTCCAGTGAACTAGGGAAGAAAATGTCATAAAACTCATTTTACAGAATGGGGAACTGAGCTAAAAATGATTACGTCTCCTAGCTTCCCTCGGTGACTGAGAGGCTGAGACAGAACTGGTGACACTCGGCTCTGTTTGCCTGGCATTATCACTCATCTTAAAAATATTTAAGCTTCCCAAATGAAAATAGGTAGGACTGTTTCTAGCCGTCTGATCTACCTGGAGACAAACAAGGCCAAGCTGGCTTGCTAAGCACATTGGAATAAATAAAGTATTAAGACATGAGTGAGGGCCTATCATACAGAATTCCCATATTGCGTCTGCAGTCAGCATAATAACCGTGGCATTTCTTTTCGTTCTGCATTCAGCCTGGCTAATTCAGTGAAACCTTAAAAGTGACAAATGAATGTTGAAAAAGAGCTGGCATTTCTTCCAAGATTTGAGAAGATGCCAGAAGGACCCTAGGAAAGTGCAGTGACAGCTGGAATGGAGGAGGACAGAGTTTAAAAAGCAACTTACCACTTATTTTTTGTGTTTAATTTTTATATTAAGACCACAAAAATAACATGAGATTGTACTGAAAGAAAAAAAATAAGTTTTTTAATTGTACAGTTAATATTTCTAAATTAGCCAAAACCAGAACGACTGTCAAATGTGTCACCAAAGCCTATAATCCAGTCCCTATGGCATCATTCATTGACAAATATTTTTATCCATTTCAAAACACATAAGGAAAAAGGAAAAAAGACTCTTAAAGCTTCTACCAGACCTTTAAACAGGCCCTAAAAAAATCCAGAGCTTTATAATATTTTCCTACTACTTTGTTACATGCACATTTGCCAAAATTTCCCTAAAACAAACCACTTAAAATTAATAAATTACCTGTCAAATCCCATAAAAACAGATGGTCACTTAGAGACAGGAGAAGATGCTAGCATTCTGTTTTACACAGATGTTCAGACTGGGAAAAGATCATTTCATTTTCCATAACAGACAATGAACCTTGTCTAAGATTTCCAATATTATGCATAAAAATGAAAATATCATGCAGCTGCTTCTATGTTACACATCTGGTTACTGTTGAAGAAACATCTTTAATAGTAAAATGAAAATCATTATAATAAATAAGAACTAAAATTGGTCTTTGTTTTCTCTTAACAAGTATCATGCTACTTGTAAGTCCTTTGCTATCAAAAAATTTTAAGTTGCTAAATGCTCCTAAATTGAGGTACTCTAATATGCTATTTAATGCAATCAAGAATTAATCAGTAAACTCCTATCCATAAGAAAGTACACACAGCTGAATATCTGACACCCCAACTGTTTCTTCCTGTTACTCCTTTCAAGAAGGTGTTTTAGTAATTTTATCAGAAATCTAACACATGAAACAATAAGTCAACACAACATTAGTGTCACACATCCGAAATGAGATTTTGACTTGTTAGTCTCCAACACATTACTTACATTACTATAAATTGCATGAAGATGAAGACATTTGGCACCTAAGAATAGTTATGAAATACCCAACACCAAGAGCATGCCTGTATTTATGCTCAGAGCTCTCTTGGTTCTACATTTTTAGCAAAAGACATGAAACTTGATAGCTAAATATATGACCACTTTTTCACATTACTTGCCAGGAGCACCAATGTTTAAGTCTTCAAAATGTCTACAAAATATATTGGTGACATTCAACTACTCTAAGAGATGGGGTATGTACAGCAGGGGGATTCATTTAATATTGGCAAAATGATTACAATTTGGACAGGCTACTTTGGGTTAACTGTTAAGTACTGAATTTGATCAGAAGTTTTCCTAACAATCCCTTGTTTAAAATATCCAGTGGATTTCACTGGAACAAAATCCAAGCCCCTTACAGGGTCTACAAGGCTCTGGTGACCTCTAAGACCCTGCCCATCCCTCTAACCCCATCTCCTTCCACTCCCTGATGCCATGCCTCCATGATCATCTTTCTGTCCCTTGAAGTCACCAAGTACCTGGCCATCACCTATGTGATCCACCCACTTGGAATGCCCTTCCCTTAGATCTTCTTGCAGCTGTTGAGCATTCACATCTTGCATCACAATGTCATTTCCACAGGGAAGACTTCTCCGACCCTTGGTCCCACCCTTATTTTTCCATCACTATCTCACTACCCTCTTTTATATTATTCATAGCATTGCTAACTTGAGAACATTATATTGTAAGTCTTTACATGGTTTTCTGTCTTCTCTCACTAGAATTCGAAGCCGCTCCCAAGAGATGCCTTACTCCAGTTATATCTCCAGCACCAAGTACCTGTACATAATACCTGCTAAATGAAGGAACAAACTGCTTTTCATTAAACTGACTAATAATGTGATTGAAGTGGCCAAACAATCCAATGGAATCCAACTTGTATCTTGGATACCCCACTACTGGCCTCATAATTAGACTTAACCATGGAATGAGGTGATAAGTCCTCAAGGCCTAAGGGATTGTCCAGAGCCTATATATCCCCTGCCATGCACATTCCCCAGAAGTCTACCGAAATGGCCCATTGTGGGCCTCTTTTCAAGATGGGGCCTTCCAAGGGAAGCATCTGCTGTCCTCTAATTATACTCCTATGCTCAAGGGGTGGCTGTGTGCAGGAGAGGTGGATGGACCTGAACACACATACTCATGAGGCACCTCACAACGCACAGTGAAGCTGGGGGCGGAAAGAGGAACCACAGGCTAGGGGGAGGTAATCCCTAATCCCTGTGCTACATGTTCCTGCACTAAACTCCACAAAGTCCGGGAATGCAAAATGGAAGCCAGGCCTTACAGGTCACTCTGAAGGTATGTTTGTCAGGGCAAGACATTTTATTCAATTTGGGATATACTTTAGTCTACTTGATACAGCATTACCTTGATTTATATATGCATTTATGAAATTTTATATTTTGAACATATGGTGTATGGGCCTCTATTTGTCCTTCTGCCTCTGGTCCTATAAATGTTAGGGATGGGGCCTAACTGCTACTCTGAGAACTTGATCAAGTACCTCAGTTCACTGAGTCTGTTTCCTCATTTCAGAAAGAGAAATAATTCCTGTCCTGTCAACACCTTATATTATGTGAAGAACAATACATACAAATAAAAAACATAATTTTAAAATATTTCTATTATGTTCTTTCCCACATACCTCCCTGTGTATTCCAGCAAGTGAGAATGATGATAATTTCCATCACCAATTCCAAGGCAACTGTGGCTTTTGAGAAACTTTTGAACTAGACAGGTGATATGGTTTTGGTGTCTGTCCCCTCCAAATCTCATGTTGAACTGTAATTCCCAATGTTGGAGGTGGGAGCTGGTGGGAGGTGTTTGGGTCATGGGGGAAGATCCCTCATGAATGGCTTGATGCCCTCCTTGCAGACGTGAGTGAGTTCTCACTCTGAGTTCATGTGAGATCTGGTGTTTAAAAGACTATGGCACCTCCCACCTCCCACTCGTGCTCCCTCTCTCACCATGTGACATGCCTACTCCTGCTTTGCCTTCTGCCATGATATTAAGTTCCTCGAGGCCTTCCCAGAAGCCGAGCAGATGCTGATACCATGCCTCTTGTACAGCCTGCAGAACCATGAGCCAATTAAACCTCTTTTCTGTATAAATTACCCAGCCTCAGCTATTTCTTTAAAACAACATAAGAACAGACTAACACAACAGGGTTTGGCTTTTCACCGCCTTTTCTTTTAGTGTTAAGTACTCTTTACATTTCTTCTCCATTCTACAAAGTTTCACATCTTTCCAGAAGGAAAAGATGTCCAACTGTCTAAGACTTTGGACATTAAGAGAGAGAGAGTTCTTTAACAAAAATTTCTAAAGTAAAAATTAAAAAAAAACCTTTTCTAATTATTTACAGTTGTAGAGAGGTGCCAACTAAAAAATATCTCATCTCCTATTTAGTCTATTGAATACTGACATGTTTTCCAGGAAAAGTACATAATATACACTAATGCTGTGCATTTATTGATCTCTAATCGGTTGCTGGAATGAACTGAACAAGAAATATACCCCTGGGGCTGTTTTAGATCTCTCTGGCTGTCTGTCTAGAAGCCTTTCCTACCATTCCAGAGAAAGGATGGTCTCAGAGATTTAATAAATCAAGAGCACAAACAGCGCATACAAGGAAGCTAGGACAAACAAAGAGAAATGCAAAATGAGCTGGCAGGTGGGTTAGGGTATAGCAGTAGATGAAACAGACTCTGCAGGGCAAGGGAAAACAGAATGAGTTTTCAATGGACTGAGATTGAAAAAGTCAAAACCCCTTTTCACAACTGATATGGTTTTGCTGTGCCCCCATCCAAATCTCACCTTGAATTGTATTTCCCAGAATTTTCACGTGTTGTGGGAGGGACCCAGGAGAGGTAATTGAATCATGGGGGCCAGTCTTTCCCCTGCTATTCTCATTATAGTGAATAAGTCTCACAAGATCTGATGGGTTTATCAGGGGGTTCTGCTTTTGCTTCTTCCTCATTTTTCTCTTGCTGCCACCATGTAAGAAGTGCCTTTCACCTCCAGCCATGTTTCTGAGACCTCCCCAGCCATGTGGAACTGTAAGTCCAATTAAATCTTTTTTTCTTCCCAGTCTCGGGTATGTCTTCATCAGCAGCATAAAAACGGACTAATACAACAATACGTTAGATCTATCACATGGAGTACACTAGTCACTGTGGAAAAATCATAAACTGCCTAAAACTAAATAATAGAAATCTATATCACATTCCCCTTTAGAGTTCATCATATCAGAACTTTCCAATTTTCTATGTAATTAAATAGTTCTACCTTGTCTCTCAAGTCTACAAATCAAATAAATGCAGCAGGAAACCTACCTGTAAATAATAACAGCAATAATAATAAAGGAGTTAACATTTATTGTCTTTTGTATTGATTGATTTCCATACACTGATCTGAGTTATCGCTATTAATTTAATGAGGACTCAGCAACAATCTGATTCAAGAAATATGATTAGTTCCTTTCATAGATGGGGAAACTTAAGACACAGGAAAGTTAAGAAGCTTGCCCAAGATCTCATGTGGGAAAATTAGAAGAAAAGTATTTAGAACCCAGAAGGTCTGGCTTTATAGAGGCAGCCAAATGGTTCAGAGTGTAAGGCACAGAGTGAAGAACTGCCAGGAACTTGACACTTGATCAGCCAGCCCTTCAACAAATCTGTGTTCATCATTATCACATTCAAGGGTGCAAGGAAAAACAAACAACACAAATAAAGCTAATGTGAATCCAGGCCTGGAAACTCACTATCCTAGCAGAGAAGGAAGAAGATCTTATTGATAAGACCTTATGGAGCAACTTCAAATACAATCTCTCATATGATATCTCTTCACAATGTCCCTGAATTGCTATTCCCAGTTCATAGAGAAAGAAACAGAGACCAAATATGCCGAGCAAGTTATTCAAGATTACAAAAGTATTCAGTGGCATTCCCCACATATGAACAGGTGTTAATTCAATATTAATTCAACCAGCATCCCCAAATAGTCTGGGGAATAGGTCCTCCTTGTTATTCAAGACATCAACTCAACAAGTGGGAAAAGACATTGGTAATATCTAATCGTAAGCATATGTAACTCTCACATCCTCCAAAAAAAAAAAAAAAAAACAACAAAAAAAAACTGAATATCAAAGCCACAGCTCAAATCCAGACCTTCTAAATCCTATTCAAATATTGTTTCTACCACACCAGGTACACTGTCACCTCACGATACTGTATAGAAAAACCCACAATGTAATTATAAACTGTAAATCCTGATGGGTTAGGCCTTGACAAATCAAAATGAAGAAAATACACTCATTTCCCAATGTCCATGGCTTCCTTGCTTACTATAGAAGCAAACCACTATGGTGAGCCTAGGTAGCCAATGAAGGCTATTAGGAAAATGACCTTTGTTAGTGACAACCATTCTTCTGATACAATTTGTGTACATTACTATAGGTCCAGGTGGATATACGTCAACCTCCACATTTATTCCATCGATTTCTTTAACATGGTTTTAAAGATAGATACCACATTACATGTCTATAATATATAATGTATTTGCAAATAGTGGCTTGTTATTATATTCTCGCAATAATAACTAAAAGTTGTTATTCTACCCTATAGGATATTTGCATATTCAATTGGTCTAACACATATAGCACATTCAATTGTGTATCCAGCAAATAGCATATTTAATTGGTCTAACACATCCCCAATGCCTAACAACTAAAAGTTGTTATCCTACCCTATAGAATATTTGCATATTCAATTGGTCTAACACATATAACACATTCAATTGTATATCCAGCAAATAGCATATTCAATCGGTCTAACACATCCCCAATGCCTTTCTTCAACTACCCCATCCCAAACATCAACAAGTCCCGAGCTGTCCATCCAAAACACATCTCAAAGACATCAGCTCCACCACATCTCCCGTGTAAACCTCTCATTCACACCACCATCTTCTCTCACTTGGAAGACCATAATGACAGCTGATCTCTTTCTCACTTCTCCTGCAGCCCCATTAATCTATTTACCACAGGACAGTCCACAGGGTGACCGACTCATCCTGGTTTGCCTTAGGCTTTCTCAGCTTTAGCACTGAAAGTCCCATGTTCAGGGAACTCCTCATTTTTGAGCAATCAAGAGCAGTTGGTCACCCCCGACTATGGTGAACTTTTTATAAGATAGATAAGATCAGGTCATTGCAGAAATCACTAGCCCCAATTCCTCATCTCTCCCTGGATCCATGCCATTTTCCAAGTGACTATGCAGTTCTTCCCACTAGAGGCCCTGACCCCTTGTCTTTGGATTCCAACAATGGGATATTAGCAGATGTGATGCAACAAGGAGCTTGAAACATACTTGCAGTTGGGCTTGCTCTCTTGCATTCCAGCCACTTCCTTGTGAAAACTATACCCACACCTAGCCCACAAGTCCGAGGAGGATGAGAGGCACGTGGTACAGGCCTGGACCCAACCTGCAGTTTGCAGCCAAGCCCAGAGAGGGCCACCTCAACCCACTAATATGCAGACACTTGAGCAAGAACAAATGACTCCCTGAGTTTGGGGATGGTTTGTTACCTAGCGTTGTTGAGGCAATACCTAACTGACATGGATTTCATCCAAATCTTTTGGTAGCTTCCCATTTCACTTAGAATAAAATCAAATATACTTAGCTGAGCACAAAGCCTTATATGATCTGGGCTCCAACCCATTTGCCAGACCTCACCATACTATCCTTTTCTAAACTTCATTCTCACCGATCCCCTTTCTGTTTATCAAATTGATAAAGCTGTTTCTAGTTCAGGATCTCGGCCTCTCCTGTCACCTGTGCTTGAAACACTTTCATCCCAGTTCTCATGACTGGCTCGTGTTCATCCTCACAGGTCAGCTTAAAAATCACCTCCTCAGAGAAGCCTTCCTTGACTATCCTATAACATGAAATCTGTGTATTTCTGTCACAGTATTTCTCACAATCTGTCAATTATTTGCTAATTTGTTTGCTTATACTCTGCATCCTCACCAAGCTCAAATATTCAAACTATTTTCTGCATATGTTAGTGGATACCAATTGAATGGTACCCAAAAGCTCAGAAAATCCCTTAGCCTGGTACCTTCTGGTGTGATGGGTAAAAGATTTTTATTATTGAAAACAGAAAGTGAAAATCAGTAAGATAGTAAAGCTATAGATGACTTTTAGCAATCATTGATATTGTTTTAAATTAAAAGTTCAAAAGGGGTTTGATTTTTTAAGAGTTAGCTGGACATAACTTTTTTAAAACCAGAAAGAATTACACCAGATTTTTAGTTGTATCAGTCTTTCCAAATGAAATAATACCTCAAGATCAGACTCCAATAACGATACCCCCTCCCCACCAAAAAAACTACTTTGCTTAAGTCAAAGGAAGCTGAACAAATAAAAATTTGTTTGGTGTGGTATGAAATTACAAGCCTTTAGTGACAGGAGTAAAAACGGAAGCAATGAAAGTATCATTCTCTATCATTAGTTATACTTCCATACTACTGGTCATGTGGAAAATTTTAGCTATTCACTTCTTGGCAGGGACTTCGATGTTCACAAAAGACCCCTTTAAACTCCAAACACTGTGAAGTTAAAAGGCAGTGAATCGTGAAAGTAGGTGTGTTTCTATATTGAGAATACCTGTGTAATGTGAAACACAACAGACCAGTTCCTTGTTCAGCTAAAGGGGGCTGCTTGCAGTATTAAAGACAGAGGTGAGGAGGCACCAGGGCTTCTGAGAGTTTTGACTAATAAAATCACCCCAAGAAGGGAAGACACAGAACGTCAGCCAGGCCTCAAGCAGGAAAGGAGTGCCAGGGTGGGAGTCTGCCCAGTATAGGGAGTTTTGAATTGACCTTTGGGAGAAAGAGGGTGTGAAGAGATGGCTCTGCGTCCTAAGCGAAGGTAAGCAACCTCATGAACATGGCTCTGGACGCTGGAGGCCCTGGTCCCTGGACTTTGGGCTTGGAAGCAAAGGCCACTGACTGTTTCTCTATCACTCTGAGAAGCTCCATTGTGCCTGGGCCTCTTAGATGATTATTTTATAAACTATGGATTAGGACAATGGCATATCTCAGGAAGGGCACATGAGGATTCAGTGAGATAAAGCAGGATAAACACTTAACAGTGTTTATTACAGATACACTGAGTTTTCAAAACATTTCAGCCATTGTATTTTCTACCACCTAGCACACACACCAGATCAATATTTGATGAGAGCATAAGTAAATGAAAGTCTAAGGTTTTGTTGAAATGTGCTCTTTGTCTTGAAAAGGAAAAGAATTGCATAAAGGTAAAACAAGATGAATGTGTCTCCTAAGACATCAGGATGGCAGATCTGAACATTCTAGTCATGAGAAAATCATTCCATTTTGTAAATGTGCCATTGGCATTCTGGTGTATACATCATTCTCACAGGCTTGGTTGATGAACATCCAACCTCCTTAGTTTGATGAACTCTGGGTGGGTACCCACAAGTTTCCTGACCTAAAAGGCAAGGAGTGGTTTGGTTTATTTAAAGTAGTATCCCTTGACGGGTTGTCTATAGGATCTATCTCAGAAAGCAGCCTTCTACACTTCCATCGGAAAACACCTCTCTCTTCCCCTCAACACAAGTAACTAGCTTTACATACAAACAGTAAGATGATCACAGTTATTACTTCTCTGTTTAAAGCTAGAATTGCCAACTTCCTGCCAATCATTTTGAAAGATAATTTTCATGAGAGCCAGGAGAAAGAAAGAAAGTTAAGGACAAGGTTTCTATTCTGGGTCAGAAAAAAACTCTGTTTGTTAAATGTATTATATTTAATAATGAGTCAGAAAGGGAAAGTAGTTTTTGCCTCTTCCAAGAAGGCTTCCCTGACCACCCAGCATTTACAGTGGAATAGGCATCCCTTTTCCCTGCGTGCCATGACATCTGGGCACACCTTCACTACTCCTGTATCCCTATGAGTTTACACATCTGTCTCTCTACCAAGCAGTGAACGTCTTGGAAGCACCAACTATTTGTAGTCATCCTTGTGCCCAACCAACCTCAGTACCTGATTATTTCAGGTACTCAATAACTGTTAAATGAATTAACGTCCCATTGAAAAGAGGTTACTTAAATCACAGGGGGTTTTGAGCCCTCTCATGGTTTCCTTATAGTCCCCTCACTTATAACACACACAACACTGGCAAGGATGGAGAGCTACTGTCTAATACTGAGCAATACTGATGTTTTTTCCAGAAGTAGGGGAGGCAGTGACAAAAATGGCACTGAGATAAGCATATTTGGGACACCTTTAAACTGAAATGAGCACATATCCAAAGATCCTATAACTGAAAGTAGAGCTCATCAATGTAAACAGAACAAAAAGCCACTATGGACCAGGGACTTTTGTTAACATGACCTGCCAGGGATCAGAGAGAACCCACAGAAGGTGAAGCTGTCTTTGTCTAAGGAGATTCATTCCTGGTAATACCAGACCTAACCATCCCCACATTTCAACTAAGGCTGTTCTGTGGCATCAGACAGGAGGATCAGCCTGAAGAGAACCCTGGACATAAGGCTGGCAACAGGCAAAGACACCGAGTTGATGTGTCCCTTCTTAATTTCCCAACTTCCCACCATTGCCCACAGGGCTGCTGCTTCCTTAGTTTTACCTTCTCCCTTAAACAAAGCTTACAATCATGACCCAATGACATTAGAGAAAGTCACTGGGTATGTATACACCAGAAGTCCTGCTTGGCAACTTTTAGCCTAGATGGAGGGTTCCTGGATGTCTTTGTTCTCTTATTAACTCTTCCATTCAGTAATCACTTATGGAATTCACACTACAGTCCAGGTACCAGGAATGCAAAGATGAATGGGAAAGTTTTAGCCCTGGAACAAATCCAGCCTCGTCCTCCCTATCTATTTCTGTACCCCACTCCCAGTAGTCATCCCAAACTGTCTGGAAGGCCCTTTCTTCTCTTGTTCATCCTTCATTTAAAAGCTGCAAGAATTGATGGAATAATATTTAAAGCTCTCATCTTTGGCCGGGTGCAGTGGCTCACGTCTGTGGTCCCAGCACTTTGGGAGGCCAAGGCGGGTGGATCACAAGGTCAGGAGTTCGAGACCAGCCTGGCCAATATGGTAAAACTCCATCTCTACGAAAAATACAAAAATTAGCCAGGCACGGTGGCGGGTGCCTGTAGTCCCAGCTACCCCGGAGGCTGAGGGAGGAGAATCGCTTGAACCTGGGAGGCAGAGGTTGCAGTCAGCCAAGATCGTGCCCCTGCATTCCAGCCTGGGCAACAGAGTGAGACTCCATCTCAAAAAACAAACAAACAAACAACAACAACAAAAAACTCTCATTTCCTTTTCCTTTTTTTTTGGAGACGGAGTCTTGTTCTGTTGCCCAGGGTGGAGTGCAGTGGCACAATCTCAGCTCACTGCAACCTCTGCCTCCTGGGTTCCAGCAATTTTCCTGCCTCAGCCTCCTGAGTAGCTGGGACTACAGGCGCATGCCGCCATGCCCAGCTAATTTTTTTGTATTTTAGTAGAGACGGGGTTTCACTGTGTTGCCCAGGCTGTTCTCGAACTCCTGAACTCAGGCAACACGCCCACCTCGGCCTCCCAAAGTGCTAGGATTACAGGTGTGAGCCACCACGCCCGGCCAAAACTCTCACTGTCTTTCCTACAAAACAGGCTTCCTGTTAAAGACAGCTGCTATCAAAGAGTCATCCTTAATCTTATTCAGGTAACCAAAAACTTTATTCTTTAAATGGAGACAACTTTGAGAGTAAAAGGGATTTGCAGTTAATAATAGTTCTGGAATAACAGATGTATCCAAGTCTGTCCCAGGCAAACCAATAGGGATGATCACCTACACCGAAGAGACAGAAATTCTAAGCTTAAATGCCAGATGAATCTTGAAACCTGTCCAGATTTACAGAAACACCTATACTTTATTTTGTATATGAAAAGTATCGTGTGAAAGGTCACCTCACAACTATGTTGTAAGGAATATGTTTCCTCTTTCTGGGTACAGAGGCAACAGGTTAAATTACAACCCCTGCATCACCCAGTGTATGCTGTGATGTGGAACACACTATTTACCGTAACAGCAAAAAGCACATCATCTACTGATGTTTCCTATGAGCCAGAGACTGTTAAGGCCTAGATCATTCCTCCCACCAAACCCATGAGTAGACACTACTGACATCCCACATTTTACAGATGAGGAAATGGAGCCTTCGAGAAGTTACAGCACAGCTAAAAAGGATGGGACTATGCTTCAAACTAAGGCAGTCTCTTCCAGAGCCCACCTTCTTAAATACTACCACAGTGCCTTCTCAAAGACATCACTGAAGAGGTGATAAGATGAGCCACAAAAACTGGGAGATCGTGACAATGATAATGATCCTAACTACCCATTATTGGAAACTTTAGGGTATACAACTCTGCTAAACCTTATACACAGCATGATCTCATTTCACTCTCCTGGCTCTCCTAGGAATCATTATTACTAAGCCCATTTTACAGATGAGGAAACTGAGGATTCTAGAGGCTAAGTAACTTGCCTAGGGTTGTGAAGCTATCGTGGAGCAAATGCAAGATTTGAATTCAAGGCGAACTCCAGAGTCATCCTCACCATATTAGAAGGTGCACTATGAAAGAAAGAATTTGGACGAAGGCAGGAAGGAAACTGATGTGGCCACACACTGGGTAACAGGCATAAAGAGAGGACAATGAGCGAAAGGTAAATTGTGACTGCGTCATGCACAGCTGACTGTGTATGCCACAGTGAGTTAAAACTGAATCCACTAAACAAGGAACAGTAGTAAGAAATTCTGAGCAAGAGTGTCTCAACGGGATCCAGGTTTTCTCATGTTTATGATGCTAATGGACAGATCATTTATAAAGAAAATATATATTTATGTAAAGTTGTTTTTCAGTGCTGCATCTAGCACCTGAAGATTCTGGGAACAATTTGATTTTTGCACATCAAATACCTTTAGCACTGTTATTTTCCCCCTGTTATCCACGTCCCATCTGTTTCCTCTGCCCCATGCTGAAGTGACTGGTATATTTGCTCAAATAAAAGCCTGAAGACAAAAAAAAAAAAAAACTCTAATACTTGGCTCACATTTAATTTGAGAGAAATAGACTCCCAAATCTCTTAGCTTGTTCGATGTTGAATGAAAGAAAAAAAATTACACAGCTGAGATAGCTTGTTTACTTACCCAATTTTCATCCTAAGGTAGATCAAGTAACACAACTCTTTTAAACCTTCTCAATTCATTTCCTGACTTTTTTGTCCGTAACCTAGAAAACTCAAGTACAGCCTTAGTACTATTTATGAACATCTGTTAAACATTGCCAATGCCTGTTACAACCACCTTGGGGAATAGTGTAGCATCTTAAAAGCATAATTCCATATGTAATATTTATTCTGTTGCAATGTAAAGAAAGTATGACGCTCATTTTCTTTAAAAATTATGCAACTTTTGACTTACATCTTCATCTACTTAGAAAATATCAACCAACAGTACACAAGTCATTATATATTCATTATCAAGTTATCTGACAAGTTGTATAAAAAAACATAGCTTCACACTTGGGTGTTATTGCAAAAGTATTGAAAATTTTTATTTTTATCTGCTGTTGATGTTTTAATAGTTGTTTTGTATTTCTTTCATGACGGCTCAAAACACTGGCTCAGTTCAATCCAAAAAAAGAAGAAAAAAAGAAAGAGAACTTGGTGAGTGCCTCATTTGTGTGAAATGTGTTTCGTTTATCTTTGTTGCCATCTCAATCATTCCTTGAAGTATGTATTATTATCCCCTATTTTATAGTCAAGTAAATTGTGGTTTAGGGTAATCAGTCAAAGTAGGGCTGGGATGGGAGCTCTGTTCTGACTGTATAGCCTGTGTTTCTTCTAAGCCTTGAAGCAAAGAGACAAAGATTTTCAAGATTCTAAACACTACTTTCAGAAGAGACCACTACATGATCACCAAACCCATTTCTTCTTTTTCCTAAGCATGGATTGAAACTGTATTTCCCAGCCACCCTTGAAGTTGGTTGAGATCTTGCAATTACTTTTAGCTGAAATGACACAGTCCATGCAAATTTCTACATGCAATCCTCCATGGTTTTTTTGCCTTTTGAGTGGCTGGAATGGGCATACTTTCCAGGTCATCTTTGGGAGCCATGTGTGGAAGACAGCAGAGTGAAAAACAAAAGGAGCCTGGGTTCCTGTGGCAGACCAAGAACATCATGCTAGATTTGTATGTGAATAGGAAATAACTTCTTCTTGCACCAGGCTACTGAGAATGGGGCAGCTCATGTGCTTCAGAAGCTAGCACTACCTAATATGCCAATACAGAGAAAAACAATCCAAAAATAACCACAAGAGGAAATAACACAGTCAATCTAGAGATTATCATAAAACCTTAAAATAATATTTTGGAAAAAAATTTAATATTTAGACAATGTTCATTTTATAATATAGAATTTTAAAACAAAAATTATAAACAAAACTGTACTTAGTACCTCACCAAATTTATAAACAAGCTCATTCTCTCTCAATGATGTCATATACATATGTACACAGAAATTAATATTGCTGAATGCATGTGTGCAAAACAAAAATGAAAGAAAATATGTTAATATTAGCACAGGCTTCCTCTAAGTAATGAGATTAGAAGATATTTTTTACTTATTTTTTACTTTTTTGTAATTTTCTGTATTTTCCAATATCAAAATAATGAGCATGTTCCTTTGATAATCAGAAAAGATTTGTCTAATTATGTTTAAGATTTCTTTAAAAGGGGCAATCCACCCAGACAGAGCGATCACAGCAGTGAGGTCCTATGTCATTTACCCTAGGTAAAGTTTTTCTGTTTTTCTGCATTTATAGCCCATAAAGTACCCTCTGAACTTTCAAAACTGCCAAACTTTACAATGGGGTGAGTCAAAGGCCCCCAGGGTAAAATATTTCACGGGAAAGTCCTGGAAAATGAGACCACATGCCAACATAACTTCTTTGCCCATTCTCAATGAGGTAGCTTTAAAAAAACAAGTCGGCCAGGCCTATAATCTTCCCAACTTGGCCTCCCAAAGGCCAGCAATTTGGGAGGTCAAAGTGGGAAGATCACTCGAGGCCAGGAGTTCGAGACCATCCTGGCCAACATGGCGAAACCCCGTGTCTATTAAAAATATAAAAATTAGCTGGGCATGGTGGTGCACGCCTGTAATCCCAGATACTCAGGAGGCTAAGTCATGAGAACCGCCTGAACCTGGGAGGCAGAGATTGCAGTGAGCTAAGATCGCACCCCCCAACTCCAGCCGGGGCGACAGAGCAAAAGTGTCTCAAAAAATTAAAAAATTAAAAATTAAAAAAATAAAAACAAGATAATACATAACTGCATTAATGACACACCAAAAAGACAGAAAGTAAAATTATGTTAGTTACCATGGATACACAATCATGGGCATGAAGAGATCTGGTGACACTCAGTACCAGTCCTTAAAGGAAAGTCTTTCCCTTTGGTTTAGATGAAGATTCCAGGAGATAATATTTATGAAATGCTCAGCACAATACCAGGCACATGGTAAAGGCCCAAAGCTTAAACACCACCACTATTATTTTTATTGGTAAAAGTGTAAGAAGAATTAATCCTTGCTTTAGTAGGCTGTTAAAATTGAAGTTAAGGCATTGAGTTTCAAAGTACTGTTCTCATTTGTTTCTGAGAAAACTGAAAGGAAGCTACATGTACACTCCCATAAAGCCTGCCTGCCCACAACCCGCCTTGATCTCGCCCTTCACTCTGCAGGTCTCCTGCAGAGTGGTATTCAGTGAATACCACAAGACACTTAGGGAAAAGATATTCTAGCACAGAGAAATTCTAAGGAGATGACCAGAGAAGACCATTTATATTTGCAGACTTAGGAAGAAGAAAAAAGAACATTTTATAAAAGGGGGATCTCTTTGCAAAAATACATACAATAGAAAATGTCATTAAAAGCTACAACTTGTTGAATGGGATATCCTCTTTATAAATACAGTTAGGGAAAACCATTAATTTAAATTCAGGTGCTCCTTTAAGGAGCATTTGCAAGCGAGCATGAGCAAGTGAACATTTTCTGAATAACAATATTTATTCGTGAGCACCTACTGCCTCTGAGGACCTATGAGAAGCACTCTATCTGCATGAGACCAGGTTCTTAGCAGCAAGCAACAGAAATTAACTCTAGCTCAAATAAGCATGAACTAAATTACGAAAAAGAAATTGGGAGGCTCACATAATCACCAAGAAGGCAGGACAATCAGACTTAAAAAATGGGAAGGAACCAAAGAGGCCAACAGCAGGCAGGCACACAATCAAATCACACCACAGGAACCATCTGTCTGGTGAGGACACCACTGTTATTCCTAGAAAGCAGATACCGCTTCAACCTCTCATGGACCACATATGCCATTACCCTAGGAGCAGCTTTATATTATTGACTCCAAAGTCAAAATAATGGGCAGCTGATATGTTGGTAAAAGGAAAACTTACTTCACAAAAATCAATGTTATCCTTGTCTGTCATTATAAGACAAAAATGACCGTCATCTCAATAAAAAGGATATTAAGATCTTTTTGCAAGATCCTAACCACATGTCATAGGACAAAGCCACAACAATCAAGGAGGCTTGCAATGTATTTAATTGACTATGGGATTAATAGTACATATCAATCAGTAGTCAATGCACAACAGTTCTTTTTTTACATCAAATACAATTCCTTAATGGTGTTAAGTAATTCACCAGGCTTTAGGATGTGATTACATAATACCAAAAGAACAAGTTATCATATTGACGAATGGAAACATGTTATAGCTGAAAGCAATCAAAAGCTAGCCAAGTTCAATAAAAGCTCCTTATCTCCATTTTAGGATGCATGTCATTAGGCCAGAGAAGATTAATTTCTCCATTCATAGTTCAATTTTCTTTCCCAACAAAAAATAAAACTGAGCTTTTGAAACGCAATTTTCTTGCTTAATCAAATGGTAAGAGTCTCATGTCAACATGTGTGGAATAATTAATAAATTGTAGAGATTCTAAAAACTGAAAGATAGTGATCCTAGATATGTTTCATCTAAGTTTATATACAAATACTTTTTTAAGACAGGTATTTCCAGTTATATGAGAGACACAATCCTTCACTCACTTTCAAAGAGAACTGAAAAGGTAACATGAAGATCAGTCATTCACACAGTAGGTATTCTGTAATGATCTGTTGACTGTATTCATTAATTTAATCCATAAGAGAAAAAAAGTATGTACTTATAAGCCTCCTAAGAAAATTGTATGCAACGTAAACAACTCCTCCTTTAAAGCGTGATTATAAAAGGTGGCTCCGATAAATGGCAGCAGCAATGAATATTATCCACACATTAAAAACTTAATTCAAACAAATTTGCTCTCTCAGACATAAATCCATTTTCTATGCAAGAAAATGAGGATCTCACTCAATATCTTACCATTATGAACAGTGTTTCAGAAACAAAATGTATGCATTACCCATTTTAAACAAATGTTCAAATTAACAAGCTTTCCATAACTACACAGCAAAAGGTTCTATTTGCTCAGAGATAAAAGCAAATGAATCATTAAGAAAATATCTGCAGATTGCAGTTTCTATATATTGCACCTTAAAACCTGCCACATCTAGTTTTAATCCAATCTTCTAATTTTATTAATATGCATTTTCCATGTTTAAAATGCTGACCCACACATAAAAATCTCCCAAAAATATCATCATCAAGTTAGCAAAAGGAAAATGCTAGGGGAGATTTAATCTAATCTGACTGGATTAAAATCCCATCATCTTTGTCATTTAGCTCTACAATCTCGGCATGTTTTTTAACTTTATCTTGCCTGTTTCCTTGCTTGTAAAATGACATAAACAATGACTGAATTTGGCGACCAACTGAATATAGTAGACATGAGAGACATTAATGATGCAGAGCTATTTCAGCTGGGTAAGTAGGGTGGCGAGAAGAAGAGAAGGTTTGAAGCAACCAAGAGATGACAAGTTCCATTTAGGTCAGGTGTGCCAAAGACACTCATGAACAAGTGGTCAACAGACAACTAGGAATGCAGCTTCAGGCACAAAGAAAGAGATCTGCGAGACAATCCGCAGAGAAGTCACCCTGGAAATCACAGATATGATTAATGTCACATTTATTTTCAAAATATTTTATAAAATGTCATTTCAAAACACATCAAAATATGAATAAAGTAGGAAGGTAAGCAAATATCTTTCAATTATTTACAAATCTTTCTAATTAAAATATGAACTCTCCTAACACATGATTAACAGGATAGTTATTACGATGTCTCTGGTCTCTCTGTGAGTTAGAATCACAACAGTAGTGAACCTCCTGGAATTTGCTGCCACTGACAACAATGATGATGCTGATAGCAATAAAATCTTATATAGAACTTTCTCAGTGTTAGACACATAATCATTCTAGGCAATTTTCTCCCATGATGGTATCATAATTACAAGGTGAAGATCCCATTTTTTCAGGACAATCAGGAAGATGTGTGCATAATCCAGTTTTAATCTTAACCTCAAATCTATTTGCTAAAACTTCAATCGTGCTCTTGGTTCTGTCAATCTTGTGGTGACAAGAATGTAAATACTCTGAAGTTTTGCCAGATTCTTCTTGCTTTGCTCTCTCCAGGTAATCTCAGTGATGTGCACACAATTTTTATATTTATGATCAACTAATTTCACTTTTAACCAACTAGAATTGGTTCCATATCCTCTTCTAATGCTATAAATTTCCCCTTAGATCAAAACTATTCAACAACAGAAATCAGAGGAGACCTTCCTTCTACCAAAACTACTCACTGAGTTCGGGAAGGATTACTCATTCATTCACCAAATAAGGAGCTTGAATTTTCCAAATTCCTGTTTAGCTCTAGACAGAATCACAGGGAGGCCCTCTGTTGGCCATACCACCTTAAGGAGCATCATAGATATGCACTGGTGAAACCTGCATGCACACACACTCACACACTCCTATAAGCACACACACACAACCATGCATCATTCTCCATTCCTTTATCCAGCTTGATTTTGTCAATCCTTTTATCATTCTCAACCCTTTATCCAGTTTGTATTTCTTGAGAGCATACCTGAAGAACTAATTTTCTTTTACTTCAAATTGCTTTATTGTCTCTTTTTTTCCCTCCCTTGTCCCAGCCCAACACGTCAATGCAACATTGCTCATTCCTCCAGAGCAGAAATTCTATTAAAAGCATGATACAGCCAGGTGCAATGGCTCTCGGTTGTAATCTCAGCACTTTGAGAGGCTGAGGCAGGAAGATCACTTGAGGCCAAACTGGGCAACACAGAGAGACCCCATCTCTACAAAAAATAAAGACACAAAAATTAGCCAGGTGTGGTGGTGTGTGCCTGTAGTCCTACCTACTCTGAAGGCTGAGGTGGGAGGATCACTCGAGCCCAGGAGTTCGAGATTGCACTGAACTATGATTACACCACTGCACTCCAGACTGGGTGACAGAGTGAGACCCTGTCTCTAAAAGAAGTAAAAAATAAATACAAGTAAAAAGCATGGTACACAATCCCCAACCACAATACAATGGCTAAATAAATGTTCATAAAACCATAACTAAGAAGTCAATTAGCTCACTAAGTGCATATCTCCAGGAATATCTCAAAGAGATTAGGTGTTATGCCTAAGAGGGGTGAGGGGAGTAATCAGCTGGCCTCCAGAATTCTCTTTAAAAAACTTAGTTATACCTGCAATGCTAGTGCTTCACTGTATTTAAGAAAATAATGGGGAAATGAAGATCAAAGACCAACTTGAACTTTACATTTCTTTGCTCTCACTTCCCAATCCCCAAACCACAAGAGTATAAAACAAAAATGATCCTTTCTTATGAAAAGGCTGGAATACAGTACTAACCTTTACTGAGTCTATTATCAAAGTTCACTGAGGAGCTCTCATCCAGGTTTAGATCTTATTTTACTGGGATTTTTTCACAGTAAAAACCAATCTTGATAGCTTTTAAAAATGAAACCAATTTTCATTTATTAAAATATAAGTCACTTCAATTTCTACATTTAACATCTGAAAGTCACAAATTAATTTCTTTCTAGAACATAAATTCTATGAAGAAAAAGGGCTTGCCTGTCTTGCACAGCTGTGTCCACAGTGCCTAGTACATGGTTGACCCTCGATAAATATTTGTTCCAGAAGAGAATGCATATACATTTCAACTGACATAACATAGAAAGGGTCTGGTGTATTAGCATCTGGTAGAACTTTAAAAAGTTCAAAGAACAACAATTACTAGCTAAAGTACCTGCGACTTACTCTTAAAAGAGCATAGAAAATTAGAATATTGAAATATGGAGAGTGCTTCTATCCTAAACTCTCAACCTGTGCTACTGATACCTGGACAAGACTGAGTAGCAGACGCACAACTCTTTATTTTTAGTGGGAAATAACTGCATTCCCAAGGCTGAAGGATGCACATGCAAATCCTTCTAGTGTCCAAATGTGCACTGTCCTAGATGGTAGCCACTAGCCACATCAGTCTCTTGAGCACCTGAAATGTGACTAGTCTGAAATGAGATGTGCTGGAAGTGTAGCATTCCAACCAGGTTTCTGAAGATTGGGACAAAAAAATGAACACAAAATATCCTGTTGATAACTTTTTATATTAATTACATGTTGAAATGATGTTGTTTTAGATATATTGGAGTAAACAGAATATATTATTAACATTAATTTCACCCTTTTTTTCATTTTTTTAATGTGACTGTTAGAAAACTTTAAAATACTGACGTGGCTCACATTATACTCCTACTAGACAGTGGCAATCCAGACCGACACCTACAAAGTCTGTATGCCACAGGTGGGGATGCTCACTGAAAGGCAGACAGCAGGACCTGATCCCTAATATCTGGATCTGTAAGGAGGAAAATGAGCTAGATGTTCTACCACACAACAATCGCCCTTTGATATGGTTTGGCTGTCCCCACCCAAATCTCACCTTGAATTGTAATAATCTCCACATGTCAAGGGTGGGGCCAGGGGGAGATAACTGAATCATTGGGGCAGTTTTCCCCATACTGTTCTAATGGTAGTGAGTAAGCCTCACGAGATCTAATGGTTTTATAAATGGGAGTTCCCCTGCACAAGTTCTCGTCTGCCACCATGTAAGACATCCCTTTGCTCTTCCTTTGTCTTCCACTATGATTGTGAGGTCTCCCCAGCCATGCGGAACTGTGAGTCCACTAAATCTCTTTCCTTTATAAATCACCCAGTCTCAGGTATGTCTTTATTAGTAGCATGAGAATAGACTAATACACTCCTAAAGACTCGCAATAGCATTGGGAAATAAGTACTATTAGCTTTGACCTAAAGAAACTGAGGCAAGGACGGAGAAGGTACTTCTGCAGAATTACAAAGCTGGTAAAGGGAAGGCAAAACACTGAAGCAAAGTTAGCTTGACTTTAAAGTCATGCCCTTGTCTTTGGTCTCCTCCAGTCACTCAGAGGGTGCTCTCCCCATGTTCTAAGGGACTTAAAGAAGGATGTCGACAACTGACTCACCCTGCAAAGGCTTCTCAAGCCCTTCAGCCATGTTTCTCCCAGCCACTAACCCACAGCTGACAGAAGTGGGTGAAATAGTGACTAAAATCTCTGAAAAATTACCATGAAGCAACATCCCATGTGCTGCTATCTCAGGTAAAAGAATAAAGTTTTCCTAAATTGATGTTTTTTGCTTTTTTAAATTGCAGTTATCATTTCCTTTATTAGTTAACATGGATCACAATTTCCTTTTTGTGTTATCAAATATTGTTGAAGGCTTCCATCCACTCCCTGCACACATTATTGAACGATGCTCCACTGTTGTACTATTCTTCATTTCAAAAAGAGCTGGGATGAAAACACCCTAATGCTCATACTGTAAGAATTTCTGAGGATACACCCTCCCTAAGGGATACTGAAAAGAAAGGGAAGTTGTTTGTTGTTCTAATTTTTTTTTTTTTTTTAAGAGAGAGAAGGTCTCACTCTGGCGCCCAGGCTAGAGTATGTTAGAGTGATCATAGCCCACTGCAATCTCAAACTCGTGGGCTCAAGTGATCCTCCTGCCAAAGCCTCCAGAGTAGCTAGGACTACAGGCATACACCACCATACTAGGCTAATTTTTTTAGTTTTTGTAGAAACGGGTTCTGCTATGTTGCCCAGGCTGGTCTCAAACTCCTGGACTCAAGTGATCCTCCCTCCTCAGCCTCTCAAAGTACTGAGATTATAGGCATGAGCCACCCCACTGAGCCTGTTCTAAGGTTTTTGACACTTAGGCCAAGTGCCTCCAGTGAGTGATCCTGGCGGAACTGAGGACACAGAGGTGCCTGTGAATCTCATGCAGCATGGGTCAGGCAGGGCCCAGTCTAGAGGAAACCTCTAGGTGTGCCAGGGAAGAAAGGCTCTATTCTCCTACACCCAGGCCATCACACTGAAGGCTGTCCTGTGATTCCACATCTCCTCCCAGGTCAGCAGGACTGAAGACTCACAGGGACAAAGCTCTGAAAGCAGACCCCTCCCTTCACGCTGCAGTCACCATGTGATTCCTGCACACTTACACACATGTACATGAGGCAATCTGGACTTTTTTGCTTTTGCAGTTCTAAGCTCTCCCCTGTATCTGTCCCTGTCAGTTTAATCCACAACAAAAAAAATTAACTAGTGGGAAGCCACTACCTGTGAATTCACTGATTTGGGCAAGTGTATTTCACCCATTATGAATCAGCTTACTTAGTCTCTTAGCAGCCTCGAGAGCTTCATTTGCAGTGTCTGCTACAAAGAATCTTTGAACTCTCACTCCGTTGTCAGACATCAGTTTCTTGCTCTGGTATTCCTGCAGGTTCAGCCATCTTCTGGAGGTTAATTGAACTGCCTACAGAAATTGAAGGAGAGAGGTAAGAACATTCATTAATAGCAAGAAAAATAAAAGTCAACCTACATGGCCAGTCTTAGAGGTACTGTTGACTGGCAATCTGCAACCCAGAGTTGAGAGAAGCAAAAGAAAAAAAAAACCCACTTAAATTCATGCCTAATTATTTTTTAACAAAAACTGTTAAGGACAACTACACACACACAAATGAATGCAGGTTTTTTAAAAATGCTGAAAGCTGAGTGAGCTCTGTGATCTAGTTAACAGTAATACACAAATATCAATGTCTTGCTTTTGATATTGTACCACAACTACATGAGGTGTCAGCATTAGGGGAAGCTGGATGAAGAGTACATGGGGCTGCTATACTATTTTTGCAACTTCCTTTGAGTCTACAAGTATTTCAACATAAGTTATTTTAAAAACTGTTAAGGACTCTATTACATGGATATGGCTCCCCCCTTCTCACCCCAAATAAATAAAGAGCATAGCATTATTTTAATAACTGTATATAGACTGTTAATCATTGTAAGGTTTTTCAGGAAATTTGTTTAAACACTCTGAAGTCACTGGGCCACAGACTAATTCATTTCTTTACCACAGTTTTTAACAGAGTCTGGGTAGGGCCATTGTGTGTTTAACGAGATTATCTCTTTCATCCACCAAGGTTGAGTGCAATAACCTGAAAGACTGACTATTAATTAAACTAGTTCCTAAACTGCAACTTGTGTATTAAAGGAAATTTGCTTAAGTTTCAAGTAGAAGTGGTTTTCCAATATGCACTACGTGTTTATCTGTGTTAAAAGGACACAGTCAAAGGACACAATAACATGAACAAATAAATTCCTTACATTTTATCCAATAATATCAACAGTATTCCCTACCAAATCTGTAAGCCCCATTTTTAAAAGAAGGAAAAAAAAAAAAAACCAGGAAAAATGAATACACTTAATGTAAACTCCTTTCCATCCATGAGTCATATGCAAAGGAAACATTACTCACAAGAGGAAGGATGACAATACAGTTAATGCACAAACCAAAAAAATCAATCACACAACTGGATCACAAGACTGGTAGTACATGGACATCATCTGATACAATCCCTACTGGCTTCTGTCCACGGCTTTGGTGGATGTCCAAGGCAGTGTCACACAGATCATAAAAGTGAGGCCCACAGGGCTTCATCACATGGAGCCATTACCTTTTGGGACATCTACTGTGTCCTTAAAATGTCATTTTCTTCTGGTATCCCCAAGCTATGATGTATTCATGGAGCTCTTTTGAAATAGGGTGATTCAAAGCTCTATACCCCCACTACTAGACTGTGTTCCACTAAAGGGTAGAAAGTGTGCCTTAAACTTCTCTGTATCTCTGTGAAGAAGGTGACAGTGCTTGACATATGAAAGACACCCAAAAAATGCCACTTGGATGGCCAAATGAATCAACTCTGCCTTTTGTCTCCTGATATGGACAATTTTTCATTCCCAGAAACTGGCCACCTCTAAAAATAAAAAAGTACAAGTTAGTCCTTAAGATGTGAAATAAACATAATATAATGTATACATGCTGGTAAAAAATTCAAATTTCAACATGATCAAGCCTAAAGATAGCTCTCTGTTCCGTCCTTGTAGCTGCTGGTAATGATGGTTTGGTTTTGCTTTTAATATTGAAGTTGCCTATACTTCTTCTTTAGAAATAAATAATACTGGGATAAAAATAAATTGTCAGACAAGCAATGCTCACATCATTTACCGTATATTATTTTTTAACTACACATTATTTCTTAATCTTACTTTTTAAGTCTTGATGAAACATTAGTAATTTGAAAAACACAAAATTCTGTAAATGAACATACTCAAAGGCTTTATAGTCTTAATAGCGTGTTATATAACATACAAAGAAAAATACGAGTTTAAGGCATTTAGCGAAAAAGCCCCTTAGTGAAAGAAAACATTAAACATTAGCTGTGTGCTATTATCTAGGACCACTCTTAAAAGGCAAATAGGAACAATCAATAGATTATGTCTACGTTGACATAACAATTTAAAGCCATTAACCAAAGAAAGAAAAAATATAGTTTGAAAAGAGCATTTGAGGGAGACTAAAAACAGCCACAATGTGGTTGTGGTCAATTCCTTTTCATCAGAACACTCGCCATATTAATTTTAGATATGTTAATGCAATCTGCTGGAAACTAATTGCAATTGATCCAGAGGCCAGCTTCACAGACATGTAACATATATTGACTGTTTCCACACTGACTCAAATGAAAGCCAGCTTGAAGTCTGTTGCTCTTAAATTGAAAACCAGGACAATGAGCACAGTTCCAAATCCACTGATGACACCCGGCTATCACTCCACAAAGGAATTCTTTTACAGAATAATCACCTATTTTTGTCAATCCAAAACTTGGAAAACTAGGGCCCTGACTGGCTCTAAAACTTCAAGACAACTCCACTTATTAAGAATTTGTAGCTGGGTGTGGGCAGGCGCAGTGGTTCACACCTGTAATCCCAACATCTTGAGAGGCGGAGGCAGGAGGATTGCTTGAGCCCAGTAGTTCAAGACTAGCCTGGGCAACATAGTGAGACCCTGCCTCTACAGAAAGTGAAAACATTAGCTGGATGTGGTAGTGCATGCCCACAGTACCAGCTAATTGGGTGGCTGAGGCTGGAGGACAACTTGAGCCTGGAAGGCTGAGGCTGCAGTGAGCTATGATTGTGCCACTGCACTCCAGCTTGGGTGCCAGAGTGAGACTCAGTCTCAAAAAACAAAAAAAAATGTGATACATCTACAGAAGTATAATTTATGTTTACTTCTGCATTCTCAGTTGTAAAAAAAGGGTGAGAAGAAATCTGCTATGCAAATGGATGGTAGAAAGTACGCTGGAAATGTAATATAAACTGCTGAATAATAATAACAATAATAGTTCCATCTACTATTAATTGAGCACTTATGAGCTAGGCATTATATTAAATATTCATGTTTCATGGTTAAAACAATCAGGAAATGTCAAGAATTATTATCTCTCTCTGTAGCTGTCATTAGTGCAAATCAAGAAATATCCTCGGTCTTCTTCCTTCTAGGCACTTCCTTACTTCAGCTGAAGTTAGGCGATGCCGTATCTACTACCTAGAGTTAGCACCAGATCCCCCAGGTTAGAGGCTCAGTCCCACAGGACTATACCCACTTGAGATGCCAGGCACAAGCCCCAGGTTATTTTACCTGTGCTTCTGACCAACCAGTTATCAATTGGGAGTTCCCAAGACCTCCTCCTCGGGTTTAACTAATTTTATAAGATGGCTAACAGAGCTCACAAAAACCACTGCTGACATTTACCAGTTATTTATAAAGGATATGACAAAAGACACTGGTGAACAGCCAGATGGAAGAGGTGTACATAACAAGGTATGCCCATGGAGCTTCCATGCCCTCTCTGGGGGTACCACCTTGCAGATACCGCCACATATTTGGCAATCTGGACACTCTCCAAACCTTGTCCTCTTAAGATTTTATTATTTTATTACATAGGCATGATTGTTACCTCATTAGCCATTGGCGATTAACTCAACTTTTAGTCCCGCTCTCTTCCCCAGAGACTGGGAGGATGGAACCGAAAGTCCCAACCCTCTAATTATGCTATGGGCTTTCTAGTAACCAGTCACAATCCTGAAGCTACCTAGTGGACTCCAACCACTAGTCATCTCATTAGGGTAGAAAAGACACTCATCACTTCAGATATCCCAAGGGTCTTAGGAACTGTGTGCCAGGAACCAGGGGTAAAGACCAAATATGTATTTTTTTTATTATATCACAGTATCATATCAATTAACTAGTTCCAGCCAGTAAGTTGTGAGTACATATGTTGTGTGACACATTCAGGCCAACGTTTAATTGCCATCCCTCCTACCCCATCGAAGTTTGCCCTCTCTAGATATGGGGAATGGCAACATTCAAGATGGTAGCTGATCTATCAGCCAGGGACCAGAATAAGGATGGACATATACCAAGTGACTTTACGTAAATGTGTAGTAAAAAATACACCTTTGTGGATTCTTAGCCACTGAAATTCTGGGGGTTATTTGTTACTATTGCACAACCTTTTTGCCCAATTGGCTTTACTGACCAATAAAGCCATGTTACAAATTAGGAAACGGGCTGAACTTGCCCAAGATCACAAGTTACTCTGAAACAGTAAAACTTCTGGATCAACTGGGTAACACTATTGGTTCCCTGTGTTTGTATTCTGGTCCCAGAGGCTCTGTGGTGATAGAGACTGAGATAAGAGACAAGTAAAATAGTGTCCCTTTCGTCAAAAGTCTACCAGGAATAGGACTTTCACGAAATGCTGACAGAGCTCGTGTAAGGTAAAATGTAACTACTCCAGGCTTTGGGAGGGAGGGAGGTGGAGATGTGAATAGGTGTTGTCCTAAGATGCTAGAATGGTAGAAGTTTATTTCAACTCCTAGGAAGAGCTACCTGTTATGACCCTAAAAATAACATCTTTGCTGCAGGAGACATGAAGAATCTCTCAGATAATCCATGAATTCTAGAATGCAAGGAATGGAATGGAGTATAAAGATCATCTGCCCCAGTGCCTTTTGATTGTTTCTGCCAGTCATTTGCCAGCCTGCCCTCAGGACCATTCCACAGGCTCTTCTGCCTAAATTTGAGACTCTGTTCAGAGACTGAACAGTAGGGGGAAGACACCAGGCTTTGTTGTCCTCTTTGTGGGTGTAACAGCATCTCCTCTGAAGCTCCAGGTCTCTCCAGACAGCCCTCTCTTCCACATTCCAGCTCCTGCTATCTCCCCTGCTGTGACTTCTGCTTGTAACAGCTAGCCCTAGACTCGGCCAACACCATTTCCTTCCTCTCCTATGGCTCACGGAAGATTCCTGCTGTTGTCCATCCATCTCTGTGTTGCCTCCCAAGCCTGTGTGCCTTACAATCTTTCCGGCCCTTTGTTAAATTCTATTAAATGACCTCACAAAATCCCTGTCTTCCTGACTGGCCCTTACTGACACAGTGCTTCACAGGCTGAAGGTGAAGGGGAATGGCAGTGATCCACTTTTAAAAAGGTCTTTGGGACCCTATACTGGAGAAGTTTCCCAGTTAGTCACATGTTTCAAATACTGGGGTTTCAAGATATAAAGGGACCACTGGGGTCCAATCACCTCAGTTTACAGTCAGGAACCTGGAGGCCTGATGAGGGAAAGTGTCTTGCCTAGGGATCATATAGTAAGCCAGAGGCCTGATGAAAGCTGGACTAATTCCCAGCTTTTTTCCTTCCTTCACATGGATTTTGGCAAAGTGACCGTGATAGGAACAGCATCACATTCTTAAACTAGCTGGGGTAGGTGGGCACCTAGGTTTTGTTCCCTTTGGACTTGTACAATATCCTTGCCATCATTCCCTTCCTTCCTGCGTTTCTTTGATAGAGCAAACATTTCTAAGCTTGGAGGGGAAGGGGAAAAATACAACTTAAAAGAAAAGCAACACATAAAGATTTAAGGGCCTATGGGAACAAGGGAGCAGAAGCAGAAGAAAAAGAATGAAAAATGAGGCAGGGGACAAAGAGAACCAGAAGATAACAAGACAATGGCTAAGTGGGCAAAAACTGACATAAAAACTCCAAGCACAAAACCAGACAGCTACACAGAAAAAAAAAAATGACATGCCCAAGAAATCATCCTTCGCCCCATGGTTTTAAAATTAGAGGTGTAGAAACAACTGAAATAGCACCTGGGGTGGGGAGGTGGGGGAATCAACAGAGAATATCAAAAGAAATGTCCCTGAGCTCGACACCCCTGAAAGGGAAAATCGTCTACCCACTGGCTCTGCACTTGCTCCAGCCTTCTTCAGCTCGACTTTGCACACTAGTACTGCTCACTTGGGAAGGCAGCATAAAGCAGTATTAGAAAGAGCCCAGGACTTACTAGTAATCAAGAAAATAGAAACTCAAACAAAACGGAAGAAGCCATTTTGCCAAAAGGAATGAAGATGCCACTGAACACAAACACAAACACAAACACACACACACACACACACACACACACACGAGATCTGATGCTATTGTTGTTGAAGGTCAGGTGAAATGCACTTTCTCAGATACTATCCTTACAACAGAACACTAGTGCAACCACCTTCCAAAACAATTTGACAGTGTTTATGAAAACTAAAGCACCCCCATTCTCTGACCTGGAAAGTCTACTTCCTGGGTATCTATCCTAGCAAAACATGTACCAGAGATACATGCAAGGATCTTCTCTGGAGAATTGTACATAACAAAAGGATACGATTGGAAATGATCCAAATGCCCATCAAATAGAAGACTGGCAAAACAAACTATAATATATTCTGACTGTGTGAACTATTTAACATTATCTATGGCAACACAGTATCACCAAGTAACCATGTGTACCCCTACATTTCTCAGTTCTCTTGTAGCTAGTATGCCAAAACTTTTAAGAGACCATGTGCAACCCTCCAGAGCCCTATTTGTTGGCTACAAGGACCTGGAAGCCACATGTGGAGATGGTGGAATCACAGGTGAGATTAGGCTGGATTATAAGAGTTACAACATGGGGGATGTCACCTGACCCACATGTGCATGACTGAGAAATAAACGTTTGACGTGTTAACCACTGAGATCTTAGGAATAACTCATGATAACAGCATTGACTAATCTAGCCTATTAAGTCTGAACATGGTAGCACTAATTATTCTACAAGGCACAAGACTAAAAGAAACCAGCAAGCTGCAGAACAATACATACAGCAGAAGAACATATATTAGACACACATGTTCACACATGAAGCAATAATGTGTATCTTCTAAGGACAGATACATGCATAAGTAAATGTATAGGAAAAGGTCCAGATGATGTTCACCAAGCTATTGCCAGTAAACTTGGGAAGGGCAGACCAAGAAATTTCAACCTAATCTATAATTTAAAAAAATTTTTTTAATAATGAATTTTTAAATAAATTCATTTATTATTTGTGCCATAAATATCAATCTACTTAAAAGCAACATTGAGAAAAAGAAATAAAAGCCAGGCTTTAACACAATGGTGTAGCCTTAAGTCTCTATTAACTTTTGTGCAAAACAAAGGGCTTGCCCCTTACTTAAATGTAGCAGGGTTCTTCAAATGTGGTATGAAATCGAGGTGGGTGAGCAAAAGCCGCATTTTCTGTTATACAGAACTACCACCTCTAATATAAACTCCTGCTGTTAGATATGAAGAGGCTCTTAAACCTCACTTCGAGCTCTCAACAGCAGTGACGACAGTGGAATACAAACAAGGAATTAGATTTAAACTCAGAGGAAAATATATTTCCCTCTCATTACAGGCATGGCAATGAAGGCAGATGCTTGGTGGGCTGTGGCAAGTCAAAAGTTAGTATGTGTTTGTTATATTTTAGTTTTGCCAATGTTGTTCTGTATGCAAATTAGCACCGATAAATCTACCTTAGTCACGTTACCTAGGAAATATGAGGCCTCAAATAAATGTGTTGGTGCAAATGAAAAGACAGATATAACTCAATGTGTCTCAATATAAGTGTCATAAAATAAAAGGCCTGCTTGTTTAAAACAGGCTCTGATGAAGAAGGCACTTTAACTGTGCCATCCGGTAAAAGAGATTAAGTGGAATCCTGTTTGTGAGAGGAAAAATAATAATACCAATAATGCTGTTCTGCTTAGGCCTTAATACGATGACAACAGCACGTCAACTTCTCTTTCAGCATGAAAACATGCTACAGAAATAGGTAAGAAAAGTAATCATCGGGATTAGAAGCCTAAGCCTATGGAAAGGAAAAAAATAATAATGTCAGATGTAGAAGGAAGAATAGGACTGTGGGTACTGACACTGTTCTTTTTCCCTCCATGTTCAGGCTAAAGAGTAGTCTTCATTGGAAGTCACCTTTGAAAACAGAACGTCACTTTTGTTTAGCACTGCAATACTCTTCACCACTCTCCACTTGGGTTCTCCCTGTTTTGCACACTGTAAGAAAATGAATTAACCAATTAATTAGCCCCCTGTGGCTGAGTTCTTAAACTCTAGAAGGGGTACAGAGAGATCCTACCTACCCTATGGATGGCAGAAATGGCAGCTGACATGAGTTTCACTTCCTCATTTATAAAATAGAGGATACTAACAGGCCCATCTTCAAAGGCTGTTGTAAAGATTAAATGAGTTAATATATGCAAATAAACTGGAACAGTGCCCATGACAAGTACTCAAAAAAAGTTAGCTATTATTATTTAATCCAGAAATATAAAAGAGGAGGAAAGGTGTAACAAGTAGATACCTGGCAATCATTAAGATAAAAATAGTAGGTGATCATATAAATAATTTTGTTTTAATAGTGCCCACTGAGCCCTGCTCATTGTTTTAAATACATTTGTAGAGATATTTTTAAACTCTAATCATGGAATTTCTATACTTGAATCACTCAACAATCACAGAAAAAGAACAGTAATTTGCAAAAGGAAGAACTAGAAAAATCTCACATTCAGAAAGCATCTTAAAATGTGCTACTTAGGGCCAGGCGCAGTGGCTCACACCTGTAATACAAGCATTTTGGGAGGCCAAGGTGGGTAGATCACAAGGTCAAGAGATTGAGACCATCCTGGCCAACATGGTGAAAGCCCGTCTCTACTAAGAATACAAAAATTAGCTGGGTGTGGTGGTGCGTGCCTGTAGTCCCAGCTACAGGGAGGCGGGGACAGGAAAATTGCTTGAACCCCAGAGGCGGAGGTTGCAGTGAGCCGAGATCTCGCCATTGCACTCCAGCCTGGCAACAGAACAAAACTCTGTCTCAAAAAGAAAAAATGTGCTACTTACTATAAGTAAATTTACTTTTCATCTCATTTGAACTAGGTTATCCCCATCTCACAGAAGAAGTCTGAAGGTGAGACAGGTTGGTTAAGTAGCTTGTCTAAGGCCACTCAGCTGATTAAGAGAGAGTCACGATTTGAATCCAGGTCCCCCTGCCTAAAAAAAACCCATGAGCTTTCTATTATCACATCTGACTTTTTCTCTTTTTAGTCAGTCTGTAAATCCTGTGTCAATTAAAAACTACTTGGAACCACCACAGACAAAAACTATACTGCCATTCCTGACCTAAAATTACTGTTTTCCATTTTAAAGTATGAACAAATAAAGCAGCTGACAAATTGGTAATAATAATAATGACGATATGGTACCTGAAAAGCCAGCGTTGAAGGGATGTAAAACTTAATTAGAGTGGATAGCTAGAGAAGAAAAGTACTTTAAAGTTCCCGCATCAAGAGAAACAACACTTGAGTTATTCTTCACAGGACATCAGACTAGGATCAGACCAGCGTCCGAGACCATTTTTGTTCCATTGACAACGCATCTCTGATAGTGCCACATGTCTTATCTAAGGCCTCTAGCAGTAAAGCAAGCAGCATCAGTTTAAAATAATAATAATAAAATCATCTGTACTTCCAAAAAAGAATTGACAGTTGAGCTTTCAGATTATCCAGAAACTGGATCACAGCAGGTTGCTATTTTAGAATTCATTCTTCTTGGGGTGCCTTGGCAAAGTCTTACGTTGCTGATCCAAATCAAATACTAGTGAACATTTCTGAGTCCCATGAAATTCCAGAAACTGTGTTATTCCACTTGGAAAGCATTACCTCGTGAGATTCTCCAATTAAAGGAAGATACCAGCAGAAGCTCATTTTACAGATAAGCAAAAGAAGGTTCAGAGTAACTAAGTGCCTGCTCAGGGTGACACAGCTGGTTGGAGGCAAAGCCATATTTCAAATACAGGTATGTCTGACTGAGGAGCCTGTGCCCTTTAACTAGGCAGTGCTGGTGTATTATCTCCCAGTGCACAACCATGGGCCCTGAGCCTTGAAGTCAACTGGGGCAAAAGAAGCAGGAGGCTCTGGTTTATAGATTTCACTGCAGGAAGGTACAGAGCTGTACCGAATATGAGGTTCACTGGGAAAATGGGAAGGTGTGAAAGAGAGGTTGCTGGATCGGTTTCCCTAACTCGAAAGAATTAAGATTCGCAAAGATACTGCCTTGTTCTTTTTATCCTAGGTTCAGCAGAAAAGCAGCATATATTTTAAGGAGCAAAGAAATGTAAAACACTTTGTAGTAATGACAAATGCCCAAAGGAGAGTTTGCTGCATAACTCTATAATGCTGCTCTGCCAGCAGCAAGAAAGAAAAGGGAGGGAAAAAAATACAACCTTGATAAACATTAGCATATTAGCACAACAGCAGAAACAAATGTATAAAAGGCTCTAAAAATACCAAACATCCTTTCAGAATGCCTGTCTGTTCCCTCCTGGAGAGTATGCTAGCTCAATCATGTTGTAGAAGAAAATCACCTTAATTTTACCCTGCAAACAGAAGTAGGCAAGATTTATTTATAGATAAAGAAAACAAATTAAGGTAATATAAACATATACTGGCATTTAACTCCTACCAAGGAAACTGGCAGACCTATACTTTGTTCATTCATTTAACAATTTTCCACTGCATCCATAATGTGGTCACTGTGTTTGACATCCAAGATCTAGCAGTAATCAGCACAGACAAGTTCTTTGTGGTCAGCAAGCTTTTGCCCTAGGAGGAGAGGCAGGGAAGAAAGACATGAACACATTAATGAAGAGTGTAATTACAGAGCAGCAAATGCTATGAGGGAAAAGAAAGACACACATGATGAGGCCGGGTGCAGTGGCTCACACCCGTTAACCCCAGCACTTTCGGAAGCCAAGGCAGATGGATCACCTGAGGTCAGGAGTTCAAGACCAGCATGGCCCACATGGTGAAACCTTGTCTCTACTAAAAATACAAAAATTAGCTGGGCGTGGTGGCACGCACCTTTAATCCCAGGTACTCAGGAGGCTGAGACAGGAGAACAGCTTGAACGCAGGAGGCAGAGGTTGCAGTGAAACGAGAATGCACCATTGGACTCCAGCCTGGGTGACACAGTGAGACTCCATCTCAAAAAAAAAAAAAAAAAAAGAAAGAAAAAAGAAAAAGAAAAGAAAGACACATGATGAGCTGTGCAGGCCAATTTTAGACTGAGTGGTCACCTTTAAAGAAATGACATCTGTGCAGAAATCTGGAGACAGAAAAGAGGTATACCTGTGAAGGAACTGAGGCAAAGCACAGCAGGCTGAGAGGCCAGCATGTTCCAAGGCTCTGGGGTAGGAAAGGGGTTGGCACGTGCACGAACAAGGGAGTATGGTGACAGAGGAGCATGAAAATGCCAGCAGGGACCAGATAATGCAGGTGCTGGTAAGGCAAATACAGAGTTTAGACTTCATTCACTCAGTTTTAAACAGGGAAGTGAGAAGATCAAATTCACGTTTTAGAAAAGCCACTGTTTTCTGTTTGGAGAATAAAACCAATTGGGAGAGAGCTGCATTAAACCAGATTAAGGTTAGCAAACTTTTTCTATAAAGAGCCAGATAGTAAATATTATAGGCTTTGAGGCCAGGTGGACTCTGTTGCAACTACTCAACTCTGCCTTTGTAGTGCAAACTAGCCATCAATCATAAATAAATTAATAGGCATGGCTGTGTTCCAATAAAGCTTTATTTGGCTAGCAGGCCAGTGTGCTGATCTCTCAACTAGACTATAGAGAAGGGCAGTAGAGGTGGGGACAGAAAGAAATGAGGGGATTCTGGATAAAGTTTGGTGATGAGGTAAAGCTTACTTGTGGATTAGATGTGGGTTTAAGGAAAAAAAAAAGAAATCTAGTATTAGACACACACACACTTTACAATGTTAGTTGATATGCATGTGGTAAATCTGATGTACCTGCTAGTCATAAAAAAGGCACTTCTTTAAAAACAATCTTAACCTCAAATCTTTTGCCCAAACTGGCCTTATAGTTTGAATGTTTCTTCCCTCCAAAAGTCATATGGCACTTAATCTCCAATGTGGCAGTATTGAGAGGTGGGATCTATAACAGGTAATTGGGTTCTGAGAGCTTTGCCCTCATGAATGGACCAATCCATTCAAGGATGAATGGATTAATGGGTTAATGGATTATCATGGGAGTGAAATCGGTGGCTTTCTAAGAAAAAGAAGAGAGATGAGAGCTAGTACTCTCAGCCCCTTCACCATGCATCCCTTGGGGACTATGCAGAAGAGGTCTCATCAGCAAGAAGGCCCTCACCAGATACAGCCCTTTGACCTTGGACTCCTCAGGCTCCATAACTATAAGAAATAAATTCCTTTTCTTTATAAATGACCTAGTTTCAGGCTGTCTCTTATAAGCAACAGAAAATGAACTAAGACATGGCCTATGTATTACATTTAATTATTGACATTTCTGCACATCATTCCACCACATCAGAGCTGCTGGGCCTTTGATCTTATAACTTTCTTCCATTATTTAATATCAATCTCAGCGGGCAACAGGCTACAGTACCTCTATCTGCTACAGTGGCCCATCTGAGATTCTCTCCTAGGAGAGAACACAAGGCCTCCCTTGATTACAGAGATGCTACATAGAAATAACAAAAACCAAAGACATTAAAGCTAAGGATTAATAAGATTGGCCTATCCAATGGAATACTGTAAAATGGTTCCAATGAATGAACCAGCTCTTGAAATATGTCAATGCAAATATATTTACAAAGCAAAACACAGGGGAAAAACTAGCAAGTGGTAGAACAAGAGGAACACATAAGAGTATGCACACTTAAATAGAAAATAATAATAGTAAACAATCTTAGGAAGATACATACATAGATATATCAAAACCATTTGGAAGGTGACATGCCAAGTTTAGGACACTGACTATGTTAAAGGGTCAGAAGGGATCATGGATTTTCCGATGAGACAACAACAGACTTCGATTTCATCACTTATACTTTACGTCTTTTATTTTAAAGTGATCTGAGCAAATCTGAGAAAATAGTAGTTGGAACTTCTTCACATTGGACCCACAGATGACTGTGATATTAATCTCTATACGCTGTTTTATCCTGAATAAAAGTTATCTATTTCATGTAGTTAATTTAATAACTACATTTAATTCCCCAAAGATGGGTTTATTAATAAAATGAAAGAAGGCAAGCTAGAAAAAGAAAAAAAATCTAATTACATTTAATAAAATTAATAATTTTCTAACTACTTTGAAAAGATTAATAAGATCTGAAGGAAACCTGAGATTATGACAGGCCAAAAGTCCATGTGACACATGAGTAACTGAGGCCTGAAGTTACAAGAGTAACGGACACTCCCTCAACAGGCCAGCATTAAGCACCCATCCCTGTGCTTAGGCACTGCCCTTGCAGCCTGCCAAGACAACATCTCTGCAGAACAGGTGAGCTCATGGAAGAAGGCGAGGATATTTGTGCCAAGTAGCTTGGTCTTATGTCAGGTTCATGTTCATAAAAATTGAGTCTCTGCTCACTTGTGGCACAAATAACTCTAGAAGTTGTTTCCTGAAAATTAAGTCACTGCTCCATCTCATTTAAATATATATATATATACCTATGTGTATGTATGTGTATATATATGTCATTCCCCCCACCCACTCAGGTGAGTCTCTGTGGTGGCAAAAGAGGGTCTGTGTTCCAAGAATCATCTCCATGCAAAGTGTTCATTTGAAAACAAATTGCGGCTGGGCGTGGTGGCTCACGCCTGTAATCCCAGCACTTTGGGAGGCCAAAGCGGGTGAATCACGAGGTCAGGACATCGAGACCATACTGGCTAATACAGTGAAACCCCATCTCTACTAAAAATACAAAAAAATTAGCTGGGCGTGATGGCGGGTGCCTGTAGTCCCAGCTACTCAGGAGGCTGAGGCAGGAGAATGGCGCGAACCCGAGAGGCGGTGCTTGCAGTGAGTGGAGATCGAGCCACTGCACTCCAGCCTGGATGACAGAGTGAGACTCCATCTTAAGAAACAAAAAATAAGAAAGAAAAGAAAACATTAAAAAGAGTACAATACTAGGCCATGGGATCATTCTTTAAATTTTCAAAAAGGGGAAAAAATCTTGTTCTGGGGCTATTCATTATTCATTAAAACCCGCCCAACTACACCATCAGAGCAGATCCTTTACAATACTCAGAGAAGGGAAAGTACTAGATATTTTTATTCAACCATGTGGCCCAAACACATCACCAGTGTGAGAGGAACAACAGCAGTGTTTTTCAAGATCTCTACCTCAAATGAGCTTGCACACTAAGCGGGTAAAGCAGAGATATTAGCAAAACACCAGCTTCCAGGGTGGCTGGGATAATGTACGTGAAGGTGCTTTGTAAACCCTAAAGAACCTACGTGCACATTCACCATCACCATTACCAGGGGTCAAACATGTCATCTCAATGCATCAGATTTGACTGTCTCACAGGGCCCTGCTACCATCTCCACACCCTGCAGTTAGCAATTTGTTAGCCCTCCTTAAATTACTCCCCACAGTCCTTTCCAATAAATCCAGATGAAAGCTTGCAAGGGACAGACTTTATTCAATCAACCCACTCCTGCTCCTTCTAAGGATCTAATAGTGCTTAATAGTTTAGGATACATTTGAGTTTAATGGGATTTACCTGATAGCAAGAGACTTCTCATCACTTCTTTATAGCGGCAGTTTTGAGTGACCTAGCTAACTCAATCTCACAAGTTTGCCTGTCACACTGGCTTGCCAAAGAAATGACTTGTAGAGTAGGAAATGAGCGACCTTCGCTGGGGAAATTCCTGAGATCATCTGACATTTTGAATGTTCTCTGTGCAGAATGATAATTGGTGTCTGTGAGGTCTGAAGTCCACTATTTGTGTTTAGAAAGACATTTCATTCTTGTTGATGAATAAAATACTACTGCTATGGAAAACTTGATCTTAGATGCTTTTAAAGAAAAATATAACATTGCAGAGAGCACCCTTTCTTTCACAATTTCATTGTCAAAATCTCCATTTAAGGAGAAATAATAATTTTGATGATTAAATTCCATGGCCCTCCCCAATATTCCACATAAAATGCCCTAGTTATAAAAAAGAAAAACACATGCCAAATTTTTCCATCTATGTTAGTCATCTCTTCTCTTATAGTAATTTGAATTTCTTTAGCCAGGGAGGGGGAGAGGGTAAATCATCCAAATATTACTTTTATCTATAAGAATAATCCATAGAAGTTAAATTCAAGGTGAGCTTTCAGAAAACTAGATATCATGAAAAGGAAACTTTAAAATAATCCCTGAAAAAAAAATTTATACCCAAGTGCAGAATGCACGGTAGTCAAATGAGCCTGTCACACTGTCCAGGAAATGTGTGAAATACATACTGTCATTCATTTGAAAAGTCCACTGTGATGACAAAGACCTCAGAAAAGTACACACAAAAAGACTCTTACAAATAGACAATCTGACACAGTATCTAAGCAGCAAAGGAAACAATATCCTAAACATACTATACCCTCTTAAAATCAGAGGAGCCGAAGAACCTAAGAAACATCAAGAAAGTTTTATACTAATGACTCTTCTTTTAGGAACCCATAGTGAAATGCTAGATGATATTGCTACAAGCTAACAACTGGCCCAAACTAGAAGTGAAGAGAGAATGAGGCAGAAAGGATCAAAGTATGCTGTAATGTCAAGATGACAGTTCTGGGAGTTGATAATTGAGAAATAAGCTTAAGTGAGTGGCATCGAAGGCTCGGTGGGTCATCTTCACCCTGCCATTTATTCACAGGTGACCTCTGTTTGTTTATGCTAACTGCAAATATCAACCACCATGACCTTACAAGTTTGCTGGCAAAGTAAAATGAAAGATTTCTGTGAAATCTCTTTTCCACCTCGTCCAGGATCAAGAAGCAACACCAGGGAGGTGAGAAATGCACCACAGTGGGGATTTGGTTCTATGACCTTCCACCAGGTAGATCCAGCCAGCATCTAATTAGCTACCCAATGCAGGAGAAAGATCTAAACAACTCTCCCTTATTGGCCATTACTCTCTTCTCTTGAGGACCTTTGCCTCTAAAGGAGGACAGTCAGCTCAAAATTAAAATTGATCTCTGAAGCTCCTGCTGCCTCTGAAAACACTAGACATGAAAGCTACTCACCTTCTCAGGGCAGAAGAAACACCCCAAGGAAGTATACCGATGGCCGGGAAAATGAACTGAGGCCTTGAGAACAAGCCCCCTCCCAAAAGCAATCTGCTGAACACCAAGTATCACCTACACTACACGGTAAGATCTAGTGCTAAGCACAGTGGGGACACAGAAAGGATGAATGTAAGACTGGACCAAGCTGTCTAAACCAAGCTGCTATATTCATAGCAGCACTAGGGGAAAAAAATTAATGGAGTGCCCCTGGTAGAGGAGAATGGTAAGCAGATAAGAACTAGATTGAAGTAGGATCCCACAGTCAAAAGAGCATAGGACAGGGTTGTACCCAAAGTAGGAGTAGCTACATATATATATATTTACATTTTTTTTTTTTTTGAGATGAGTCTCGCTCTGTCGCCCAGGCTGGAGTGCAGTGGCGCCATCTCAGCTCACTGCAAGCTCCGCCTCCCGGGTTCACGCCATTCTCCTGCCTCAGCCTCCCGAGTAGCTGGGAGTAATTTTTGTATTTTTACTAGAGACGGGGTTTCACCGTGTTAGCCAGGATGGTCTTGATCTCCTGACCTCGTGATCTGCCCACTTCAGCCTCTCAAAGTGCTGGGATTACAGGCGTGAGCCACTGCACCCGGCCACTAGGGTTATCTTTTGTCTGAAGGCTGGGCACCCATGGAGCAGAGCGGGGGCTCGGGCAACCATCAAAATGATCAGCACCAAGCAGCAAGGGGTATGCTGGACAAAAACAGCAATTGTAGGGTACACGGGCCCAAGAGATGAAATAGTGCCTCAGGGGACTACTAACAGGAAAAGACCAGTTACTGGCAGTCACTGGTGACAGGATGGTCTAGGGCACAAGAGCAAGAATGATGAAACAACACAGACCAACATCATGAAAGAGAAACAAATAGAAGAACTAACGCTGAAGGAGAAAAAGTTGAAGGAGGACATAGCACAAAACTGCTTTTTAAAAGTACATGCCGGGTGCAGTTGCTCACGCCTGTAATCCCAGCACTTTGGGAGGCCAAAGCGGGTGAATCACGAGGTCAGGACATCGAGGCCATCCTGGCTAACACGGTGAAACCCCATCTCTACTAAAAATACAAAAAATTAGCTGGGCGTGGTGGCGGGCACCTGTAGTCCCAGCTACATGGGAGGCTGAGGCAGAAGAATGGCGTGAACCCCGGAGGCGGAGCTTGCAGTGAGCCGAGATCGCACCACTGCACTCCAGCCTGGGCGACAGAGTGAGACTCCGTCTCAAAAAAAAAAAAAAAAAAAAAAAGCATAATACATCAGACAGACGTGAGAGGACAGTATATGTATCAAAAAATTTTCAACTAGAAGTTTGAAATGTTTTTGTTTTTAAAAAAGGACTAGAGATGGGTTGAAAGTAGAGAGACTATAACCAGAAGACAAATCAGTGAGCTTGAAATTGAAGATGGGGGGATTTCATGGTCAAATATCTGGGAAATACAGTTTTATTTTCTTCACTTAGAGGTTCTCGATATATGCTTTATTTGAGGTTCTGAGGAGCTTGACCATTAAAAAAAAAAATCTACTTAACTATATTTAGTTATCCCCCAACCAATTTTTACTTGGCATCTGCTTTAAATCCCATGGAATTAGTTACTCCTTTGGGAAATGCCATAGACTGCAAAACAGGACAAAGTACACAACTAACCATACACCATATAGAAGCAAATTGGAGCTGTTGCACATCTGTGTGAAAATACTTTTACTTGGATATTTCACAATTATTTTCTCATTAGATCTGAACAGCATCTTTGGGATTCAATGTAGTAAATCAAAAGAAAGATGAAGAGGACCTAGACTTGGGCCATTATCAGTGACGTGCCAGTTATGAAGTTATTTTGTCTCAGCTCCAAAATCTCCTTTCTAGGTGTTCATTGCTCTGCGGGGCTGATAATCCTGCAAATTACTTTCTCTTTCGCCATCTGGCTTCCTATTAGGGTCTGCCCATATGGGGCACACTATAGGGAGACTAAAGGGCTGGCAGATAGAGATGATATCTGCTCCTTTCTAATGTTTTGTCACCATAGCCCCTGGCCCCACAGCTCCTCATCCTGGCAAAAGGAGCTGGTTTCAAGACTAGCTGGTTCCAGTTTACAGGTGCTACCAGCACTCCCTGACCAGCCTTGGAGCCACTGAAACCAGCCAAGCAGCAGCCTTTCCGAAAACTCTAGATCCCAGCTCTGCAGGACCTATGTTCCAAGTTCCCAAGTTCTTAGAGAGCTTCAACCTCTTCCTTTTATCTTGGGTTGGGGGTGGGGGACACTGCCTCCTGCAAGTTATAATCTCTGTTTTAGTTAGTGGTGGTTTTTTTTGGAGTTTTTTGCCCTTCTAGTCCTCCAATACTTCTTTACTCAATTCTCTATGTTAAATTTTATCTGTTAAAATAATGGGCATAGTCTCTATCTTTCTAACTGGACCCCAAATGATAAAAGCAGGAATAGGAAGACATATATAAATACATAGAAATTTAGTAAATACTTCCCTGTTTCATACTTTCTTATGTGTACTAATTTTATATATGTATATGGCTAGAGCAGCTCCACAGGGCAATCACTTGTTTTGTTCACTGATGAGTGCCCCGTGCCCAGAACACTGCATGAGACATTGTAGGCATTCGATTTAGTTTTTTATTGAATGAAGGCGAGTATGAATGTATAAGATGGTCAAAGGTAGATTTACCCCTATATGCAATTGTAAGGAATATTTTGATACACTATTTGGGATGAGTGGATGAGACACCCAGAGGGTATGTTTAAGTAACCACAGATAGAAAGCAAACTTCCATCGAAGAGAAGGGTGTCTAGCTGACCACAGGACTTTTTGGTGAGTGGACATGGAACTGATATGGTTTGGCTCTGTCCCCACTCAAATCTCACCTAGAACTGTAGCCTCCATAATTACCAATGGGAGGTAACTGAATCATGGGGGTGGGTTTTTCCCATGCTGTTTTCATGATAGTAAGTCTCATGAGATCTGATGGTTTTATAAAGGAGAGTTCCCTGCACATGCTGTCTTGCCTGCCACCCTGTAAAATGTGCTTTGCTTCTCCTTTGCCTTCCACCATGATTGTGAGGCCTCCCCAGCCATGTGGAACTGTGAGTCCACTAAACCTCTTTCCTTTATAAATTACCCAGTCTCGGATATCTCTTTATTTGCAGTGTGAAAATGAACTAATACAGCAAGTTGGGAATTATATATAGCAAGAACTGCTCCATGTTAACACAGGAGAACGTTATCAGTGAGCAGCGGGAAAAGGCAGACAGGGGAAGAGAACAAGGAAGAACAGACACATGTGATGAGAATGCGTGAGAAAAGATGTTGTGGATTCAGCATGCCTTCACATTTCTTCTCTGAAACCTGCAGCATAATCTGTTCGGTACGCTTTGGTGTAAGAACGTTTTCTGCTGAATATGAAGAGAGGCTGAGCACCATATTGAGTTAAGCACTGGCAAAGACAGATGTCATGTGTGGTGTTTTCTGACACCAAATATGTGTTATTTCCTCAGAATTCTCCAATTATCCAACACCAACTGGTTGTCCAAAAATTCCATTCAATTCTCACACTAACTCCCAGAGTTAGCACAAACACCACAGGTTAAGGGCTCAGTCCCCCAGACTGCTCCCACTCCAGATGCCAGCTGCAAACAGGGTGGCAGGCCACCTGCACACACAGGGGTTCCCACTGCTCAGGTTCAATAAGTCACTAGAACAACTCACAGAACTCTAGAGAATATTTATGATTACTGGTTTATTATAAAGGATAAACCTCAGAAATGGCCAAATGGAAGAGATGCAATAGAACATGATATGGGGGAGGGGGGGGCGCCCATATGTGTTCACCAACCTGGAAGCTCCCCTAATGTCAGTGTTTCAGAGTTTAATCAAGGTTTCATTACTTAGCCATGATTAAGAAATTGGCCATTCGTGACTGAACTCAATCTCCAGCCTCTCTCCCCTACTTAGAGGTGTTGGGGTAGGGGACTGAAAACTAAAAGTCCTATCCACCCTTCTTGGCATGGCTAACCCCTCCCTTAAAACTATTTAAAGGGCCACCAGCAGTCACCTCATTAGCATAAAAACCCAGGTATGGCTGAAAGGAGCTTAAAAATAACAAAAGAACATTTTATAAGTAACAAAAGAAGCTCCTACCACTCAGGGTTTTAGATATGTGCCAGGAACCAGGAACCATGACCAAATATATATATATTCATTATACCACACATTACATGCTAGGAAAATCAGCTTTCATTACAGCATTCTCTAATCCTACTCTCTGCCCCCTTCTCATCTTGCAACCCTAAAAACACAAAAGATAAATTATGTGGTACAGCCAGGAAATGCATATTGAGCTTATAAAAGGATTCTTATGCTGTCTCTAAAAATAAAAAAAAACTTTTCAGAGAAATGTATTATGAGGATACAAGGTACTGTACACTCTATTTACGATAAAGGAATGAAACCTACTTTATAAAGCAAATGTGAAAAAAAAAACTCCTTAATTACCTATCTTACATATTTCAAAATAAATGTTAAACAAATTCTAATTGCATTATGTTGTTTAATATTACCTATAAGAAATGTAAAGGCCTTAAGCACAAACAAGGACACAAGGAAAGAAAATCATTTAAACTGTAGACTTTGGTGGTTCTATTATATAGAAGATTAAATACTGATGGTCAAGGACATTAAACATAGAATGCAATGAATTTCCTTTCTTTCGAAAACAACTGGAATAAAAAGATGTTGCCATTAACGCTATAAGCATTTAGTAAGTACTTATGTGTAGGATAAATGATTTAAATATGGTTTTGTGGGAAGGCATCAAGATAAATGTCCATTCATTTGATAAACCCTTTTAAAACTAACAATTGTGCCAAGCACCTTATGTATAAAGATAGATGGCAAAATCCTTGCTCGCAAGGCACTCCTAGTCGCAAGGATTAAAGATGCCCAGCACTTGTACCAACCAGTGCTCCCACAAGCTGAACCTATGACCGACATCACTAGTCAATCGTCTCCTTTTCCCAAAAGAATGACCTCAGCCTCACAATCCTCATTACACAGTGTTCCACATGGATACCATCAACAGGAGTTGAAATACAAGGTGAACCTACTTGCCTAGAATACTAAACTTTAATCAACTGTCCTGAACTAACATACGATACAAAGCCCTGCATCAGCAAGTTTTACTGTAATGCAGCCATGCCTGCCCCTTTATGTACTGTCTATTGCTGCTTTTGCTTTTGAGTAGTCTCATGCAAAACCTAAAGTATCTACTCCCCGATCCTTTAAGAAAAAGTTTGCAGACCAATGTCCTATGAAGAAGACCAATGTCCTATAAGAAGATGCAGATAAACTTCTTGAGAGTCCAGATGAGGAAATTGCAGGCTGATGCTCTCTTACAACAGCACTGAGAGTCCCACAGGAGATCCTCACTAGCTACTTGACAGCATTCAGCAGCCTCCCAGTGCAGGTATGTGAAGACATTTGCTTTACTAAGCAAATGATAAGGCTCTCTGACTCTCATCAGAATCTCCCTGCTAGTCGTCCTCACTGGCCTAGACCACAGGAAAAGATGACCCTCTTGTTACCTGCAGTGATAGAGGTGAATGGTTGCAGCAGGGAATGTAAGGCCCAGGAGTATAAAGTATTTACTATGGCCGGGTGTGAGGGCTCATACCTGTACTCTCAGCACTTTAGGAGGCCGAGGTGGGTGGATTCCTTGAGGCCAGGAGTTTGAGACCAGCCTTGCCAACATGGTGAAACCCCGTCTCTACCAAAAATACAAAAAGTAGCCGGGCGTGGTGGATACGCCTGTAATCCCAGCTACTCGGGAGGCTGAGGCATAGGAATCGTTTGAACCTGGGAGGCAGAGGCTGCAGTGAGCTGAGATCACACCACTACACTCCAGCCTAGGCAACAGAGTGAGACTCCGTTTCAAAAAAAATAAAAAAATAAAGTATTTACTACGTGGTCATCTACAGAAAAAGTTTACTGACCTCTCATTTTACCTCATAACACCTCTCAATGTGTAATTATACATGTGGGTGATTTGTCAGTGTCTGCCACGTCCCATGAGACTATGATGGTCTCAAAGGCACAAACCATGTCTCATGCATTCACCAATGCATTTCCCATGCCTGGGACAGACCTGGTGCTTCTTTAGTATTTGTTGAATGATAATTAATTAATTAGATACAAAGCCCAAGGACACAATGACCCTCGATCTAAAACTGGGGCCACTGACTTGCCTTCATAGCAGACAAATAATAATGGTTCCTGTGACAACAAATTATTAGACAAGGTCAGGCACTTCCCAGGGCTAACAGTTCAGTAATCGTGTTTCCAGAATAATACAGATTTCAGCCCATATGCCCATCATCATTTATCTCTAAGACTTCAAAGCTAAAAAGTTTCTCTCTGCATTGAGCCATATATTATGTACAAATAAATAGACAAATAAGCCAGTTCAAGCACAAATTCTACAGGGAAAATCCAGAGTTCATTTTTTTTTAGACACAGTTTCACTCTGTCGCCTAGACTGGAGTGCACTGGTGCGATCTCTGCTCACTGTAGCCTCCCCTTCTTGGGTTCAAGCAATTCTCGTGTCTCAGTCTCCCAAGTAGCTGGGACTACAGGCACGCACCACCACACCCAGCTAATTTTTGTATTTTTAGTAGAAGCGGGGTTTCATCATGTTGGCCAGACTGGTCTTGAATGGGTGACCTCGAGTGATCTGCCCGCCTTGCCCTCCCAAAGTACTGAGATTAAAGATGTGAGCCACAGTGCCTGGCCCAAAGCTCATTTTTTAATGAGCATCTACTATGTGTCAGGTGGCATGCTTGAGCACCAGTGATGCTCAAGCATACAGTGATGTGGTTAAGATCATGGACACTGGATCACGGACTTGTTTGAGCCCTGGCCCCACTATGATAATGACCACAACCACTTATTAATAATACAAGCTGACCAGGGAATGGGGCACTGTTTCAGCGTATTGCTTTTGAAATCATAAGGTAGGTAAAGGGTGATCTCCAATTGCAGATGGAAAACGGAGGCACAGAAAGATTAACACATGTTTCCAAGGTCACAAGGATACAAACCTAACTTCTAGAGTCTATGACCTTAATCACTTTGCTGCCAGGTTATCATGTGTAATCAATGAGATCCTGCTTTTGAGGATACATTACAGTACCTAACACAAAGTACACACTCAACAAATGCTTTCATTATAACTATCACATCACCATAATCATCTACACTGTCAAGCAAAGAACTCATTTGATCTTTCACAGATTTAGCTAACATGTACAAAGATATTTTATAATCCTTCATATTGAGATATAAATCTGAGCTTGTCCAACGGTGCTTTTCACCATTCTCATCGCTAGAATCCACAAGTGTAGGAGGATGAAGGTACAGGTAGTGCATTTTTTAATTAATGTGCTTAAGCCAGAAAACAAAATCAAGAACAAATTAATAACGAAAAGTAAAATGTTTTTAAGGTTATTCAAAAGGACATGATTATTTTTTTGGGCTGTTTTGCAGACTGTCTCAAGTAAAATTTCTCTAATTTTATGCTAGATGAAGTACTTACTAGCAAAATGTATCCATTAAATATTTATTATATCAATATTCATAAACAATGTAGTACACTGCAATCAGTTTCTGTAGTAAAGTCATTTACACAGAGGTCAAACCTTTCAAATACAGAAAAAGCAAACCAAGGTCTGCATGTTTTCAAACACCAAGTTCTAAACCAAAAGTCAGAGTTATTATACCCTGACTCCTTCATTCTGTATTTGATTTCTTCATGTTCTATAGCCTATAAAATAATGTAACAGGCATAATTACAGTGATTTGCTCCCCAGGTTTGGATGAAATTAAATAAAAATTCCATAATGAAATGCCAGGAAAATACCTAGTTGTAGTAAATGCCAGTTAAAGAACAATGCTTCCTGTCAATGTCTATGTTCAATAAGTTTACCTGGCAATAATAAAACAAAACTTTGTTAGGCAGAAACATTTTAATGGACAGTTATTTAATGCACGCTGTGGGCTATGAAGGGCCCTCAGAGGAAAAGCCATGTCAATGTGGGTCTCGCTCAGTGTGGTTCCTTTCCTTCAAGGATGGAATCCTCTCCGCTTTCTGCCTACTTTTAGTTACACTCCAAGACTTTAAAATATTTTAATATTTTTAAAATATTTCTTATATTTTATATATTTTGTCCACAAGTTATCACTGTTTTATCTGTTATCTGTTAATCCAGTATAAGACTACTCCATTCCTGGAATAAAGTATTCATTTTATAACCATGGTGTTCAGAAAACTAAAATTTTCAGATGTGGTTGAATACAGAACAGAGCTGAAACATCATGTCCCCACTGTAGACACCCTCCATATATTATCTAAGCCTAATGCTACAACTTCCTTTCGTATCCACATGATCCTGCATCGTCTAGCTTCTTCATAGCCAGTATATTGCAGTGCTCAGTGTCTTGTAAAAAGCTCTTTGGTGCCACAACAGGCAGGGAATTCTCTTTCCTTTGCTAACTCTTCACCAGGACCACTACCATCACCAAGGTTACTATCAAGAGTCTGTAGGACTCTTCAGCTGGGCACAGTGGCTCACACCTATAATCCCAGCACTTTGGGAGGCCGAGGCAGGAGGATTGCTTGAGCAAGACCCACTCTCAATTTGTAAAATTATATTAAAATTTAAAAAAAATTTTTTTAAGAGTATATGCTTCTTTTGGAGCAGATTTCAAGAATTCTGGTGCAAACAAAGTCAACTATTAGTTATCTTATAAAGTTTATTTTCATCATTTCATTCTAATTAACTATACTTAATAATTTGCTCCTCAATATGAATGAAAATTTCAGCAGTATTCTAGCTACAAGAGTCAGTAAACCATTGCCTACAGAATCTAACTCATCTGGATAAGCAAACTACTCAGTCACTATTTATCTCTTTAACTAAAGGTTCATTCAATCTTTGGGCTCTCATTAGTATTTCTTAGTCTTTTCCCTGCCAAGTTCATGCCAGTAAACTTGACAGGGCACAGTATCATGAAAATGGTATTTTTCATATTTATCTTCCTCAGGAATCTGCTGAAACTCAGTGCAGACAATACCTGTCTTCCAATTCTAACCACATGTTTGAGAATGTGCACGTGTGTATATGTCATACTAACCAATCTTCCTTTTCCTATTAGTTCCTGGCTTTACTACTTAATAGCTGTGCATTCAACCACTCTGTGCCTTTAATCCTCAACTGTAAAACAAGAATAATAAACAGGATTGCTAGGAGAATAGGATGAGTAAAGTGCTTAGGGCATCTGTCACGTAAGGAGAGCTCAGAAAATATCAGCTATTCTCATCTATTATACTATGATTTTTGCGATATTCAACACTGCTTCCAACATCATCATGAAGAGCCAGCAAAACAACATGAAGTGACCTAGGACATTCAAATACATGACGAAAATCTTCATGACACACCAGTAATTGTGCAAAAGAGGTAGGAACTGTGGCAGAACCATCACCCTTAAAAATTCATATCAAATTCCTGCCTTGGCTGAGGCTTTGCACTGGTTATCAGTTTTTCAGACCTCTTGCCTGCCTTTCAAAGCCCAACAACTGTGAACTAAGCATATGAAACTGAGACAGGCAACTGAACAGTGGGAAAAGAGAATATTTACATTGTGTGTATCAGACATAAGTGAAAAAAGCTGAGATCCCAGTGAAGAGTGATTCATGGGTGACACATATTCAGACTCAAACTGCAAACTCTGTCTCTTGGGCAGCAGCTCAAGTCTTACTTTAGTTCTTTTTTACTTTAGCTGGGCCACTTACAGTCAGCCTTATGCATGTGTTGTTCATGAAATACCTTCTGATTTGGTCAGTTTATACACAGAATCCAGGACTCCTCCTCTCTGACTCTCTCCTTTCTGAGACACCCTCCCACCCCCAGTTTCCCGCTGCTTAGGGATCCTGAACTCTGTCCTTCAGTTCTCCAGTGCAAAAAGACTACAGGTTTTCTACCGGAGTTTAGCCACCATTGCACCCTGTCATCAAGACCAAAAAGCTGGAAGTAAAAGCTGGAAGTAAAAACTGGAAACTCAAAGCAGGCCTTTTGTTTCCCATTTCAACTCCCCTCCTTCCAGTTTCGACTCCCCTCCAGGGTCTCCCAGCCTTTGGCACTTTCCAAAACCTTCAAGTACTTGTTTTATATTTTCTCCAAAGCAGATAGTTACTAGCTATGCAAAGCCCAGTCTGTTAAGAGCTTACATGGTCACACAGGAAATAGGATCTGTCAATGACACATATTCCAGAGGGATTCAAGCTCAAGCGGAGATGTTCTTTTCTATTCCACATAGCCAGGGAACACTAACTCATGAACAGGGACAATACTTTGAAAGTTCATCCTATTAAATGACAAAGAGTCTTCACCTTAGGAGAGGAAGTCACTTCCAAGCAGAAACTCCAAAGAAATGGGTAAAGACTGGCCAAAGAATAAGTCCAGGAGCTTGTTTGGGATGAACAAACTATGCAGACAGCCTGAGAGCTATGAAAACACACACAAAGTATGGTAATAGAAAGGGTCTAGAAAAGGAGAAGATTCTCATTCAAAGAGGTAGGAAAATGGACACCAAGGCAGAATCCTTTTTTTTTTTTTTTTTGAGACAGAGTCTTGCTCTGTCACCCAGACTGGAGTGCAGTGGCAGGATCTCGGCTCACTGCAAGCTCTGCCTCCCGGGTTCATTCCATTCTCCTGCCTCAGCCTCCCGAGTAGCTGGGACTACAGGCGCCCGCCACTGCACCCGGCTAATTTTTTGTGTTTTTAGTAGAGACGGGGTTTCACCGTGTTAGCCAGGATGGTCTCGATCTCCTGACCTCGTGATCCACCTGCCTCGGCCTCCCAAAGTGCTGGGATTACAGGCGTGAGCCACTGCACCCAGCCACCTGGCTAATTTTTTTTCTATTTTTAGTAGAGACGGGGTTTCACCGTGTTAGCCAAGATGGTCTTAATCTCCTGACCTCGTGATCTGCCCACCTCGGCCTCCCAAAGTTCTGAGATTACAGGTGTGAGCCACCATGCCTGGCTGGCAGTATCTTTTTTTTTTTTTTAGAATCAGCTGATAATGTAACTTACTCAGAGATCCTGGTGGAGGATATAAACGTTCAGACCCAAAACAGACAACATCCAGACCAGGGATGGCAGAGCCTCTTAACTCTGACCAGCTGGAAATGGCTGCCCAGGGAGCTGTAGAAAGTAAGACCTCAAGGCTTTGTCATGGTAGACATCAATAATCACTCAGAACAGCATCATGAGTGATTATTGATGTCTACGACAGGAAGAGAGAGGGGCAGCTCAGTCTCAGGTATTCACAAGCCAGAATCAAGTATAAGGTTATAGGACTTGAGAAGAATAAGGACAGATTTGTCAACATCATCATTATTAAGATTACTGAGTTTCTTCAATATGCCCAGATGATGTTTAGAGTAATTCAAATTTAAGTGAAATTAAAAAGGGATATCAGACAGGCTAAAATAAAAAAGTGCCTTGAATCTTAATAAGCCCACAGTATATGAACTGCCTCTAATTAGATTCAGGAATATGACTCCTTTTGAAACCAACCAGGAGAAAACACTTATTCAGAAGATTTCAATAAAAAATTAATAACCACTTGCTTCCACTTTATCATGCACAGTCCTCAACGGTGGATTTTAAAAAACGAAAGTACAGTCTGTCTCAGGAAAATTGTACTTGTGAGTCCTTCAAAAGCTAGGACATTTTAATCAATAAAGTGTGAGGGCAATTTACTGACTTACATAATTCAACAAAATACTTGCTATTCAAAATGAGTGAAGTCTGTCACTGAAATTGTTAAGGGTTTATATAAATACACTACTAAATTAACAAAGAAAAAAGCAAGCAAAGGCTGCCCTCCAACCTGATCTTCATGCTCCAGGGAACCAGTTCTTTATCAGGATAATGGTGGTTGACGTTTCCGTAAGTTATCTGGTACTCTGCCTTTCTTTTTTGGAGAGAGATGACTTGCCCAAGGTAAATCCAGTTCAGAAAGGGAGCATCCATGCCAGTAACTTTTGATCCATGTAGCTTTCTCCTATACCACATTATGACTTGCTATAAGAGGACAGTTAAACAGGATAATTACAGAGGGCAAGTTTCCCAACTAAATGACAACCATTAAAATTAGACATGAAGTTACAAAAAAAGAGTGAACAGAGGGAGATTTTCTTAAGTACTAGTAAATTTCTACTTAGGTCCTAGGAAGTGCTGTTTACTTTATAATTACATGTTAAACTACATATATGATAAGTATTTTTTCAGTATTTTATGCTACATTGCACAATTTTAAAAAGCTTTAAAGAAGAGTGTAAGCTTCTAAGTCTCACAGCTGTGAATTCAAATTCAGACTCTATTATTTACAAGTTGGATGAGTTTAGACAAACTTCTCAACCTCTCTAAGCTTCAGTTTCCTCTTGTGTAAAATGAAGATAAATGATAGATAATGATAATGATAGTACCTATGTTACAGATTGCTGCTGAGTGTCAAAGAGAAAATGCCATTGGAATGCCTAGCACTTAGTGGCCCTCTCTGGACTGGTCTCTCCACTGCAAAGGCCCAAAACCTGCCCCCTGCATTGTTTCCAAGCTGATATACATCAACACATTTCCAGATTGTAGCTACACTTGGCATTTCACCTCCTAGTTGACAGTGTGAAGCTGTTCATACTGCTATAGGGCAGCACACAGCTGAATGCAAACACAGTTCTTTTGCCTTACCTAGGAGCTCCATGGATCAGGAGATGCCCTACAGCTGAGAGACAGGCAAGTTTGGTGGATAAAGAAAGCCAGCAAGTGGACAATCGAACATAATTTGGAATTACTGGTCATCAAAGTCTAATTCCAGAAATAAATCAATTCAATGGAAAGCCTTTATAGCAAGCAGACAGATTTAGAAAGGCTGTAAGGCACAGAAGAAATCACGTAGACTTGGGAGTCTGACAGGTGGGTGTTCAAATCCTATCTTGGTCACTAAGCAGTAACCCAATTGTAGCGGATGTTGTAAGTGACTCGCCAGTATCTTTTTCTAAACTATTCAGCAGCTTAGCCAATAATGGAGATTTCCAATTTTTGCCAATAACTGGCTCAGCAATGAGCATATGACCTAATCCCCAGCAGTGATAACCTAGAGGAAGTCTAATGGGAAGGTTATAGGAAGAACTTCCTCCCTCATAGAAGTTTAAGAAAATAAGAAAAAAAAATTATCTAGATTAACTATCTAGAGCTATTCCGTGGCCTTGTCCAGCTGCAAGGCAAGCTGGGAGATCCAGTACAGCCATGTGTCCAGAGAAAAGAAGAGCTGGCTTCAGTTAACGGATAATAGTTCCTGGCATGTTTTTAAAGAAAGCTCTGTCAAGGCTTTCTTCTGTGTAATTTATTGTAATGTACATTCGAAAAAAATGTATATGTATCAGTAATTTACCAAGCCCATACTTTCATGGACACTATTACTTATGGAGGGGCTCAAATGTGGATTTAAATATTTTTAATAGTGAATAGATTTAGAAGAAAAATGTGAAGTCAATGATATTGATACTTAAACATCACAAAAAGCCCTGAAGAGGTATTACCCTAGATGAGGCACCGAAGTGTTAAACCAGTTGTCCGAGGCACAAAGCTAGTAAGTGGCTTACATGTCACATTAGCCATGGAAGAGCCTTGCAGCAGATGCTCTCAGTGCTCCATCCGCATGGCCTCAGATCGCGCCACCATTTTTATACAGACTCACTGTGCACTCTTACTCCCAAGAGCAGCCCCGGCAGGTCTTTGTCTTAAGATGCTGAAGACAACATGCCCTTAAAGAACCTTGAAGAGGGTATATAAATACTTCAACTCTCTTGCCCCTAACTACAACTCTGAGGTGTAACCTACACAGTTTCCATAGCTGTCCTGTGGAATTAAGCAAAGTCACCCTCTTTGGGATTCAGTTTAATAACACACCCTTCTCAGCCTCCTTCCCTTCAACTTCTCTAAACCCCTTTGAGTTTTTCCTGAGAATGCCTCCCCGAAAAGCCACTTTCACATGAATCCTTTTCTCAGGATGTGTGACCAGGGAACAATAAGAAAAGTCTTGGGGTTACTATGGTCCAAGGTTCCCCAAACAAGAATCACTCATACACAATTCTTGCTACATCTAGAGAACACTAATACCAGTATCAGTTTATTTATGATGTTTATTTTAACTTAAAGATAGAGAAAACTTTAGAGCACTACCTATACTGTTTGTTTAAGTAGAAGGAGATAGCATAATTAAAAAATAAAAGGGATTCAATTCTGATTATTTGAGGTATGAAGTCCTAAGCTGAAGATCTTAAAAGCACACAAGCACAAAACTGAAAATTTCTCCGTGACAAAATCCTAAGGTTCCAAAGACAGTAACAATGAATTCAGCACTATGTGACTCACTGGTATTGGATGCTGCATCCCTGCGTTACCTAAACTCATCTCGTGTACTGCCAATGGATGTGTCCCGTGCTCTGGGCAGCACTGTTTCAACAGCCATTTTGCAAAGTTAAGCATGTATCTGGCACACAGCATAATCCCTGATACATGATAGATGTACAATGAATGTTAAACAGAGTTTAGTAAGGAAACTGAGTCTCTTCCCTAAAGCCATGCTGTTGATCAGTGGGCCAGAAACAGGCACAACTGAACCTTTTCTCTGCATACCATCTGCCTGCATCTAGAACAGAGATGTGATTCACTCCTAAAAATCCACTACGATTCTTCCTAGATGACTTCATCTACAGCAGTAAATCTACACATTTATATAGATTTTTTACTCTCTTATAACATTTGTTTTCCCCATTCTCCCCAAAACTCGTTGAGCATTCCATGGAATATTATTGCTGGCTAATTTTCACCACTATTTGCCTATTGGCATAACCGCACCCACTTTTTATCATGCTCCTTTTTCAACTACTGCTATTACTCCTTTTTTTCTTTCATTAGAACCCTCAGAAGTGATTTCACTTTTATGTTCATTATTGTTCATTTACAATCAGCTTTTGATTGCATGCTGATTGTTCTTAAATTTCAACTTTAGACTGCTGAAGAAAAACAGTGCTTGGTGTTAGCTTCTGATTACCAAAGATCAGCTGAATTAAGTTACAAAACTGTTTTTCAAAAGGCCTGGAACATAGGTAGTAAAATGTTAGTGTTTTTGTTTAACCTTGGGTGAGCTGTCTGGATAAAGAGAATGGTTAAAAACTAAGTGAGATTAAAAATAATAATGAGGTTTGCTGGATTTACTTAAAATCAAAATAAAAAAATACCAAAATTGATACATCTGAACAAGGCTCTGCATTTATTCCAATCTCTTGCTATTGTTTAAAATATTTCTAGAGCTCCTATTTGGGAAATGACAATAAACCTGTGCCCCTTTCCTTGGGATATTCTTCTCAATTGCAACTCGTCTGTCTTTAAGTTGATTTCACTCATAGAAATGGTCAGAGCTTCTCAAATCCAACACCAGCAAATAAGGTGTAGGAAACAATGTTTTAGTTGGAAAACAAGTGCTGGAAGCATAAAGCAAAAGAACTCATGGCAGTGGTCCATGGGCTAGCTCTCCAAGCAGCCAGAAAAGCATGCATCTCCAGCAAAAGTTCAGAGACTCCAGAAGTGCCAAGGTGAAAAAACAAAGGCTCATCTGGTCACATATTAGGTTGGTGCAAAGTTACAAATTTCAAAAACCGCAATTACTTTTGCACCAACCTACAATTTCAGATGTGTTTGATCAAAAAAATCAACCACACCCACGTTGTCTCAATGCAGGGTGGTTCTGGAGGTCTGTGAGGTCAAAACTATTTTCATAATAATACTAGGATGACTTTGTCACTCTCATTCTTCACAAATGTACAGACCACAAAAAGTTCATTGATGTGTGTATTAGTATCCTAGGACTGGCGTACAAAGTACCACATACTGGGTATCCTAGGACTGGCATACAAAGTACCACATACTGGGTGGCTGAAACTACAGAAAGGTATTCTCTTGCAGTTTAGGAGGCTTAAAGTCTGAGATCAAGGTATCAGAAGGGTTGGTTTCTTCTGAGGGCTGTGAGGGAGAATCTGGTCCATGCCTCTCTCCTAGCTTCCAGTGGTTCACAGGCAATCTTTGGTGTTCTTGGCTTGCAAAAGCATCACTACTTTCATCTTCACATGGCTTTCTCCCTGGGCGTGTGTGCCCGAGTATAAATTTTCTCTTTTTATAAAGACACCAATCATATTGAATTAGGGCCCTCCCTAACGACCTCATTTTAACTTGATTTCCTCTATCTATCTCTTACCTTCTATCTCCTTTAAAGATAGAGTCTTTACAGAGAAAATCAAATTACATTAGGTCACATTCTGAGATACTGAAGGTTAGATTTCAACATAGGAATTTTGTGGGGGACACAATTCCACCCATTATCAGGCATAATTCAGTGGACCCACGTGAGTGGCATCCTGAGGAGATGTGCAGGGCAACAGCTGTGACAACAAGGAAGTTGTTTAAGATCTCTGAGCCGCAGTTTGTTACTCTTTAAAATGGGCTTAGTAGCTAGGCATGGTGGCTCACACCCGTAATCTCAGCACTTTAGGAGGCTGAGGTGGGAGGATCACTTGAGGCCACAAGTTGGAGACCAACCTGGGCAACAAAGCAAGACCTTGTCTCTACAAAATTTAAAAAAAAAAAATTGGCCAGGCATAGTGGCATGCACCTGTAGTCCCAGCTAATCTGGAGGCTGAGAACAGAGGATTCATTGTGCCCAGAAGTTCAAGGATGCAGTGAGCTGTTATACGATCTTGCCACTGCACTCCAGCCTGGATGACACAACAAGACCCCATCTCTACATAAATAAGTAAAGAAAATAAAATGAGCTTAGCAATGGCTATAATAATGCCTTCCTCCTAGGGCTGCCATGAATACTCAACATGATAATCCTCCTCAAGTGCACAGCACCAAACCTGGCCCACAGAATGTGCTTGATAAACATCAGGTGTCTATTTGTACATGTGCTTCATTTCAGGTTATCCAGACACCATTAATAGCCATTGTACAGGCAAGTCCAGCAGAAAAGGACTCTGTGTGTGTGTGTGTTATCCAGACACCATTAATAGCCATTGTACAGGCAAGTCCAACAGAAAAGGACTCTGTGTGTGTGTGTGTGTGTGTGTGTGTGTGTGTGAGAGAGATGGCACCCTGCAAGGGAATGGCATCCTGGTTCCTGGCAAACAGGTTCCTGCCTTGCTCCCTGAGCTACTGGGATGGGCATCTGCCACCTGTGACACGGAACTGGAATAAAATGAATGAATGTAAATGATTGTCAAATAAACATTCATCAAGTCTACAATAATCATAAAAACACACTAAACAACGTGGTCCAAAAGTACTCAGTGTTTGTGTTTGTTTCTGAACTTTGTGGTGAAAGGAGGTGCTCCCTACCATTTTCACTTTGCAAACATTTATTCTGTGACTTAAACTACAACGACTACGACCGCCATCACTCACTTATCACCAGAAACTGGGTAAATCATTATCTTACTTGTTTTTATTAATCTTTTTGAAATGTAAGTAGAGCTTACATTTAATTCACTGTTTAATATTAGCGGTGTTTTTGGTCTTTGGAAGTTTGATGATGTTTCTGTAACCTGAAGTATGCTGAACTTAAAACTCTTGTTTACATCAATTAGCCTATAGAAAACTGGTTTGCTTTATGGTGAAACCATTTCTGTCCTCCAAGGCTGTATAATTAACTTCTTATCCTCTTCCTACATTCAGTGCTGGAATGGGTATGGAAGCAGAGAACAAATTGGAATGTCTTTAGTGAGGACTTACAGTATCCCCAGAGGGCTGGGGTGCTCTCACAACACCAAACACATCTCACTGTAATTGCCCATTTCTCATCAGTCTCCAACAAATGAGACTGTAGGTTCCTTAAAGGCAGCAACTGTCTCATATCCCCAAGCTTCCTACAAACCCACCATCTGCAACCTCCGCCTCCCAGGTTCAACTGATTCTCCTGACTCAGCCTCCCAAGTAGCTGGAATTACAGGTGTACACCATCATACCTGGCTAATTTTTGTATTTTTAGTAGAGATGGAGTTTCACCATGTTGGCCAGGCTTGTCTTCAACTCCTGACCTCAGGTGATCCACCCACCTGGGCCTCACAAAGTGCTGGGATTACAGGCGTGAGCCACCGCCTAATAGTGGGCCTAATAGTGGACCTGTGCTGCATTTGACCCACTGAAAGAATCAATGAATATGAATATACAACAGAAACATTATCAGGAAAGATATTTCTTAATAGACATTTTAGTTGGACATGGGAAACTGAAAATGTAGCCCAAGCTACATATGATACAACATTTCTACTCAGGTGAATGTTAACATAAGGTATACCTCCACGGAACACTCATGTTCATAGCAGCATTATTCACATAGCCAAAAAGGGAAAGCAACCCAAGTGTCCACCGACAAATTAATGGATTAAAAAAAAGATATATACACATATCATGGAATATTATTCAGCCTAATAAGGAAGGAAATTTTTGCACATGCTGCAACACAGATGAACTTTGAAGACATTATGCTAAATGAAATAAGCCAGTCATAAAAGAATAGCTATAGTATGAATCTTTTTAGATAAGGTTCCTAGAGTAGGCAAATTCACAGAGATCAAAAGTAGAACAGTGGTTGGCAGGGACTAGGGGAAGGGGAGATGGGGGAGTTAGCATTGAATAGGTACAGAGTTTTAGTAGGGGAGGATGAATAAGTTCAGGAAATGGATGATGGTGATGGCTGCATAACAATATGAATATATAACAATGTCCGAGTATGGTTAAAATGGCAAAATGATAAAAATGGCAAAAATGGTTAAAATGGTCAATTTTATGTCATGTATATTTTACTACAATAATAAATATATAATAAAAATTTTAAATTAAAGAATATACACATTCATATTTTTTAGTATCTTTAGAAGCTTTGGAAATCAAAAACAAGGTTTCAGAGACAAAAAAGGAACTTAATGATCCAAATTTTTAATCAAAAAAGCAATTCTTTTGCCACCTCCCTCAACACCCTAAAAGTCAATCAGAAAACACTGCTTTGTGTCAATAATTAATTTTACCTAAATTATGACAATGTTGCTTAACATCAAAATTCCAGGAAAAATATTCCACTGACCTGAAAAGAAGGACTCTGAAGTATGCAGGAGGAAATAGATTCATCCTGTAGCACATGACAACACATCTTCAAGAAAGGAACACTATGACTCTTGGCTTACCATAAGCGTAACATTACTGATATACTGCCAATATTAAGCAAAATGAAATACCACTACTAAATATTCTCACTTGGGGCCCTTTAACATAAAGAAAATTTAGTATTTTTCTCTCATCTTCCTATAAAGTTTAACTCTGTAAGTCTCCCCACATATTAAAATTATATTTTATACAAAATATAGTCATAAAAGCTATTTTATACTGGTCATAAAAGCCTCATCATATACTCATATCAAACAAAAAAGAAAGGATCCATTAGACACTCACAACATGCTATGCTGTGAGTTTTGGACGTGGGACTCCAATCCTAAAAGCGTCCTCAGGCCCACCCTCGCTTAGGACAAGTCACAAGCCTTCTGCCTCCATTTCCAACCATCCTATTCAACACTCAGCCATTCAGTCCTTCTGCATCATTTTAAAATTCATGAGGATAATCTGTTTACAACTTCACCATCTCAAAATTTACTTAGTTTTTCTAATGTGCCAAATAGCACGTATATTTTTTTCCATGGTAATTATAAAAAAGTTAAAAGCTGAAAAATTCCTTTTTTCCCTGTATTGTTGGCTTTCAATTTTAATGATACATCACTTTAAAAGAGCCCTGAATCTTAACAAAGAAACACTCATCATTAATAGTTTATTCCCTTAATCAAAAATAATTCATAACTCTCCACTTTCTATTACTTATTAAAGGCCCACGTAAGCCCTCAGGCTGGAATGAGAATGCCTATGAGAACTGGTTTTCCCCCTTTCTTTCAAAGGTAGGAAAGGACTTACTAACTCAAATAAGTCCTTCAAGTCCAGATGGTATAGCATAGCATCTCAACAACAGGTAAGAGAGTACAAGCAGAAGCTGGGGACAAAAAGCAAAGGATAAAAAATAGTTCCTTATAAAAATGTGAAGAGATCTCCATTGATAAGGAGAAAACCTTAATATTTTCTGGTAAAGCTATAATGCTGATCCCTACTTCTATTCAATGCTGTGGGCAAGCCAATCAATGCTGTGGGCACGGGGAAGGGAGGGGAATGGAGGGGAGGGCAGGGGAGGGGAGGGGAGGAGAGGGGAGGGGAGGGGAGAATATGGTGCCCTAAATGGATCAGGCCACTCCCCAGACACTGTACCCAGAGCCCTGAGCCCTGCTTCAGGCAGGGAGGAAAGCATGGTGCTGTTCCTCTCCACAGGCCTCCCGACTTCAGCCACAGACAATAAGATGGGGGTGGATCCCTTACTTAAAACCAGACAATATCGAAACAATAAAGTTTGGCCGGGCACGGTGGCTCACGCCTTAATCCCAGCACTTTGTGAGGCCAGGTGGGTGGACCACCTGAGGTCAGGAGTTGAAGACAAGCCTGGCCAACATGGTGAAACTCCATCTCTACTAAAAATACAAAAATTAGCTAGGTGTGGTGGTGTACACCTGTAATTCCAGCTACTTGGGAGGCTGAGTCAGGAGAATCACTTGAACCTGGAAGATGGAGGGTGCAGTGAGCCAAGATCTCACCACTGCACTCAAGCCTGGGCAAGAGAGTGAGACTCTGTCTGAAAAAATATAAATAAAAATAAATAAATTCAGCTTTCAGAGACACTGAAATGTGAAAAAGAAAAAAAAAAGGTATCTTACAAAGAAATATAAGTAATTGTCACAAGATCACAAAGCTATGGAGTGCTGAAGGCAAGAGTTAAACCCGGGCAGTCTGATTCCACTCACGGTGTACGTCTAGTATCCTGGCATAATGACTCACAGCATTGAATCGATGCCAAAGTCGCCCAAATGATCTCCATTCTTGCATTTCTCCAACCCTCTCCACACTATATCCAGAAAGAGTACTCTACGCATTAAACTGCCCTTGCCACTTCACTGTCTAAAACCCTTCAATGGCTCCCTATTGCCCTCCTCAAGAACAAGCTTAGCTTCATTACCAGGCCTACCAGGATCAGCGATCTTGTCCTTGCTCTTGTCTCTGGCCTCATTTCTCACCGTAAACTCTACAAGGCAGCCCTCCTGAACCTCCTTAGGGCTCTCAAGTCACAACTCTGGGACTAAGACAGCCCACAAATGGAAATACAGCAAGCACAGGGAGAAATGGATGGGAGCAGAAAAAAGATGCTAGTCCCCCCACTCCAACCCACAGGACCCAAACTTACACAAACCATGCCTTGTGCTTTGCCATGTCTCCATTAACAATTCATATATTATGTCAAATCCCTCGAATTTTAAAATAAAAATAAAATTCAAAGGTAAATGTTAGAAATCTATGCATTTATGGCTACTGCCTAAGTCCTATTCTTTTGGAATCATTTCTAGAAAGGGTAAAAGCTGACCATACTCAGTACACTGGTCAAAGTCTGAACCCAGAATACCAGGAAACTCCATCCTCCAACACCATCCCCCAAAGCCCACTCTGCAAAGGCAATGACATTTCACAATTTCTCCAGCATTCTTGAAACGCTGAGGGCAGTAGTTTGTGCTAAGCACACAGTGAAAGTCATGTCCAGTTGGCCGTTGGTTCATGCTGTGGCTACTGCCAATTCTTTAAGTGTTCCCTCACCTCAAATCTTTGATGCACGAGGTCCAGCAGTCGTCACTACTAAGTCAACACTGAGACATGTAAATGTTTGTGAAATGAGTAATAACCAGGATGGTACAATTAAGCTCCCCATGAGCTCCTCCCCACTGCCACCTCAGGCCTCACCAGACATTCATCCCAACTGTGGAATCCTGAAGATAATCAGAGCCCGGGAGGCAGATCTTCACCCCTCTGAGCCTCAGATTCCCCAGAAGTAAGCTGGGAACAATAACTCCTATTTCACATGGCTACTGCAAGGATGAAGTGAAATAAAATGTATGGAAGCACCAAGCCAGTGACTAATCCTGAGATGGCAGCACATGATAAATGCTTACTGAATCTGGGAAAGCAAAATTATTCTAGCTCAATAAAGCCTTTTAAAAAGACCAGCGAATTTAGCTTCAAATTCAGTGCAAGAGAAATAATCATCCTGGGCCCACCATCGGGTCATATGCCAAATGTCTTAAATATCATCTTATTTAATCTTTGTAACTATCTGTGCAAATGATCCCCTTTTCAAGTAACAGTAAATTGAGGCTCAGTCAGGTTCAATAATTTGCTCCAGGTTGCAGAGAAAGAACATGGGAGATCCCATAAGAATTTGAACTCCGTTGAATTTGAACCCAGACTTCGTGTCTTTAATCTCCCTACTACTCTGTTGACAAGACCCTGAAGCCAGAGAGAGAGGAAGGTGGATAAGAGTCCAGAAAGGGCAACCATGCCAAGTTGATCAGCACACCTTCATCAGCACAAGTCCAAATGACCAAAGGCGAGTGTCACTCAAGGGCAAAAAGATGGGGAAAGGTAAGCAATCAGTTTAACTGCCTAGTTCAGCCCAACTAGGATCTTTCAGTGACAGAGCTTAATAATTTAACAGCATAAGTCCTTTATCAGCATGAGGCGGGTGACTCCCTGGCACTGTGATTTTAAGCAAATGACTATAGGGCCTCTCTATGCCTCTGACTGCTTCTATAAAACATGGAGACTGTGAAATCTCCCCTGCAGTGATGTTGTAAGGGTTAAAGAAATAATGTGTGGAGATTACTTCACGCAGCCTTGTTATATACTACATGCCCAAGGAACAGTTCTATGATTATGAGGACCCTTTCACAACTAGGATTTCTATAGCCCCTTCCTTCTTCCTCATTTGCTGAAATGAGCCACATCATCCCTCAACTTCTCCTGTTCCTTACCTCCCTCTCCCTTCTCTGTGCACCCTACTCATTGACTGAGACCACAAATGCTTACTGAATACCAACTCCGGCCAGCTGGGGAATCACTCACGCTGTTACATTAAGCTGTATCACTTTGCCTTTGTGGAGCTTACATTCTTAAACTTGTAGGAGAGCGGGGAAGACGGCCAATGAACAAATAACACTACCAGGTACAGTCAAGTGTTATAAAGAACAAAGCAGATAAGGGTACAGAGAATAATCCCTGGAAAGGCAGGGCTGGGTAAGGTAATTAGGAAAAAGCCTATCTGAAGAATCAACGTTGAATCAGAAAGCTGATGAAGACAGAGATCAGGCAATGAATGATCAGAGGGAATAGTTCTGCAGACACAGGGTAAGTGGTTGACAGAGGCCAACAGTATCTTAGAAGGCTAAGAACACAGCTCAATTGCAGTACCCACTATGTTTTAGTATAACTACAGGTTTATAGGCCAGTTGTACCTCTGTGCCCTCTGAAGGTAGGAGCTGTGTTTCTTATTCCTGTCTGCATTCACTCAGTCATATTTATCTGCCCAACATTCTATAAAGAATGAGCTGTAATAAGCATTCAGAAAATATTTGCTACATAAATGATATTTGTTTGATTTTTCAGTTGTGGGGGTTAATTTTATTCCCTGCTGAATTCTGGGCTTTCTGAAGCCCCATTTAGACTTCTTTGTATACCCAAAAGTGCCATTGTCCCTCAACTTCTGCTATCCACCTCTCCCTTCTCCATACTAAACTGCTCACTACAACTACTCTCCCCCTGTTCTCTCACCTCTGCCTCTGCATGAATTCACCTGGACTGCCTTCTTCATCACCTCCACCTTCCTCACAAACTCTCAAGATTAATCTCCAAATTTCATTAGTGTACTGATATTATCATTTGTTCAAATATTTCCAAATCTCTCAAGTTCTTCAGTAAAACTTTTCCATCAAGTAACAGAAAGTGATGCATCAAGTGACAATTGCAGATTGAGTGGTAAAGACAGCTGAAGGACAAATGATCTGAGGTTACTTATGTAATTTCTTTTCCTCCCCCAAATATGCCATATTTCAGTGACTTTCTGGGCTTTGCGCCTGCAGAACTAGACCAGGGTACGAGGGCAGGAATGTTCTCACTACTGTGGGTCTGTGCACTCAATCACTCACCCATAAAAGAAATGCCTTATTTACAGCAAACAAAACCAATTTAGGACAAAGCTATCACTTAACGGTCTTCCCCACAAGGAAGGTCAATAGTTTAGCATCTAAATTATTTGAGATGGATTCCCTTTTCTAAAAGCAGAAATTGCAGCTGTACTTCATTTTAAAAAAAGAAAAAAGTCAAATATTTATTCTCCTAGGCAAGAGGGAGATACAGGTAAGTCACAACTTCCAATGCAGCCGCCACAGCCTCATTTAGCTGATAAGAACTTGCCCATAACCTTTAGTCCTTCACTTACAAAAGTCATGCATTCATCTTTCTCCTCCCACTTCCGTAAAGGCAGAAAATTAGGCTGGAGCCATTCTTTCTGAGTATACAACAGCAGGGGCATGGGTTTAAGCAGTTTCTTTGACAACATACATTCCTCTGTAAGTCCCTGGACAGAAGCTCTGGGCTGCACAGAAAACATACAACAAGGATTCTAAAATAGGAGGCCTGGCCAGGCACAGTGGCCCACATCTGTAATCCCAACACTTTGGGAGGCTGAAGGGGGCAGATCACTTGAGGTCAGGAGTTTGAGACAAACCTGACCAACATGGCGAAACCCCATCTCTACTAAAAATACAAAAATCAGCCAGGCATGGTGGCGTGCATCTGTGGTACCAGCTACTCAGGAAGCCGAGGCAGGAGAATCGCTTGTACCCAGGAGGAGGAGGTTGTAGTGAGCCAAGATCAGGCCACCGCACTCCAGCCTGGGTGAGAGTGAGACTCTCTTTCAAAAAAAAAGTAAAATAAAATTGGAGACCTGAAAGGCAGTGCTTCTCCTACAAGAGAGCTCCATGAACTTCCACTAGCCAAAGAGAGGGGAAATACCCTAAGAGACAACAAAACTGTGCTTAGACTTAAGAACCATTTCAAACTCAGTGCCCTCAGCCAACATTTCCCCTAAGACTTGACTGGCAGTATGTACTCATATCTTGCCCACCATGGCAGTGCCTGGCTATATTACACCACCAAGTACTGCACACACTTTTCACTTGGCTATATGGACACAGCAACATGGCCCCTGTCTACCAGGATTTAGGTCTTTGGAAAGACTTCTAACCATGGTTAGACCCTTACTGCTAAATTCACTGAACACCACTCTGCTAAAAGTTTCAAAGCCAGCCTAACTTAGATTTATAACAGGGGGCGTGTACAGTACATTAATTACATGCCTGTGCTTTGGCTGCCAGGACTGGGATTCAGCCTCTGTATGGTTTAAACCCCTGAAACCTCCTTAGCAGACCCTGCAGGTCTCCACATGATTTGGCCCTTGTCTTCCTCTCAGACCTAGTCTACTACCACTTTCCCCCTCTAATTACCTAGACATGCCCAGCTCATTCTCATCTCAGTCTTTGCACTTGCTGTCTGCTCTGCCTAACACACTCTTCCCCTTAGTCTCACCTAGCTGGCTACCTTTCATCGCTCAGGTCTCAGCTCATATGTCAAAAAGGCCATCTCCAGGATCACTTACATATAATGCTGAGCAATGTGAAGTATGTGTATGCCTACATATAATTTCACCTAAAGTACAAAACTGAACAAAACCAGCGTTATAAGTCAGGGGACTGGTGACCCTTTGTAGGGTGGAGGTAGTGACAGGCAGGAGCACCAGGGGGCCTCTGGGTTGTTGTTAAATGATCGTTTTCTTCATCTGTACCTAGTTAGCTGGGTTTGCATTCAGTTTATGAAAATTCATCAAGTTGTTCATTTGTAATTGTTCATTTTTCAGTATGTCTTATATTTCAGTTTAAAAAATTATGCCAATCAAAAACACACCATATCAAATAGGTCTCCTCTGATCATCCAGTCTAAACTACCCTGCTGTGAAGCAATCCATTCTCCATCCCATGACCCTGACTGATTTTCTTCACAGAATCTGTCATTGGCTGAAATCATTTTCATTATTGGTTATATGTGTACTGGCTCACTCTCTCCCACCTCCATTAAAATAAAGTATCACGTGGCCAAAGACTCTGCCTGCCTCATTCACCATCCCCAAACCCCAGGGCCTACAACAGTCCTGCCAAATGGTATGGGCTGAATAAAAACTATATGAAAAATAAGAAATGACTAAAGTGGACCCTTTAAGGACGTACTATCAATCAAAAGTCAAAACAGTAAAGCTAACAGCAAAGGTGAAAAAAAAAAAAAAACTTCAATGACACTAAGCATCAGGAATATGTGTCAAATGTTAAATTTAACCATAGGGAGGAGGTAGACAAAATGTCATTCTATGGGTATCTTTGAGAGACCAGTTAAAGTTATTTCTCTAAGCAGAAACTGGGTCTTTTATTTCTGTACAGACAACAGTTTTTCACAAGGCCTGGTGGTATAAAATAGGTCTGGGCCAAGAGTGGCAACAGATTTCTGAGACACTTGGTGAGGATTCTTAAGTATGATGAGAGAAGTGGGCCATGTTTAACTGCAATGTCTGCCACGGGCAAGGGACTATGGAAACGTAATATCAAATCAGTGTACATGAAACAGATCATAGGAAGCACCCAAGAATTTGAAAATAGCAATACTCACCATTTTTATGGACAATTCTAAGATGGTCATAAAGAAAAAAATAAAAATGTGTCAGTGGTGCTAATGACTTGGATGTTATATAGTTACTACTGGCATGCAGATTAATTTGCATGTTGATATAATATATTTTCATGAGGAAGTATATACTCACCAGGAAACAGCATGGTGTAACGGAAACGTAAAGGTAAGCCTTTACTCTGGAATGCCACAAACTCTCACTGTATCGTTGAATATGTCATTGAACTTCTTTAGGCCTCAATTTCTCTACCCATGAAATGAGCTGGCTGGACTAAATGATTGCTAATGTCCATTTCCAGTTCTTGGACACTGTGTACCTTTCTATCTTTAAAAAAACCTACTTTTACCTTCTAAGAATTTACAGAAAAACACATCATCCACAAATATGTAAATCACAGTAACCAGATGGGGCGTGCTAACAGATCTTTTTACCCAGTTTTCTTGACAAACCAAGAGTATCTCTCCCCAACCAGATTTTCTCCTGTGTTGCGTTCAGCCTCTTATTTCTTGGTTAGGGAAGTAGGCTTCACATATTTCAGCTAAACACTCTGCATTTTCAGTTTCTCTGTACAATTCATGAGTTTTCACTGCCCTGGGCCCCATGTTTCTCATCAATTCAAGTCTACACTCATGGTAAGCACCCTAGTTCTTGTTTTTTCTAACACTTAAATAATGAATAGGACTTCATCTCCTAGAGCTATTCTCCTTACTCTATTACAACAGTTATTAGTGAGTTTTAATTAGACAAAACTGCCATTCCTTTTGCTACCTCACTATACTGTCAAGCACCTATTAAGAATATTACAGTAGTAAGTATTAGCACCTTTTAAATTTACATTAACAATAACAGAGAAATGGGGAGGCAGGAAATGAAAGGAGAGGGGTAAAAATAGCTCACAGATGTCATAACCAAAGTTTAGAGGAACTCAAAAAATCATTAATCACTATTTTTTAAATTTTCTAAAAAACTATACTATGCACATCCTGGTTAAAATTGTATGAGTGATAATTTGCCTCTCATCAATTAAAAATGGGGAAATAGGCAAGGTCATTAACTCTGCTGTGGCTGAATCCCAGACTGTGCTTTCTTTAAAAGGGAAGAGAGATAGTCTACGGAGACTAACCAGTTCAGTGGTTGAGTGATTTCTACAAGAGTCATCACCAACTCAAAACTTTCCTGAAGTCCTTCTGACTATTTTAACGCTTGCCATCTGCAGAAGGTAAAAATCTGCTAGAGGCCAAGTTCCAATCGCTATCCAGCCCACCACTGACCCTCTTTGATTTCATTCTCCATCAACAAGGAGGACATGGACAGGGTCAATGGTCTAATGCGTTTTAGTGACAGCCCTGATTTTTCATTGGAAAGAGGAGAAAGATCGTTTCCCATTTTTCTCCTTGACCCACGGATTTGACCAACTCAGGCACATTAAAAGTCTGCAAAAGCAGGTAGCCTGCAGGAAGTTCACCCTAGGGGGTGAGTTCCTAGTTGGGCTGAAACGGGTTTCCAGGCATGTTTATCACGTGGTCTAAACGTGCTCAGGGTTAGTGCCAGAAGTTTGAAAAGCAGAATTAGTAGAGCTGACAATAAAACCTCAGGGCTCCAAAACCCGGTCCAAGAAACTTTTCTTAAACTTGCGTCCAGCGCCTGCTTCAGCGCCTTCGCCATGAGTCTGCGCGGGCAGACAGCGGAGACTCTAGTGCGTTGGGTCGCTCATACCCCGAGGCACCCGGGGCTGCCGCCGCGCCGCCCCTGCCCCACACTGGAGCGGGGTTCCCTGCTGCGCCTGGACCCGGCGCCGCGTCACCTCCCGAAGTGGGGCGCCCGAGGGGCCGCGCAGGGGGTCAGGCGGAGACCAAGAGTAGCAGGGGGCGAGGGAAGCCCGGGCAGGCCGGCGCCGCTGCTGGCGCCCGCAGCTCCTGCCCCCACGCTCACCTGGGACCCGGCCGCCAGGAAGCGGGGCCGCAGCGCTAGGGCTCGCAGAAGCTTCCCGGCCTGCGCTGCTACGGGGGACGCCATCTTAAACAGGAAACTCGGCACGGGGCAGTAGGGCGGGCGCGGGCAGGGGAAGGAGGCGGAGGAGGAGCAGCGGGAGGAGGGGTCAGAGGAGAAGCGGGCGCGGGGAGGAAAAGGAGGAGGAGGCAGAGGCGGTCTGGGCCGGGCCGGGCCTGACCCCTGCGTCCCGGGGGCACAGGCGTTCTTAAGGCTGCAGAGCCCTGGGTCCCCCACCCGGCCCCGGTTCACTTTGAGCGGTCCCAAGGCCTGAGGGCCTACTGTCCAGTCCCCAGGTTATCGTCCTGAGCAAAGACAGACCCCGAGCCCTGCGGTCTTGGGGCTCAAACAGTCCCTGGATGGCCAAACAAGCAAATATTCGCCATGGCAGTGGGTGCTGGAAGGGTGGCTCACGGAGCTGACGCCCTCCGCAGAGAACCGTGGTCTAGTCCTGCGGTCACGAGGCCTATCTGGGACAGTGGTGTTTGAGCTGAGACTTTAACGAATAGAGACAGGTGAGGTTCCTGCAGCCCAGGGCTTCAGGTGAGTCAAGGAGAGGCCATTGGAGGCTCTCCATCCCTTAAGGAGTTGTGGGTGTTTTGTTTTGTTCTATCCTTAACCTAAAATCAATGTAAAGCTGAGAGATGAAGCCGGGTGGGTCGGTTGGGGACTTGGAGAACTTCTCTGTCTAGCTAAATGATTGTAAATGCACCAATCAGCGCTCTGTGTCTAGCTAAAGGTTTGTAAATACACCAGCCAGCCCTCTGTGTCTAGCTAATCAGGTGGGGACTTGGAGAACTTTTCTGTTAGCTAAAGGATTGTAAATGCACCAATCAGTGCTCTGTGTCTGGCTAAAGGTTTGTAAACACACCAATCGGCACTCTGTAAAAACGCACCAATCAGCGCTCTGTGTCTAGCTAAACGTTTGTAAATGCACCAATCAGCACTCTTTAAAAAGGGACCAATCAGCACTCTGTAAAATGGACCAATTGGCACTCTGTAAAATGGACCAATCAGCAGGATGAGGGTGGGGCCAAATAAGGGAATAAAAGCTGGACACCGGCGCCAGTAGTGGCCCCTAGTTGGGGTCTCCTTCCAGGTTGTGGTTGCTTTGTGCTTTTGCTTTTTGCAGTAGCTCTTGCTGCTGTTCACTGTTTGGGTCCGCACTATCCTTATGAGCTATAACACTCACCACAAAGGTTTGCAGTTTCACTCCTGAGGTCAGGGAGACTGCGAACCCACTGGGAGGAATGAACAACTCCGTATGCCCCACCTTCGAGGGCTGTAACACTCACTGCAAAGGTCTGCAGCTTCATTCGTGAAGTCAGCGAGACCACGAACCCACAGGCAGGAACAAACAACTCCGGACGGGCCACCTTTAAGAGCTGTAACACTCACTGTGAAGTCTGCGGCTTCACTCCTGAAGTCAGCGAGACCACGAACCCACCGGAAGGAAGAAACCCCAGATACATTTGAACATCTGCAGGAACAAATTCTGGTCACGCCATCTTTACCGCGAGGGTCTGCAGTTTCATTCTGGAAGTCAGCGAGACGATTAAGAACCCACGGGAAGGAACCAATTCCGGACACAAAGCTATTGGAGGATTTTAAGCCCAGTAATCAGAGTGATAAAAGCAACATTCATTTGGAGCTGTGAACCCCAAATACCTGACACAGGTCTCAATCAATTTAAGAAGTTTATTTGGCCACAGTTAAGGACACGTGCCTGTGACACAGCCTCAGGAGGTCCTGACATGTGCCCAAGGTGTGGTGGAGGACACAGCTTGGTTTTATACATTTTAGGGAGATATGAGACATCAATATATGTAAAATGTACATTGGTTTGGTCCAGAAAAGCGAGACAACTGGAAGCAAGGAGGGGCTTCTAGGTTATGGGTAGATAAGACACAAAGGGTTGCATTCTTTTGGGTTTCTGATTGGCCTTTCCAAAGGAAGCAATCAGCTGTGCGTCTATCTCTGTGAGCAGAGGGATGACTTTGAATAGAATGGGAGGCAGGTTTGCCCTAAGCAGTTCCCACCTTAACTTTTCCCTTTACCTTAGTGATTTGGGAGTCCCAAGATTATTTCCCTTTCACAGAGTTTACGCGAGTCTAAGCAATGTGCATATAATAAAAACAACAGCAAAGTTACTGAATGTGTGCCAAGCATTAGACAAATATAAACTTGTTTAGTCTTCATAGCAAAGTTTTAAATGAGTAGAAGTGTACAATCCCCATTTTGCAGAAGAGAAAACTGAGGTGCACAGAGGTTAAGTAACTTGCCAGAGGTGGCAGGTCTGATAAGAGATGAGATTCACATCCCTTCCACCCACCCCCAAATTAAGCACTATTTTAGATTTTTTTTTTTAACCTTACTCATTCTTGAGCATATGATCATGAAAAAAGGTACAATGTGACATAAGTAGACAGCTGTTGCTACTAGCTTCTTTCCTAATCTCTCTCTTTGGAAAGTGGGGGAGCTGAGGATTTTTATTTTAATATAATTTCTAGCCCATTTCGAGACATAGTTTTACCCACTAGATGTAGCATCTTTTGATGATAAGGATGATGATGATTGTTTAAATCAATTATTGTCACGATGGTGGCAAAGTGGCAAGGTCTAACTCCATCCTACATTTATTAGTCTGTATTCTACTCAGAAAAACTGCACTCTTTCCATCATCTCCATTGATGAAAGAAAAACTTCAGCTAAATTAAATGTAAAGGAGTTTAATTGAGCAATGAACGGTTCGCCAATCGGGCAGCTCCCAGAATCACAGTGGATTCACAGAGACTCCAGCGCAGCCACGTGGTGGAAGAAGATTTATAGAGGAAAAAAGGGAAATGACTTACAGAAATCAGAAGTGAGGTACAGAACAGCTGGATTGGTTACAGCTTGGCATTTGCCTTACACAGTTTGAACACTCAGCAATGTATAAATGGTTAAAATATGGCCACTGGGATTGCCAAGACTTAGCTGTTGTTTTAGGTCCATACTTCTAAGTTAGGTTTTCAATCTTGTCTACCTATTAAGCTAGGTTGCAGTTCGTCCACAAGGACTCAAATATAGAAGTACCGAGTCCTCCTTAGGCCATATTTAGTTCACTGTAACACTATTCGTCGGTGAATTGTTTTATTCACTTGTATCACTGTGGACTCATGGATTCTTTTTTATTAAATGGCAAACCGATGCTCTTTCCTGATACATACACTCTGCTGCCTCTGTTTTCAGTCATTTAATCTTCACAGGAGCCCTGCAAATGGGGTCCTACTATTATTCCCATTTTGCCAGAGAGAAACTTGGCCACAGAGTTCCACATGACATTTACATGACTCTAAGGTCAAGTAACTTGCCAAGGGTGACACAGCTTGGGATCAAATTTCCCAAAGCTGGACTCCAATCACTCTTAGCACCCTCCTCTTGACAAAACTGGATTTGAGTTTCCATATTGTTCATCATTACCCCTACTGGGTCCGCCGGGATAGAGCAAAGACTTGCTAATGTTTGAGAGTGAACGTTTAAACTTGGTGAGAGCTTGTGAACATTTTGCCAAAAGGAGGAAGACCACCTATAGAATTAATCAAAGGCTGTTTATTCAGACGTTACTATGCTAAGGGAGTTGGCTACTATCACTTTCCTTCCAAATGAGACTAGAAGTCGTTTGAAAGAAGTGTTAGTTTTATAGAGATAAAGGAGAGACTCTTAAGACTGTCTTTGATTGATGAGTGTTCTTTTAAGATGCGATTATTCTATTATGGGGGGATTTTTGAAAGTGGAGTCGGGAGAGGCTTTCTGATTGTCATCCAAGTACATTTGGTATTCTTTGATTTGTTTACTATCTACTGGTGCGTAACTTGGGGTCTTTCCAGGGTTAGCAGCCTCCTAAGAGTTTTCCTGTCTGAATTGGAAGACTGTCTCATCCTTGGTTCTGGGGTCCAAATCTTTCATCAGCAATTCCTCAGTGTCTTTACTCGTATTATCTCATTCTGCCTTCTCTGCAGGAAGGTGGTAGGGGAGAAGGGACAGAAGGAAGAAAGAGAACCATTTATGTAGCACCTCCAGTGTCTAGCACTGGACTTTGATTAGAAAAAGTAATCAATAAACATATGTGGAATGAATTGCATTATAGAGTTCCTCGTAAGATTTCTCCCTATTTCATACTCCCCGCTTCCACCCTCCAACCTCCCCCAAATAGGAATCTCTTTGAGAACAGGGAATCTAGATTCTACCAGAGTTCTGCACTGTGCTTTCCTGGAACAAGCATTAAGTTTTCAGCCAAACTGGATTGGATTCAAATCTGACCTCCACCCCCTTGAACACCTGTGACTAGGAAAATACCTGGTTCATAGGGTAGTAGTAAGTAGTCAATGATCAGATGTTGCATGTAAAGACCTTGCACATAGTAAAGACTTCATAGATGTTCTTTTTCTTCCTCTAGTGGGTCCATAACAAATATTTGCTTGATATCAAATGTGAAACACTAGGGCCAATCTGAGATGTAGGTTAGGAGACCCCTGACACTTTGTAATTTATCTTGATAGCACTGGAGAATTACAGAGATGTACAAATGCCAGACAAAAGTATTAAGAGTCTAAAGTGGTTGCCTCCAAGAAGAGGATAGAGAGTAGTGGTCAAGGAACCATTACATTTTGTTTTAGAGTTTCAAATATTCAGATTCCTGGTCTCCACCTCATACTCATGAAATCAGAATCACTTAGGATGGAGACTGGGACCTGCATTTTAAATAATCTTTCCAAAGTGTTCTTTAGTTTGAGAACTAAAAAAGCAAACAAAGCAAACCATAGTGGTGAACTCTGAAGATGTTTCCTGGTGAATCCAAAGACGAGTTACTCTGCTATCCCCCATTTGGTTCCTAAATATAGGACAAAAAGTTGATAAATCATAGATGGAGATGATGACTGGTGCTTTCAGAGAGCCTTGACACCTGGTACCAGACCCATTTTCTACCCGTGGTCTAAATCGGCTGCGACATGTAGAAGCATTGGCTTAAGGTGAATGAACAGCTATTCTACGCTTTTGCTGTGTCAAAATGGCAATTGTGAACTGCTTGAACAGTAACTATGGCCATAGGCAATAGCACTATTGAAAGCATTCTGCACTCTGATATCAGACTGAAGCACAGAGGTAGACATTGCAAGTGTTGACTCTGTGATTTAAAAGCTCCATGACCCTGGACCAGTTACTTAACAATCTCAATTCCTTGATCTGTGGAAAGGGGATTATGATAGTACCTATTTTGCCAATGAGATGCATCCTCAAACACTTGAGATCCCAGTGGCTGTTACCTACCATACCTTCATTATTTGACTAAGAACTCTTTTTCGTGTGTTTATTTCTTTAGTATTTACATCTGTGAACCTCAGTTTTCCTATTAGTAAAATGAAGGTCAAGTATGACATCTTATTTGAGCTGTGAGTTGACAGTGTAACACTTCTCATAAACTGCATGCATTTGAAATATGAAGTTGTAAAACTCTACGATTAAGCTTTGTATTTCTAGCACCTTGGCTATACTGTTTCTTATTCAGTTAATTGTTGCAAAAAGAAAAATAAAAACATCAGCAGGCCTATATGCCTTCGCTTTCATCTTAGCAGTGCCTGTTAACAGTGAAATAATGTGCTCATTTTCATATTCGCACTGATTACTCTAGGGGCGCAGATTTACCAGAGAGACATATCATGAAACCCAGCAAAGGGATACTGCATCTAGCAGTTCTGGTGGTGTTTTATCATTACCTTTTCACTTGAGCATAAAAACTGTTTGACAAATACTAATTGTAACCAGCAGAGCTGAATAGAATATTTTAAGAAACAACCCTAATTTTCATGAATTACATATTTGAGTTCATACTGCTGCATGTCAAGAATGAAAATCACTATTACAATGATGAAATAAAGGGCATCTGTGGATTTCATCTGGTTAATTTTTTAATGGATAACAGATTTCTGGAATTTACAGGAGACTAAACTTTTTGGTCTTTCATTGTATGCATAGGTAATATCACTGTTGCTATTTGTGATAGCCATTTTAACCAGTGATTCAGTTGTATTGTTTGCCAGTGGCACAGAAAGAATGGTCATTGTGCTCAAGTTATTTTTCCCTCTTCAATAATGCGTTAAAATGATTAATTTTGATGGTATTTCTCAGCAGCTTTATTTAAATGACGGTCCTCTGTATCTGTGGGTTCCACATCTATGATTCAACCAACTGCAGATTGAAAATATTCTGGGGAAAAAATAAAAAATAACAATAATAAAAAATGATACAAGTAAAAAATACAGTGTAGCAACTATTTTCATAGCATTTACATTGTATTTGGTATTACAAGTAATCTAAAAATGACTTAAAGTATACAGGAAGATGTGCATAGGTTATATGGAAATATTATGTCATTTTATATCAGAGATTTGAGCATCCATGAATTTTATTATCCATGGGAATTCCTGGAATCAGTCCTCCATGGACAGTGAGGGACGACTATGTAAGGTGCCTAGAAGAAAAGGGATTTATGACAAAAACTGTCTCCTTTGCCAACACTGAAGTGTGCTCAAGAGAAATTCTCACTGCATCCTGGAGAGAATTCACAGGAAGCAAGTTTAGAGCAGTGGTGACAGCTCAAAGTTAAGATAAGAAAGGAGGAAGAGTAAGGAACATCATTAACTTAGGGAAGGCCCAGCTGGAGACAAGGTCAGTGGAAGAGACTAAAAACAGAGAACAAGATGAAATGGTGGAAACAAGGGTGATGACATTCTTTTGGCAGGAAGTTTGGAGCTGGATGAAGAAGATGGTAAAAGCTGAGGAAAGAACATTTACACAAAGGACTGTGGAGGTTCTTGAACCGAAAGAGAAAAGTAGCATTAGATTGACTGTGGAAAAGAAGTTAGAAACAAAACCTAAATTCTTATTGCAATTGGAACCTGCGGAGTTCAGCACCTTCAATATTATTAAGATAGCTTCTTTTAAACAGTAAAGTAAAAATTAAAGGAACATTCTTTTACAAATGTCCTGCCTCATTATAAAGTGAGCAGCCACAGCAGTGGTTCTTTTTCTTCTTCTCTTTTTTATTTTTTGAGATTGAGTCTTGCTCTGTCACCCAGGCTGGAGTGCAGTGGCATGATCATAGCTCACTGCAGCTTTGAATTCTTGGGCTCATGCAATCCTCCCACCTCAGCTTCCAGAGTAGCTGGGACTATATATATGTGCCACCACACCCGGCTAATTAAAAAATATATATTTTTATACAGATGGGCTCACTATGTTGCCCAGGCTGGTCTTAAACTCCTGGACTCAAGCTATTCTCCCTCCTCAGCCTCCCAAAGCTATGGGATTACAGGCAAGAGCCACTGTGCCCAGCCACAGGCCATGGTTCTTAGCTTAGGTGTGTAACAGAATTCCTTTGGGCCATCCTCTCCAGAAGTTCTGATTCAGTAGGTCTGTCTTGGGGCTTGAGGATCTGCATTCTTATAAATAATGCCCCTACTCCACTGTCTTTGTTGTAGGTGGTTCATGCTTCATGGTTGGAGAAACACCAACATCAGCCGGGCGCGGTGGCTCAAGCCTGTAATCCCAGCACTTTGGGAGGCCGTCACTGGCAGATCACTTGAGGTCAGGAGTTCAAGACCTGCCTGGCCAACATGGTGAAATCCCGTCTCTACTGAAAATACAAAAATTAGCCAGGCATGGTGGCAGGCACCTGTAATCCCAGCTACTTGGGAGGCAGGGGCAGGAGAATCACTTGAATCCAGGAGGCAGAGGTTGCAGTGCATCAAAGGTAGCACTTTGGCATAGCTAGAGGGAATATCAGCAGCTATCCCATTCCCACCTTTCACATTTTCTCTTCCCTTTCTTCCCCTACTTCTACCATCCTCTTCAAACTTTCCCCAGCCCCTCTAAAACCTAATTTACTACATGCCAGCAAGAAGTATGGACTGAGGCTCCAAAAGATGCCTCTATGCTCTTCCCTCTATCTGAAACACCCTTCCCTGTTGTTCACCAGCATGAGTTTCTCTCATCCTTTGAGTTTCAGTCACCCCCTTCAGGAAGCTTCCCTGAAGCGGGAGCTAGGGGTATCTCAGTGGTTATTAGAGGTTTGTTACTGCATTTGCTACTTGTCTGCTTCATCCTTCAGGATTTTAAAATCTGCAATGACAGGGACCGTGTTCTTGCAGTGTTATTATTCTGCCCACAGTACAGTGCCTGGAAGACAGGAGGTGCCCAACTGCTATTGACTGGATGGGTAAATAAATAAAGATGAAGCTGGTGCAAAAATCTCCCTAATAAGAAGATGCAAAGATTCATGAGTGTCTGGAAATCTGCCAGTAGTCCCCAGTGAGAAAGGAAGTGGAGGCCCATGAAGGGAAATAACCTGCCCTGTGTGATGCACTACACTAGTGGTTTTTATGTACAGTTCCTCAGAGTCCTTGGACACCATAGAACTCCATCTCACTCTCTCCTTCTCCCTGCTTTTATTGAACACTTAGGTGCTTTCTAAATGCTTTACAGAAATTATCTTAATCCTCACTACCGACTTATTTTGCAGACGTACAAACTGAGTCTTAAAGCAGAGAGTAAGTGGCCTGATGTAAAGAATAGGAGAAGGCCAATTCCAACCAATCTGGAATTGATTCTAGGCCAGAATTGTCCAATAGAACTTCCTGCAATGAGGAAAATGTTCTATATCTGTGCTGTACATTATCATGCTATGTGGCTATTGAACATTTGAAGTATGGCTGGTGCAACTGAAGAAATCAATTTTTAATTTCATTTGATTTTATTTAATTTATACTTAAGTTTGAATAGCCACACATGGCTAGTGGCTATCATACTGGTCAACATGGGCTATCTAATTCTGATGTACAGTCTCTGCATCATCATTCCATTTTCTAAAGTGGGTTTCTCCCACAGCAGTTGTTAAAACAAGGATTTGGATACAAAGAGATTATTTAAGAGGTGATCCTAGACAGCAGGAGAGGGATTGAGGAGGTGAGATGGAGAAGGTGAATACTAGTAAAAGACTACATTGATATGCTGTAGGCACTTGAGGTTTCTGTTTGTTTGTTTGTTTGTTTTTTTGGAAACCTTCGAGAGACTTATGGAAAACACTGTATAATTGTTTCATTGAGGAGCACGGAACTGATCATGTTTATTCACCAACTCTCATGCCTTTTTGGTTGAAGGATGCTCCTAGGGGCATTCACACCTGCTCTGAACTCCTTCTTCATCTCCAGCCTGCCTCCCTTATGGGCCATTTCATGCCACTGTACCTAGATAAAGCCTTAGGGCCAAGAGATTCAGGTGCTTGAGGCTGGGTCTATCCTTCTGAGCTGCAAATAACTTCCAGGGTGGATCAAGGGAATGTGGGGTCAGGATAGATTATATTGCCTCTCATTTACAACCAACCATATTAGCTCATATTAGTGTTTTATCTGGAATAGGAGGAGAAGCATTTGAGACTGTTAGAAAAAAGGTTCTGCTATTTAAAAAAAAAGTTTTGAAACTGTAGCTCTAAACTACATTCCTACCTGTTTTCCTGACCACCTCAATTACTAACTTGTATCGTGTTCCATATTATTTCTAGCACAGCATGGATTCTCTAACATTCTTGCAGTCTGGGCCCTGCAAGGTAGCTGTAAAAATGCTGCCCTGGGACTTTCTCAGTGGAGACATAAGAAGACTCAAGCATTCCAGAAAGTGTTTGTTTGGTTGGCTTTTATTGATGTATATAAAAAGATTAGAGACAGCAAGAGAAGAAAATCAGAGAGAACCTATACTTGGTTAAAAAAAAAAAAAAGATTTTACAGCAGAAGTAGATAGAAGTGGTGCAAATGATGATTTCTCCTCTTCTGATATCAAGCTTTGTTAAGTTCCTGGAAAAGCAAACGTGATTATGGCAGGAGTAAATTGACTGAAAGCCAAGTCAAAGAGGCAGATCAGCTTCTGAAGGAGGTCTGCTCACTTCAGCAAAGAAAGCAGGGCAAAGAATCCTAGGCTTTTGAGCTAGTTAGGCCCCCAGTTCCTACAACCATGGGCTGAAATAATGTGGAGAACTCTTGATATTGTAGGCAAAATGAATGTTAGCAGAGTTCCATCAGAGATAATGGCTGGCCATGAGCTAAAGAGAGTTTAGCCACCACAAAGAAGAACCTGCCTGTAGAGATATCTCTAAGCTAAAAACCTCTGCAAGTTTCCTTTCGAAATTCTACCTTAAAAATTTGAAATAACCTCAGATCAAAGTTAACGCAAGAGTTTCCAGAAGAGTGAAGTTCATAATGCCACAAGGAAAAAAACTAGAGGATGACTAAAGTAAAATTTCATTTTAAAATTTTTATTCATCTAGCTGAGGTTGGAAAGAGTAAAATTTTTACATGAAAATATTAAGTATCTAGAAACTCTTATAAAAAGAAAAATTAAAAAGCACAATGATAGACAAAAAGGATGAGAATAAACAATTCAGAAAAAAAAATAGAACTGATCCATAAAAAGAAAAAAATGGCCAACTTCACTTATTGCATTGAAGAAACACAAAATAAAATATAATACTGCCTATTAAAGTTGTACATTTTTAAATAAATTAATTAAAATGCCCAATGTGGGTACAATTGTGGAGGCAGTGAGCACTCTTCTACTTGTTGGTAGAAGTGGAAATTAAATTGTTACATCCTTCTAAAATAATTTGGCAATCTATTAATATATTCAGATCCTAGAATAGTTTAAAGCCTCCAGTCCAATAATTTATTATATCTATATATTGTCTGTTCATATATTTTCTATTTATATATATATCTATAATCTGTATCTACATATATATCTAGCCTACTGCCTATCTTTGTAAATAAAGTTTTATTGGAACTCAGCCATACTCATTAGTGCATGGTATTGTCTATGGCTGCTTTCCACCTGCAATGGTAGCATTCAGTAGTCGCCCTGGAGACCATACAACTAAAAACATGTAATATGCAGCCCTTTGCAGAAAAAGTTTGCTAACCCCTGCACCAGAATATAAACTCTTTGACATGTAAGCTCAATGAGTGCAAATAATTTGTCTGCTTTGTTTGCTATTGCATTCCCAGTGGCTAGAACAGTGCCTGGCACACAGTAGATGCTCAATAAATATTAGTGAAGTCATCAGTTGCTCCTATTAAAGTATATTCATATTGTTTTTACATTTAGTGGGTTTTTGGTTTTACAAATAATGTTGCAGTGAACACAGATCTTTGCTTACTTTTGCAATTATATCAGACACAATATTTTAAAAAAAATAGTTAACAACTTTAACAACCTGGAAAAATACTGTTGATATATCAAATTTTTAAAATAGACTAAAATTTTATAGATGACTCTAAATTTTGTTTTTAAAAGTGTGTGTGCATGTGTGTGCGTGTTTGTGTTAACTATAAATAATTTGAAGGCTAGGAGGTGGGTGGGGTGATTTTGATTTCCTTTCCTTTCTTTTCTTTTTGTTTTTTGTTTTGTTTTTTTTTTTTTTTTTTGAAGTGGAGTCTCGCTCTGTTGCCCAGGCTTGAGTGCAGTGGCGCGATCTCAGCTCACTGCAACCTCTGCCTCCCAGGTTCAAGCCATTCTCTTGCCTCAGCCTCCTGAATAGCTGGGATTACAAGTGCACGCCACCATGCCCAGCTAATTTTTGTGTTTTTAGTAGAGACCAGGTTTCACCATGTTGGTCAGGCAGTTCTCGAGCTCCTGACATCGTGATCCACCTGCCTTGACCTCCCAAAGTGCTGGGATTACAGGCATGAGCCACCACACCCGACCCATTTCCTTTATTTTCTAGACTTTCTACAATGAACACAAATTGATAGGAAAAAAATAAAATCTATTTTTCTAAAAAAATTAAAAGATCCTTTTCCTTTTGTTACTTCCATGTCCTTTTTTTTTTTTTTAACTGTAATACTTTCTGTTGCTACAAGTAAAATCCAAATTCTTCCACCTAATGCTTCATTCTATAGAGCCTCTGGTTTAAATATATGTTTCTGACTGTCTCTGCAATGGCTCTCCTGCACTGATGGTTTATTTACCCAGACTGTGATAGTCTTTGTCCTCAGAAAAGGCCATATACATTCTAGTTTGGCACAGGTATTCACAGCTTTTGAACTGTCCAGAATGCCGCCCTTTCCACCACCTTCCTGAGCTCACTGCTGCAGTGCTTAGCTCTTTCCAGTAGCCTTCCTCAGTCCTTCTCACAGTCAAATCCTCCGTCTCTAACCTCCTGCAGCATCTAAACCCAGTTGCCTTCAGGAGACAAAGCAAGGAAACCTAAATGAATAAAGTAAGCCAAACAAGGGAATAAGGAGTCCTGGGAGCCTTGATAACATGTATGTGCCCTATCTAAAGGCAGTCAAATAAAATAAAAACATTTTTTTTAAGAAGAAGATGAAACAAAGGCAAGGATGTTGATAAAATTTGCCCTGTAGACCATGACCTTATACTGCCTGATCTTATAACCTACTTGAAACTTTGCTTTAAAGCCTGTGGAATTCAGGAATGCAGAGAGAGCTAGGGGAAAGTAAGAGTTAACTAAAGTTCATCACAGCACTGTTCACAATAGCAAAGACATGGAATTAACCTAGGTGTCCATCAGTGGTGGATTGGATAAAGAAAATGTGGTACAGGTACACCATGGAATACTATGCAGCCATAAAAAAGTATCATTTCCTTTGCAGCAACATGAATACAGCTGGAGACCATTATCCTAAGCAAATTAACACAGGAAAGCCAAATAGCACACGTTCTCACTTGTAAGTTGGAGTTAAGTATTGGGTACACGTGTACATAAAGATGGAAACAAGAGACACTGGGGACTACTAAAGGGGGAGAGAGGAAAAGGGACAAGGACTGAAAAACTGCCTATTGGGTACTATGCCCACTACCTAGTTGATGGGATCCTTCATACCCCAAACCTCAGCATTACACAATATAACCATGGAACAGACACCCCTGAATGCACATGCACCCCCTGAATCTAAGACAAGTTCAAGTTATTAAAAAAAAAAAAAAAAGATGAAGATGGGGATAGGTTGAGAATGAGGAAAGAACAAGAGGTTTTGGGATTAAAAAGAAAGGTGAGGCTAAGGCTTTAGAATGGAGTAAGGATGTCTGTGGTAGAAGATATACAGTAATTTTTAGAATGAAATTCTGGTGTTTTATTTTTTAAGCTACAATAAAATATCTCTAGTATTAATATGGGTTAATAAAAACAGCCCAATGAAAATATTACTTCATATTTATTTATTTATTTATTTTGAGACAGAGTCTCACTCTGTTGCCTAGGCTGGAGTGCAGTGACATGAACTCTGCTCACTGCGACCTCCGCCTCCCAGGTTCAAGTGATTCTCCTGCCAAAGCCTCCCAAGTAGCTGGAATTACAGGTACTTAGCACCAAGCTCAGCTAATTTTTATACTTTTAGCAGATACAGGGTTTCACCATGTTGGCCAGGCTGGTCTCGAACGCCTGACCACAAGTGATCCACCCACCTTGGCCTCCCAAAGTGCTAGGATTACAGGTGTGAGCCACCAAGCCCAGCCTCTTGCTTTATCTTCTATACCTGCCCCAAACTTCTACTTGTTGTAACAAAAACAACAAATGGCTAAGCTGTGTTGGATCTGTGTTATGTGCAGGCACTGTGCTAAGCAGTTTTCCTGGAAGTGTCTACCTCATTTCGTTCTCTGAATAGCTCTAAGAGGTAAGTGCTATTGCACTGTTACAAAATTAGAAGGAAAACGTACAGAGAAGCAAAGTAGTTTACCTTAGATGGCATGGCTAGGAGGTTTCAGGATTGACATTTTACCTTAGACTCCAGTCTAGAGTAGTTCCTTTTGTTTCTCTGAGGTGCAGCTCTGAGGTAAAAGAAAGGGAAGATTTGGTAGCAAGGGTGTAAATGAGGATTTCATTCCCTCTGCACTATTGTCCTTTTGGGCTGGACCATTCTTTGTTGTGGGGGGCTGTCGTATGCATAATGGGATATTTAGCAGCATCCCTGGCCTCTACTATTATATGCAGTAGCAAATGCCCCCTCCTTTACACTTGTGACAATCAAAAATCTTTCTAGATACTGTATCTTTCTAAATGTTGTAATGCCAAATATCCCCTAGAAGCATGATATGGTTTTGGTGTGTCCCCACCCAAATCTCACCTTGAATTGTAGCTCCCATATCCCCACTTGTTGTGGGTAGTTACTGAATTATAGGGGTGGGTTTTTCCCATGCCATTCTCATGATAGTGAGTAAGTCTCACAAGATCTGATGGCTTTATAAAGAGCAGTTCCCCTGCACATACTCTCTTGCCTGCTGCCATGTAAGATGTGCCTTTTGCCTTCTGCCATGATTGTGAGGCCTCCCCAGCCATGTGGAACTGTGAGACCATTCAACCTCTTTTTCTTTATAAATTACCCAGTCTTGGGTATTTCTTCATAGCAGTATGAAAAGGGACTAATACATGGGGGTGGGGAGGAAGAGTAAAATCTCCCCTGGTTGAGAACCACTATTATAAATATTTGTTCTTAGAGCAGAAATACCGTAACACTTAATATTGCCAATCTCACCTTTTTGACCTTTAATAATCCTAGATATATCTCCTCCCTCCACTAAAAAACCACTAAAAACAACAAAGATTATTGCATGAAATGTTTTATTTTCATATATCTCATCTTTTAGAGTGGATTAATTTTTTAAAATTATAACAAGAGGGAGGCAAAAAGTTTTAACTCATGAAGCAATCATTAAATGAATTAAAATAGTAATTCTCATGTCATTAGTTTGATTTTAGCCAAGCCAATGAAGCACTATTCTAATATTCTGCACAAAATAGCAAATTTCAATTTGAAAATTCTCCAAGCCATTAATGGTCCTGCTATCCATCTGATTTAGTAAGGGTTCAGAGCATTTGTGAGCTAAACTTTCTCAGGAAGTCATTTTTATACTATCAGCATTAGCCTGTGCCATTAAGATCAGCTTTTCCTTGATACAATGAGTTTTTATGTTATTGTCTGTGTCTTGTGGAAAAGTATAATTTTTAATGAAAGAAACCTAAGATTCTTTCATTAGGCTCCAAATTAGGCTCCAAATTCCCCCACTGTGATTTCATCTCATCAGTCTGTGCAAGGGGAGAGTTTGGTATTCCAAAGAAAATCAATTCAAACTACTAAAAACAATTGAAAAGTGTGAAAAATATTTTTTAAATATTTGAGTATGACTCAAAATACATGCTTTATTTATTGGTCAGCGTGAACAACCCCAGAAGGAAAAAGAGTGCTGTTGTTAAAGGTATCTGGCATCATGGACCCAACCATCACCAGGAGTTTCTCACTTCATCTCTGGTGAGTTTCTCTGTTTAGCATTCCTTTCAAAGTAGGTTTTTTCTCAAGGTGGGGAACCTAGGAGCTCCAGTGTCACATCCATACTTCATTATGACCAAAGAGGAAAGATAGCCCTAGCTCAAGTCTCAAAATATCTAAAAGACCCTCATGAGGTCAGCCGGAGTCCCAGGTGTATTCCTGGAAATCTCAGTGGCCAAAGAGGTGGCTGCCATGCCGTTTCAAGTCAGATTCAGGTACAAGAGGTTTTATTAAGGAAATTTTCTTAGTAGAAAATGGTAAGGGTATATGAAGGCAGGATAAAGAAGAGAAAATTCCTGGTCAAAGCTGCAATTTCAGATGAAGTGCCAGCCTTGGGCCACAGAGAGCTTAGAGCATAAATTACATGTCAGAATTTGTCCCCTTCCACAGCAAGGGAGCTGGGCAAAAGCAACATTGTGCCAGTCATTGGTTACAGCTTGCCTTGGTCAGTGGGATGTAAACCCTGGCTCTCTATATGCATGGCAGCCCTGTTAGCTCCAAGGTAATCCTCTGAAGAAGGTTGCAGATACAAACTTTGCAGCAAAAGGAAGAAGTAGTTGGGGGCTGGGCACACAGCATTTGGTAGAGGGGATCTGAAAGGGCTGCATGGTGTTCCCTGCACACACCTATTCCTAAGTGTCCAAAATGTTGGGTCTCTATGATTGGCAACCCCAATAAGCACCATGCTTTTGAGCCAGGGAGGAGAGATTTACCAAAAGAGGGACTATCCTGTTGCTCTTTTGAAGAAGAAAGAAGTGATGGGCAGACAAAATCTGTATAGCTTCAGCTGATTTGGACTTACCAAAGTTGACCCCAAGCAAGTTGCATTAAGGTCCGATAAACACACACTTAGAAAAGGACAGTTGCATTTACTGCGCACCTAATACTGTTTTGTCAACAGCTTTATTGTAGTATAATTTGCATACAATAATGGCACACATTTAATGTGCACAGTGTGATAAATTTTGACATATGTATACATCCATGAAGCCGGCACCACAATCAAGATAATGAACATCTCGCTTACCCCAGAAGTTTCCTGTGCCCTGTCACTCCTCCGTATTCCTCCATCCTCAGGTAATCACTCATATACTTTCTATCACTATAGATTATTATGTATTTTCTAAAATGTTATATAAATAGAATCCTAGAGTATATACTCTCCTTTGTCTGTTGTATTTATTTTGAGATTAATTCATGTTGGTTTCTGCATCAGTCGTTCATTCCTTTTTATTGCTGAGTAGCATTCTGTTGTAAAGACATACCACAATTTGTTTGTCTGTTCACCTGTTGATGGCCTCTAACACTTTTACATGTCATGTTGCATTTATCTGTCATATTCTTTTCACACTACTGTGAGGTAAGTCTTATTATGCCCATTTAAGGGAAGATGCATTTAGACTTCAGAGAGAGAAACTAAGTTACCTAATTGCTCAGCTAATAAGAAACAGAGCTTAGATCTCTGTTTTTTAACTCAGTAAAGCCTATGTTTTTTTTCTTACTTCACCATCTTTCTAAGCACAGATCTGCACACAAAGTTAGATACTCATTAGTTGATTTTTATCTACTCTAATTAGCACAACTTACATATTCAGAAAAGCTTCTCCAATTTTATATGCTTACTTTCAGCTTTGATGCTGTATTTATACCACAGTTGGGAAATAACCTATTTTCTTCTCTGTTTTCTCTTCAAAATAATAAACCAGAAGAATTCAGTATCCAAAATTTGGTCGTTTTTACTCTACTATACTGAACAATTAGTCCATTTTACTATCATGCCAAACAGCTCACACTTTAACAAATCAACACTAAGTGTGCTCTATTCAGATGCCTTGAAATTTCAAAGTAAAATGGCAAATGATACTAGATGAAAAACGTTAAGAATTTCAGCAGATTTTGCAGTGATGAAACTTTGTCTTACCTCTTAGAAAATGCCATTGCGCTGACTTTAGTGCCTTAAACTTCTAAATTGCATTTGACTTACATGTTTTCACTTGTGTGTGTACAGTCTCCCCAATTCAGTTGTGAACTCTTTGAGATCATCTAGCAAGCCAACTCTCTATAAAATCTGTATGTCCGAGTTCAAAGCTCTAACTCCACTCAACCCAGATGGTATACATTCAAATCCTGTTGGCCTAACATTTTCAAATGGAAAGAATACAATTAGAAAGATTTTACCTGAATTATAGAAGCCTCATAAAGCAGTGAGAGCCTAGAGGCTAAGGAGTCATGGGGAAGTTAAATAAAGTCTTAGTCATGAAGATCCTGTTGAAGCTCTGTCTGTATCCCCTAAGTGCTTGCCTCTGTAGTCAGCTTACTGAAAACCCTTTAATTCTCTCCACCTAAGGTCATTTCTCTGTCTTTGGAAGCAAGCTTGGCCAGCATGCAGGGCAGGCTAGAAGTGCAGAAAGGTTAATGCTCCAGGAATCAATCCTAAACCAATAACAGAAAGTTGGTAGATAAGTACCTTAGCACCTTTGCTTCTGGGAAGGGGTAATTCTAAAGCTGTTCTACTTTGTTTTGAGTTCCCCCAGTGAGTTGGGTTCTGTTACCCACAGCAGTCAGCTGCTCAATAAATCACCCTTTATTATCTTCCTTCTCTGTCTCATGTCTCAGTTTTTCTCCCTCTGTGTCTTGGGATCACTTCTCAAATAAACTTCTTGCACCAAAATCCCTGTCTCAGAGGCTAATATGGGGGAAAGCCAAAGACAGACGTTAACCACCATGGCACGTCTATAGCGTATTGGGTTAAATATTTTATATACATTAATCCATTCAATCCCCATAATGAAGATAAGAGGTGGGTATTTTTATTCTTATTTGATGAATAAATGAAGTCTGAAAAGTTAAGAAATTTACCCATGTTTACACTTTATGTGGCAAAGTCAGGTGCCCTGCGCCCCCAAGTGAGTGAATCCCAACCCTATGTTTTGTATTTTTGTTTTTTTGGTTTTTTTGAGACAGTCTTGCTCTATCACCCAGGCTGGAGTGCAGTGGTGTGATCTTGGCTCACTGCAACCTCTGCCTCCTGGGTTTAAGAGATTCTCATGCCTCAGCCTCCCAAGTAGCTGGGATTACCGGCACCCACCACCACACCCAGCTAATTTTTGTATTTTTAGTAGAGACAGGGTTTCACCATGTTGGCCAGGCTGGTCTCCAACTCCTGACCTCAGGTGATCTGTCCGCCTTGGCCTCCCAAAGTGCTGGGATTACAGGCGTGAGCGACCATGCCCAGCCTCAACCCTATGTTTTACACACTATAAAAACTCTCAGGCTAGCTCCCTTGGAATTGTGGAGTACAGAATTAACCCAACCTCACCTGTTAGCACTGGAAAATGTCAACATCTTTTTCTTATATTTATGATAGTGCCCAGGAAAGGACTGGGTACATTACAGCTCCCAGTAAAAGCTGGTTAAATTGCAAGGATTTTTTCTTTATTTGTTGTGACTCTTGTGAAACCTTGACCAGCAATTTAGAATGAACATTGGCTTTGCTAGCTGTGTTTGCAGAAGTAATATCAAAATGATATCCTATTCATGTTTCTGCAAGAGTAATGTCTACCATTCATTCTGGCCTCACTGATGGTGTGCTGATAAGATTACTATAAGTGAACATTCTCATTCTGTGCCTCTCATTATTGAGGAAGGAAACTCAAGGAGTTCCAAATATATTTTATTTTTTTAATATGATAACATGCACACACAATTTTCCTCATTCTTGAATATATGCAATTTATCTATCAGAGCAGGTTTCATTTTTTATGCACTTGCATTTATTCCTTTCTCATCCATGTGTCAGAGAGAAGGGATTGTAATCACTGAAGGAGCATTTGTATAATAAAAGTGATATCTGCAATTCCTTCAGAGAAGAGCGTGAATAAATAATCTGTACATTCTTAATGCATTGCTCCAAATATGAGTTTCAATTTGCACAGAAGTTTCAATAAATTGTTTTGTGTCCCTAAAGACCTACAGATGCCTCATGGGATACATTGTAAAGGATTCCATTTAGAAAGAATTTTGCTTGTGAGTAATATATTCTCTATACTTTTCTTCCCTTTGTTAATGCCTAATGACATTGAATAATACAATCACTTTTTTCTTTTAATAAGTGATAGATACAACATGAACTTCAGTCTAAAGTTTCTGACTTGTTCAGAATTCATCAACAACTTTTCATTCAAGGATTTCAAAGCACAGCATACAACCAAAATTGAGGTCAAATTGTGATGTGGTTTGGCTCTGTGTTCTCACCCAAATCTCATGTTGAATTGGGATTTTGAGTGTTGGAGGCAGGGCCTGGTGGGAGGTGACTGGACCATGGAGGTGGTTATAATGGCTTCGCACCATCCCCCAAGTGCTATCTTGTGATAGAGTTCTCACGTGATCTGGTTGTTTGAAAGTGTGTAGCATCTTCCCCTTCTCTATCTCTGTCTCTCTCTCTCTCTCTCTCTCTCCTGCCATCCGTAAGAAGACGTGCTTGCTTCCCCTTCACCTCTGCAATGATTGTAAATTTCCTTAGGCCTCCCCAGCCATGCCTCCTGTACAGCCTGCGAAACTGTGAGCCAATTAAATCTCTTTTCTTCATAAATTACCCAGTCTCAGGTAGTTCTTTATAACACTGTGAGAATGGACTAACACAAATTGTAACTTGAATTTGTATAATAATTAACTTTGCATTTAATAAGTAATGCACACTACGCTAAGTTTTATGTATTTTATCTTTACAATATTCCTATGATGTGGGTGCTATACTCATTTTATTGATAAGCAAACTGAGGCTGAGAAAGGATGCTTTGCAGGAGGTCACACAATTGTTACAGTGTTTAAATATTAATCACAAGTTTTGTCATTTTATACCTTTTTAATCAGTACTGTACAGACATTCCCCTGCAGGTTAGCCTAAATGTCAAATAATTTCTCTGTAATAGTTGGTACTTGTTCTGAAGGCATTAAATAGCTTGTGATTTACATTATGTTGCTGAAGGTTTTACATAATACTTTGCTTGAATTATTATAAAAGGAACGGCAGTTAACATTGTTGTTACATCTCAATCAATGTTAACCAATTCAACTTAGACAATAACATCAAATTCTTCATGTTTTTGTTGCTTTGGTGGTTTAGAAGGGTTCTGAAACTCTTTACATACATATGCCAATGATTCATTTCTGGATTCATTGTGCTGGTAGTATGGATGAAACATGCTGTTTTAAACATAAATTAATTACAATGGGCAGAATAAATAAAGATTCTACCTCTTAAATTTATTTATTTATTTTATTATGATGATAATTTTTTTGAGACTGAGTCTTGCTCTGTTGCCCAGGCTGGAGTGCAATGGCATGATCTCGGCTTACTGCAACTTCCACCTCCCAGATTCAAGTGATTTTCTGCCTTAGCCTTCTGAGTAGCTGGGACTACAGGTGTGCATCACTACACCCAGCTAATTTTTTTTTGTATTTTTAGTAGAGACAGGGTTTTGCCATGTTGGCCAGGCTGGTCTCGAACTCCTGATCTCAGGTAATCCACCTGTCGCGGCCTCCCAAAGTGATGGGATTATAGGTATGAGCCAACATGCCCAACCTACCTCTTAAATTTAAGTAATTTTTTTAGCTTAAGGATGTTATGAAGCTTCAAGTCTGTTATCTAGGAAGCTTATAACACTCTAACATTAATAGAGTATCATTTTTGTAATTGTTTATAAAATTTCATGTGAAAAATGGGAAAGAAGGGAGCCAAAATGTTTTAAAAAATCTTTTTGGACCTCTAACCTGTGCCAAGCATATTCCAAGGTGTTAATTACTTCCATTGCATTGTGGTAACAGCTTGAGAAGTGGAGTGCTGATAGTCCACATCCATTTTATCAAGGTTATGCGAGGTCAAGAAATTTGCCCAAGTTGAAGTCACTTGGAAGTGTCACAGTGGGGATTTTTTTTCCTTTAAAAAATTAAAAAAATTTTTTTCTTTATGATTTTTTTATGCATGTGTATTTTTAGTAGAGACAGGGTTTTGCCATGTTGCCCAGGCTGGTCTTGAACTTCTGAGCTCAAACAATCTGCCTCAGCCTCCCAAAGTGCTGGGATTACAGTTATGAGCTACCGCACCTGGTCCGGTGTGGGAATTTTAATCATGGACAGTCTAACTTCACAGTGCAGGCCTTTTCTGTTTCAGCATATCCCAAAACATGGATGACACAAACCAGTAACTACAAAGATGATAATTGGTGCTATGTGAAAATTACGTTTTTATATGGGCCAAATGAATTTGGTTAACAATAGGTGGAACAAAGTTAACCGTATTTCTTTACTATAGGATTTCTCAGAGCCCATAATATGCTAATTCACAAACTAAATCTGAGTTATGGCAGGCTCCTAGGATTCTAACCCCCTAGCCTACCTGTCCTATCTGATCTTCCACTGAGTGAGGGTGGGATTTGTGAAACTGATGGGATAGCACTCCTGTGAGTAGGCGATATGATGTAGCAAAAGTGAAGGATCACAAATCAGTTGACTTTACATTAGTCAAAAAGGAGAATCTCCTGTGTGGGCCTGACTAAATAAGAGGGACTGGGCTCTTCGCACTGACCTTGAAGAACAGACAGCTAAGTGCGACTGCCTGTGGAGAGAGTACATCTCTCTCTGCTGGGGGCCTCAGTTCAGCCTCTACCAGGAGCTGAATTCTACCATATGAGCTTGAAGGAGGACCCTGAATTCCAGGAAAGAACATAGCTAACACCATGATTTCACCCCTGTTAGACTCTGAGCAGAGGACCCAGCCAAGCCAAGCTTGGACTCCTGACCTAGATAAAAAATGGTTGCTTTAAGCTGCTAAGTTTGTGGTGATATGTTATGCAGCATAGAAAACTCATATGGGGATATAACATTTTGTTTTCAAGAAATCTTTCTTTTTTTCCCCAGAGTATCTTATGGGACTGGTGTTCCATAGAATCAACTTTGGGAAATGCTGTGTTTTTATGGCATTCTTTTCTCCTTCAGAGAAAGACTGATGGTTAGACACAGCCTCTGCTACCAGGAATGGTTGGAGCTCGTGATTCAGAGAAGGGATGCATGTCCCTTTGGTGAACCTGGTTTCCATGTGGGATGAAGGTTGAAGTTGATGAGTTAGTGAGGTGAGGTTGACTTGATGGTTGGTAGTGAGGTGAGGTGAGGTTGAGTGGGATGGTAGTGAAGGTTTAGTTGATGAGTTAGCAATGTTTAGTGAGAGTGATGGTTAATTTTATGTGTCCACTTGACTGGGCTACGAGGTGCCCAGATATTTGGTGAAATATTATTTCTTGGTGTATCTGTGAGGGTATTTCTAGATGATACTGACATTTGAATTGGTGGACTGAGTAAAGCAGATTGCCCTCATTAGTGTGGGCAGGCTTCATCAAATCTGTTGAGAAGGCCTAATAAAATAAAAGGCTGCAGCAGAAAAAATTCTCCTTCTCTGTCTGTTTTCAAACTGGAACATCAGTCTCCTGTTGCTTTTGGTCTTGGGTCTCCAACTTGCCTATTGCAGATCTTTGAATTTTCAGTCTCCGTAATCATGCAAGCCAATTCCTTATAGTAAATCTATATCTATAGTTGTATCTCTTATTGGTTCTATTTCTCTGGAGAACCTAGACTAATACAGCTGGGTTCACAGTGACAGAGAGTGGTAGGCACCTGGAGTCATGAGTGGGCTACTCAGATAGGTCCTCACATTGTGATATTTATCCTGGGGAATTATCACAGCCAAGGCACTTCCCTTCTCATCCTTACCGATTATGAAATTCACGCTATCAATGTCCCAGAATTGATGAACGATTCCTTCCAAAAACACTAAAAGAAGGAAATCAAAGTGCCCACAATTTACAATGATAAACACAAGAGTTGGATACACCATCTTTGAGTGGGTCTTATTGGGCCATCTTCCCCTTACAAAACATCACATTTGTGATGTTTTAGATATGGGTGGTAAGAAAGAAGGGCACATCCTAAACAACATCTAGGTTTCTGACATGTTAATAGAATGGTTGATTCACAGTGGCCATTCCTGAGAAAGGATCTCAGTTAAGTGGAGAAAGATCATTAGTTAAGTCATGCTGAACTTGAGATGCTTTTGAAACATCCAAAAAAAAAAGGAGCTGTTGAGATCTGCCTGGGCAACAAAGTGAGACCCTGTGTCTACAAAAAATAAAAAAGTTAGCTGAGCATGCATACCTGTCATCCTAGCTACACTGGAGGCTGAGGCAGAAGGGTTGATTGAGCCTAGCAGTTTGAGGATGCAGTAAGCTGTGTTCACACCACTTCACTTCAGCCTGTGTGACAGAACAAGACCCTGTCTCAGAACAACAACAACAACCAAAAAAAAAAAACTGTTAAAATTAAATATGTATTAAATATGTGGTCTCTCCCAGGCTGAGCATATATATATATATACATACATACATACATACATATATATGTGTGTGTGTGTGTGTGTGTGTGTGTGTGTGTGCACGCTCCATCTGCATAAAGATAATAATTGAACCTATGATCATGAATGAGATTATCCAAGGAGGGGGATCAAAAGAGAGGCCCTAAGATTCCTGAGGAATTGCTATGGCTAATGGGCTGGTAAAGGAGGATAAGCCTGAAAAGAAGACAAGAACCTTTTGTAAAAGCATAAGAAGATAGAGTTTGAGTTCCTACTTGAAGGATAATTAAGCTTCTGACTATAGATATCAGTAGGAAGGACATTCAGGGATAGAGGGAAGATAATGAACTAAATCATTCAGGGCAAAGTGAGCAGGGCAGATGAAGGCAAGGGCAAGTTACATAGTTTGATTGTTGAGGCTGAGAAAGAGAGAACTAAAAAAGGAGATAATTGCCTTATGACAAGCAGTCTGAAATGCTATTGTACAGATTTGTATTCATCCAGCAGACTTGTGGTTTTGAAACTCAGGAGGCCAGGTGTTAGTGCTCTGCACCTCCTGCCCACACATCACTGTGGCACCTTTGCTGCTATCTTTTCATGTGTGGCTAACATAGTATTTTGAGACATGAAGTTGTTATCTATAGAGTCACAGATATGAATCTATATTATGTTTCCTCTGTGTATTTCCTTCAGCTCAAATAAGAATATGCTGTATACAGTCATGGCCTGTTTTGTTTTTCCATAGTGAAGGCCACAGGTTGGAAACTCAAATTACCTAGAAGGATGAGACAGGGAACGTAAACAGGTGAAGTGGACTGGGTGCAAGAGAACCAGGAGATGATGAGGTCTGTAGTAAACTGAAGAGCCACTTTTCTTCTTTAAAGGATTCAAATCTAACTTAAACAACAAAACCAAACACTGTGCAAGCCACACAATGCCTGTCTGTGCGCTGTAGTCAGCCCCAGGGCCACCTATTTATGACCCCTTGATGAAATTTTGGAGGAATTGGGTGAAGAAGATAATAGAAAAGTAAGAAGACTAAAACTTACAGGTATACATACCAAAATGTGCTAAAGAAGTAAAGGGGAGCATATGATTTCCTCTCCCCGTCCCCCAAGATTAGAGGTATCCCTCCACATTGTGGAGGGGTTGGAGAGACCAAAGGGAAGTTTAGAAGTGCCTGAATCCTGGGGCTGCCTGGGAGGTAGTAAAGCCTTAGGACAATGGCTGTCCATGAACAGACACAGCATGGAAGCAGCAGAGACCCTGTGCACTGGAAGGGCCAGGTGGGCAGGAAGAGTGTGGGGGTAATCGATGCTAATTCCTTGGTCCCACACATCACTGAGAAACCAGGAAAGCCTGTCTATTGTTGAGACTTTCGGCTCAGCTGAGGATCCCAGCACCATGGTTCAACCCTGGGAATGTGGGAGAGGTCACGAATTAGACTGAGATTTTCTTCCCTCCTAAAAAAAAAAAAAAAAAAAAAAAAGAGGAACAATCAGAAATTAAGCTGTTATTTTAAAAATACAAATACAGATATATGACAAATTTTACCAACCTGGGTCTAAGGCCCAAGATTCGTGTCTCTTATGTACATTCTGGAGTTCTACAGAAAAATTATCTGGAAATAAACTGAATTCACTGCTGTGAGTGACCAATTACCCCTATTTGCCACGGCTCTCTCAGTCTTTCAAACCTAAAATGCTAAAGCTGGGGAAGTTCCAAGCAAAGCAAGACAAACTGATTTCTCTATCACTGCCAATGAAGCACTAGCAAATTCCTTCCCTGAACAAGGGTAGGTTTTTGAAGAGGAGAGTGTTATGATCAGAGCTGTGTTTTGAGATCAATCTACTTGCCATGTGTATAATGAGTGGGAAGAGAAAAGAGGCCCTGAGACCAGTTCAAGTTGGGCAGTGGCTCTGATGAGAGAGAGAGGGGGTCTGGATTAGGAAAGAGGGTGTCAGAACATAGAGTAGAGGCAAGATTCAGATGATGCTGTAGTGATAAGTGGTTATGTCACCAAACTGGGGGATGTGGAGTCAGGTTTTCGTAACTAAATAAAACCTTAGCCATACTGGCTGATTTTTAGGCAGTATCTCCATCAGCCTATGCCAGTAGTTCTCAACCAAGGAGAGATATTTGGCAATGACTAGATGTTGTTGGTTATCTCAACTGGTGAATGCTACTGGTATCTCATAGGTAGAGGCCAGAGATGTGTATAAACATTGTACAACACACAGGACAGCCCCCACAAGCAAGAATTATCCATCCCTAAGCGTCAACCATGCTGAAATTGAGAAACGCTAAGCTATGTGAACCTGTATGAGAAACACATTACTATTATTATATAGAGCATATATTCTAGGTCTATGTAATGATGTATGCTCTTACAGAAAATATTTGTTGCATTAGACAATGAACTTTTTCAAGTCAGATATTTTTGTCTCTGATTTTCCAAAACCTAGTACATAATAGATGCTGAAAAATTGTTCAGTGACTGAAGAACAATAGCCATCACTTTTTTGAGCTGTTACCGTGTGTCAGGAACTTCTTTATAATTGCATGCAGTGTTCATAACAACCCTTAGTGTTAGGTTTATGATCCCCTCATTTTATGAATAAAAATCTGACGATCAGAGAGGTAAGTCACTTACTATTAGGTTGATGCAAAAGTAATTGCGGTTTTTGCCATTACTTTTGCACCAACCTTGTAGTAACAAAAGGAGCCAGTACTGAAACCCTTGCATATCTGACTCTGATGTTTATTTTGCTAACCACAACACTGAACCAACTCTGTTTTAACCTGGGTCCAAATTGTATTGGCCATATTCAAATTTCCAATTACCCGAATGCTCTAATAAGGCCTTTATAAGCTTCATAAACTATCCTCTCCTCTTTATTTTTTTGTTTGTTTATTGCCACTCTCTAAACTTGCTATTGCCATATGCACATTGAGTTTATAAATGTACCACATTAGTCAGGAACATTCTTTTTTTATAGCAGAAACATTTCTAGATGTAGTCCTGGGATTTATGTGTTAATATTACCAGTTGGATAGTATATTTGATATTATTTTAGTAGATAAGAAATCCTTGATGATAACAGCGAGCAAAAATTACCACTCCTCTTCCCGTTAAAAAAAAAAATCTCATTCTATTATTTTGGGGTGAAATGTAACCCAGTGCATTTTCATTTTATTCACTGCTTATATTGTTCTCTCCGTAAATTTATTCAGGAAAGAAAAAGAAAGTTAACTGAGATGGGGAAAATTCAACAGCAATGTACGGTCAGCTCTAAAGAATGTATATTGTCGTTTACCACTGTTAGGCTGTCTGATGGTTGATTGCTTTCTGAAAGCTCTAAAAACAGGAGATCAATATGCTGCAAAAGTCTGTTTTAGCATTGCAGGAATTTTTAACCTCACTATACTGCTATCGGTACGTGGCTAGAATAGACTAATCCTGCAAATAGTTCATAGAAACCCCTCCACATTTTTTACCATCTGGCCCCAACCTAACTTTTCCATCTCATCTTCTGTCTCCATCTACACTCCTGTCTCACAAGATCAAATATCATTGACTGAATGTGCCCTAAATATCCACCTACCTGGATGTTCAGGTCTTTTGGTCTAAAGTGTTCTACTCTCCTAGGTGAAGACCAGTTAGTTCTTCGAAGCCAAATTCAAATACCACACCAAATATGAGGCCTTTCCTCACCTGGTTCTCTCTAACCAGCAATCGTTCACTCACTCGTTCAACACACTTTTATTGAGCCCTATGTCAGGTACTCTTGAGAAAGTGGCAAATAAAACAGATATGGTTGCAACCCTCCTTGAGCTTATGGCCAACAGCAACCCAGAAACATTAATTACTGACTTTCCTGGATTCCCACACTGTTGCTTTTTGTCTCTATTTATGTTCTATCATATCTTTATTATTTTTTATCATGGGCCTACCCCTGAGCATCATAAACCATTCTGTGTCTTATTAATCTTTGCATTTTCTCAGTCCCATCCAAACCTGTCACATAGTAGACACTCAGTAGACTTCTGTGCAGTAGGATTAGATTTTCTATGCGATACCTGAAATAGTACAATAAGTCAATTACATAATTCTATGGTTCCACTTTAACTAATTTATTTATTTTTCATTTTTTTGAGACATGGTCTTGCTCTGTCACTGAGGCTGCAGTGCAGTGGCATCAACCTGGCTCACTGCAGCCTTGACCTCCTGGACTCAAGCAATCCTCTCACCTCGGCCTCCAAAGTAGCTGGGACCACAGGTGTGTGCCACCACACCTGGCTAATTTTTAAAATTTTGTAGAGAAGAGGTTATGTTACCATATGTTACCAGGCTGGTCTTAAACTCCTAGGCTCAAGTGATCCTCCCACCTCAGTCTCCAAAAGCACTGGGATTATAGGTAGGAGCCACCATGCCTGGCCAACTTTTATTTTTCTAATACTGGTCTCTCTTTTCTCTTTGACTGTTGCCCTGGATTTAAGCAGAAAAATAAGCAAATAGTTTTGTCTATTCAAGGTCCCTTGTTTTTTTCTGATTTAAAATGCCCTAAAATTTAAACTTGATTTATTCTAATCTGTGCTACTCAATACACGTGGCCACTGATCACCTGAAATGTGATTAGTCTGAATTGATCTTTGCTGTAAATGAAATCCAATGGAATATGCACTGGATTTTAAAGACGTAAAATATCTGATTAGTACTTTTGTATTGATTATATATTAAAATTATAGAATTTTGATTATATTGGGTTAAATAAACTATAGTATTAAAATTTTTACCTGTTTAATTTTGCATTCTCAAATGTGGTTACCAGAAGGTTTTTAATTGTATGCATGGCTTTCATGATGTTTCTATTGGACAGAGCTGCTCTAGATGCTTGTCCTTCCCCTTCTCTGGCTCTTCTTCCCCGAGCAGTTGCTATAAGGGGGATCCTATCTCATTCTGGTATTTGGGGTGACAGTCCTTAATGCTGGCTTTGCCTGTAGCTAGCTTGTTGCACTTTGGAGTCCAAAGGTCATATCTGCTAGGCACATAGGAAGACAAAAGGGTCTAGATTCTTGGCCTTTTTTTTTTTTTTTTTTTTTTTGTCTCCCTTAAGACTATACCTGTTAGCAGGGCTTTCCACTTTCCTTCCTGGAAATATCTGGTTGTGTATCACTTCTGTCTCCATCTCTGCAGCAATTGGTCTCAGCTTCTTAGCCCAATCTTCATGGCAGAAGAGCTGTAAATGGGGAAAGCAACTTCCTCCCAAGAAGCAAAATGCAGTTTGATATTTCAAACTGTCATTTCCTTCATATATGTTGATTGCTTGAGTGAAAAACTCAAAACATTGAGCCATAGCTTGAGTTCATCACATGGGAAATAAAACTTAGTTTCTGTCAAAGTCTCACTCACTTTCAAGGCCAGAGGAGTTTTCAAAGAGGATGCTGCAATAAGCCTCACAAGAACATAGGCTTTCTTGTAAACCACTCAATGGGTAAATGTTAGTTTTGCAGACCCAGAGTAGTCCCTTAGTAAACCCAGCCATTTATAATTTCCCCAGGATTTAAAATCTCAAGCTGTGAGAATTCTCAGTTTTCACTTGTGACAGGACAGAATGGAAAGATTCCCTCTATGACTACTGGTTCTATATATTTCATGCCACTCTGGGCTCCAGTTTACATTCTAATTTAACAATTCAGTGTGCAAAATTTCCTTCTTTTAATACCCTACCTATCACTAGGTTGTAGCTTCAAATAGGCCATCATTATCAAAGCTTCTTGGTGAATCCCTTTGAAAATATTGTTAAGCAGTCGCCATTCTATTTTATAAAATGTCAAATGATTGTCCATGGATGCTTACTCTGCCCTTGCAATGACTAATCTGTATAATCTGTAGTCCTATCAATGAGCTGTTTTTCTCCTCCCGGGCCCTGTTGTTGTTCATCCTATTTCCCTCCCTGGCAAATGTGACAGTTGTAGCTGTTGTTATTTTTCTCAAATGAGTTTAAATTGTGAATTACATCAGTTCGTCACAGCCAAAGCAAACCTCTTTTTAATTGCAGATCTCAAATGTCCCCCCTCTAAATTAAAATAAAATGCACAAAATGCTGCCAACTGTTTTTCCGACTCTTCCAAAATGGAGTATATCCAAAATGCTACTGATGGATTGAGCCACATTAAGACATATAAACATTTAAAATCACTTACAACTTTTTTGCTGTTAGGGGAAAATGTTCACATTTTAGTTGTGGGGGTTGCCTGTGAGGATGAATGTGAGTCTGTTGATTGCCATTTGTGTCCCTTTGAAGTAAAAAAGAGTTTTGCCAATTTTCAATAATTCACCATGGAGATTTCTGTGGGTTTGTAGTCAGATATAAGTGGCTGCATTGCCTTTGAGAAAGGACATTGAGGATGTCCATTTTAATAGCTGTGTAACCTTGGGCTTGTCCTTTAACTTCTGTGAACTTCATCATCATCATTCATAGACTTTGAATGGCGATATATGCCTTGCAGAATTTGGGGAATAATTATAAATAATGAATGTAAAGTACTTGACTTGAATAGGTGCTCAACAATGAAGCTGTTATCAAGATCCACAGAGTGACAGCATCCAAATGTCACACGATAAGCAGACCCCTGAGCCTTTTGGGTTTCATGAACCAAAATAATTTCAAATATTTTTGTTTTTAAATTAAATTTAGTTTTTAATATTTGTATGGATTCAGAGGGTACCCGAGCAGTTTTGTTATGTGGGTATATTTGTTCAGTGGCAAAGTCTGGGCTCTTAGTGTACCCATCACCCAAGCAGTGAACATTGTACCCAATTTCAATTTTTTTTTAATGGAACTGATATAAAGTTGACAAAATTTACTTTTATTTTCTTAAGTGAAGGCAACAAAGAAGCAAAGCCAACTAAATTCTCATCATTCTTGCAAAAGAAAGAAATTTAGCAACAACAACAAAAAGGGAAGGACAAAATCTGAGAAAATAATATAACCCTTTAAATTAAATAAATGTAGATTCATGACAAAAGTTTTAAATTTTTCATTTCAGCATGAACGAAAAAAAATCATCCATATTGTTGAGCTGCTGAATACCCAGGAAAGGCTGGAACCCATTTCTTTGTTCATGTGTTTGTCCAAATCCTGTGTTTCTCTCCATTGACTCTTGTTTTCTGAATGACCAACATATTAGAGCCATATCTTATAAGGGAAATGGGATGATGGTGAGCTTCTTTTTCCCATGGAGGCTAAGTTTAAATTATTTTCTTTCAGACGCACCCTGCCAGGCTCTGTTGCTTTCTGATCTATTTTCAGTGGCTCTTCATCTGACCTGAAAACATGCATGGGTGCTTGTTCACTGATGTTCCCATCTGTACAGATCTGCTCATAGTCTCAGATTTAACAAGCCTTATTTTATCACTTTCATTTTCACTTCCTATTTGCAGAATATCACAAGTGAACTCCCTGAAGATTCTATAATCTTTGGTTTTGTTTACTATTTCTTTAGAAATGATGGTGGCCCCAGATATTTGTTTCTCCTCTATGGCTTGAAATGATCCATTTCTTAATTTTTAAGGATGTAAATCCTTCAAAGTTGGACATTTGGTTCAACATATGTATCAAGAGCCAAAGAATGCATTCTGTAACCATATGTGATTGTGTTCCATAAGAAAGGAAGACTGAGGAAGAATGTCATATTGTTATAGAATTAGAATTTGGAATTTAAAGTTAGACTTATAAACAATAGACCAAGACCTTCCGCTTTAGACTGGAAAATTGTCTAAGGAGGAAAAAGACCTGCCAACAGTCACGTAGATATTAGACCAGGGATAGATGATGACGTGATTTGGCTGTGTCCCTACCCAAACTCATCTTGATTTGTAGTACCCATAATCCCCGTATGTCATAGGAGGGGCCAGATGGAGATAATTGCATCATGGGGGCTGTTTTCCCCATCCTGTTCTTGTGATAGTGAGTTAGTTAGCGAGTTAGTTCTCACGAGATCTGATGGTTTTATAAGGGGCTTTTCCCCTTTTGCTTGGCACTTCTTCTTGCTGCTGCCACGTGAAGAAGGACGTGTTTGCTTCCCCTTGATTGTAACATATAGTAAGTTTCCTGAGGCTTCCCCAATCATGCTGAACTGTGAGCCAATTAAACCTCTTTCCTTTATAAATTACCCAGTCTGGGCTATGTCTTTATTACTATGCAGCATGAGAATAGACTAATACAGATGACTATAGAACTATATTGTGAAGGATATTATATTACTGATTGAGCTGTTACAGAATGTTTCCTATTCTATCATTACTTAACTAGTAATGTGCTTAGGGTTTTGGGTTATGACTTATCTATGATGTATGTGTGACTGTCATGAAATTTAAAGACATGAAATGCTTGTAAACTGAAATAATAATTATAGGACACAGTCAAGAAGAGAAATAGCCACAGAGGCATAAATATTCCATTTGTACCCTGAACCCAATTTCTGGTTAGATTTTAAGCATATTCACTCCATGGGGAGATAGTACCCAGAAATGGCTGCTTCAGTGCCAAAAATACTAGAGTTTGAACCCTGGCTCAAAAAATTATTTTTTGTATGAACTTCAACGATTGCTTAACCTCTTTAAGTTTTAGTTTCTAATTTCTAAAATAGCAATGCCAACCTCAGAATTTTTTTTTACAGAAGCTAGTATTGTGATAATAAACAAGTAGAATGTATTCATTCATTGAAGTAAGATTATATCTTGAAGGTTACTGCTCTGAATAATGTTTTCATTAACAAGATATTAACAGAGCTTTTGAAGGTCAAAGTTAGGTGATCATATATGACAAAATTACAGGGAAAATTACGTTAAAATTTGAACAAAATGAAATATGTGGTGAAGCCGTATAGCATGGTTCATGGCATCATGTATAATGATATATGGTAATAATGGTATATGACAGGGATCAGGAATCTACAACCTAAGGGCCCACTACCAGTTTGTGTAAATAAAGTTTTATTGGAACACTGCTATGCCCATTTATTTACATATTGTCTATAAATATGCTGCTTTTGTGCTACAACACTAGAGTTGAATAGTTGTGACAGAGATTATATGGCCCACAAAGTCTAAAGTACTTACAATCTGGACTTTTGCAGAAAATGTTTGACAATTTCTGGTATATAATGATGCTGATACTATGGGTTCTTTTTCTCTCTCACTGAGAAAGCAGCACAGCACCAAGCATCCTTTATATTTCCTTAGCATTGACTGCAGTGCCTTGCTCTGCATTCTGCACATGTTAAGCAATCTACACATTCTATGGTGTGCTTTGCTGTCAATTTCCTATAACTTTAATAAAAATAAATTATTACATAGGATAGTGCTATGGTTTGAATATTTGTCTCCTCCAAAATTCATGTTGAAATTTAATCCCCAATGCGGTATCATTGAGAAGTAAGGACTTTAAGAAGGGATTGGGTCATGAAGGTGTTGCCCTCATGAATGGATTAATGTATTCATGAATTCATAGATTCATGCGTTAATGGATTAATGAATTATTAAGTGAGTGGGAGTGGTGGCTTTATAAGATGAGGAAGAGAGATCTGAGGTAGCACACTCAGCTCCCTCACCATGTGATGCCCTACATTGCCTTGGGACTCTGCAGAGAGTCCCAGCTAGCAAGAAGGCACTCATCAGATGCCGTCCCTTGACTCCAGACTTCTCAGCCTCCATATCTGTAAGAAATAAATTCCTTTCTTTATAAATTACCTAGGTTTAGGTATTCTGTTATAAGCAACAAAACAATGGGTAAGACAGATAGTTAAGGTGGACAAAGTATCTTCCAGCATGGGTGTTGTGAAGAGCTATTTCCATTCCTAAAATCTGGTTCACGAAACACTTATCCTAGCACAGACCTTTTGGGTTTAGTTCAGTGATTCTCAAACTTGAACATACAACAGAATTTCCTGCTGGTCTGGAAAAAACACATAGTTGGGTCCATCCCTAGATATATGATTCAATAGAGGCAGTGTAGGGCCTGAGAATTTGCATTTGTAGCAATTTCCCAGTGATGCTGATGCTGGTGGTTCATGAATCACCTTTGGGGACTTCCACATCTGGACTGCGCAGATTGATAGAATCGTAACCTCCACAAGGGGCTAGACATATGTAATTTATGCATTTAAGTATATCCAGCTTCTATCACAGGGCCTGGCCCATGTTTACCCAGCACTCAATACATATCTGTCAAGTGGATGAATAAAAAGCCACTGCCTGCTTGGCTGCCAACCTGGTAGGTGAGAGACTTGGTTTGAAAGCTCTGCCTTTGGTTGTGCCAATGACTGGGAAAAAATATCTAGAAACTTAAGAAAATCTACATGGAACTCCTTGTGGTATGCTCTGAAATACAGACTATAGAGGAAATATTTTAGTGGCTCTACAGGATACATGGTCTCTGTTGCACCTACTGAATTCTGCTACCATAGCAAGAGAGCCACCATAGAGGATATGTAATGAATGGGTATGGTTGTGCTCAAAGCAGGCATTGAGCCAGATTGTTTGCTGACTTCTCTGTTAAACCATGAATTTTAAATGATTGCATAGTATAGATGGTACATACATGGACACATGTACCATCATTGCCCTTTAATAAATTTTATTGCATTATAATATACATATAGAGAATTGTATTTATTGTCTGTTGCAGTTTGATGAATTTTGTCAACTGGATATATCCGTGACAGTACCCAGGGTGTAATTGCCTTTTGGTAGATCGGAATTGTTTCTAATTTGGGACTTTTACTAATGAAGCTATTATGAGCATAGTACCTGATATACTTTATTTTATTACTATATCTGCACATTGGTTGTATTAGTTTTCTGTTCCTTCTATAATAAATTACCATGTACTTGGTGGCTTCAATAAATACAAATTTATTATCTTACAGTTTTGCAAGTCTGAAACCTGGGTTAAAGCCAAGATGTTGGCAGGGCTGTGGTCTTTTCTGGAGGCTGTCAGGGAGAATCTGTTTCCATGCCTTTTCCAGCTTCTAGAGGACACCAACATTCCATGGCTTATGGCTCTTTTTTTCCAACTTCAAAGCCAATAACCTTGCTTCTCTCTGATCATGCTTCCATAGTCACATCTCTCTGAACCACAGGAAAAATTCTTTGATTTTAAGGACTCATGAGATTGAATTGGACCTATTGGAGAATCCAAGATTTTCTACCCTCGTCAAGATTCTTAATATAATCACACTTGCCTTTTGTCTCATAATGTATTTACAGGTTCTGAGGACTAAGGTGTGAATATTTGATGGGCGGGGTTGGATATTAGTCTGCCTAGCATGTTGGTTATATGAATTAATCAACGAAGACTACTCTAGTTTGTAGGAAAGCTGAGTTCCAAGATTTTTGCCAAATTTGCTTTTTCAAATTTTTGGAACAATAAAAAAATATGCAGTAGCATAATCAGTTAGCTAACATAGATGATCTGAATAATAGATACCCTGGTAATGAAAATATATATTAAGGTACCATTTACTCTTTCAGTGTAATGAAACAAAACCCAGCCTACTCAGGTAGAGCATAAGCTGTATGCTATGTAGAACTCTAACAGAAGACATTCTTTAGATTGCTATCTATCTGTTGACCAACACACTCTCTGACAATAACTCCTTTATGTCCTCTCCTTTCACTTGACAATCTCTTTTGCACTCTTTGCCTTGTCATCACACATCATTTTTCATGTGATCGTTTGTTGGAGACTCATATACAGATGCTCTGTCTGGTCTCTAATGGGGCAAAAACACACAGGACAGAAACACACAGCCTGGGTGTATTTTCTACTCTGAGATCACAAGCCTGAACATTGTCATCTTTTTGAACATCTTCCCAAGGGATAGTGCAAAGGGAAAAAGGGCAGAGTTTCTCAAGTGTAAGAACTAATTTCAAAAACTGTGCAAGGGTCTTTAGAGAGCTGTCGGTTAGAGACCCACTCCCCAACCAAGATCACTCTAAATGGAAAGACAATGAATGGAAGTGCATTCAGAGAATGCAGCCTGACCTTCTGGGGTACTAAGGGGCCTTGTAGGAGGGATGGCTCTAGAAGGTTTAGCTGTTCAGTCTAAGACAAAGAAAACCCAAAGTCGGTTAGAGGAAGGGGATAGAAGAGCTGTCTTTAAACATCTAATGAAGTATAACATGAAAAGGGGGTTTATGCTGGTTTTGGAGAAAGCTAAAGTAGCAATTTTCAAACTTCAGTTGTTCATTTGCATCGCTTGGGAAGATTCTGAATGCAGATTCCTAGTCTCCGCTTACTGAAGGTTCTGAAAGGGGGTGGGACATAAAGCCAAATTTTGAACAAAGTGCCACAGTTGATACTGATAGAGGTATTTCAAAGATGTTATATATATATATTCATCAGATATTTATTGAGCATTTTCAATATGACAGGCACTGTTACAAGAGTGAGGATATACAACTGAATAAAACATACTAGCTTCCTGTCCTCAAGGGGCTTATATTCTAGAGGGGGAAGGTAGACAATGAACAAATCCATTAAGAAAATGTATAGTATGTCAGACAGCGATAAGTGAAAAGAAAAAAAAAAAGCAGGAAAAGGAGCTAGGAAGTACTGGGGAGAGGGGTGAAGCTGATTTTTAAATAAGTGAACTTAAAGTAATTTTTTTTTTTGAGACAGTCTCACTTTGTCATCCAGGCTGGAGTGCCATGATGTGATCTCAGATCATTGCAGCATTGACCTCCTGGGCCCAAGTGATCCTCCCACCTCAGCCCCCCAAGTAGCTGGGAACAGGCATGCGCCACGATGTCTGGCTAATCTTTATAGTTTTTATAGAGATGGGGTCTCATTTTGTTGCCCAGGCTGGTCTTGAACCTAAGCTCAAGCACTCTGCCTGTCTCAACTTCCCAAAGTGCCAGGATTACAGACGGGAGCCACCACACCCAGCCAATTTTTTTTTTTTTTTTTTGAGACAAAATCTTATTTTGTCACTCTGGCTGGAGTACAGCAGCATGATCATAGCTCATTGTAGCTTCAAACTCCTGGGCTCAAGGGATTCCCCTGTCTCAGACTCCTGAGGAACTGAGAGTACAGGCACACAGCACCATGCTGAGCTAGTTTTTAATTTTTTGTAGAAATGAGGTCTCACTATGTTGCCCAGGCTGGTCTTGAACTCCTGGGCTCAAGCAATATTCTCACCTCAGCCTCCCAAAACACTGGGATTATAGTCATAAGCCACTGCATCCAGCCAGCTAATTTAAATTAAGGAACTGAATGAAGGAAGGGAGAGAATAAGATGTGTGGTTTCTGGAGGAAGAGTGTCCTATGCAGAGGGATCAGCAAGCGCAAAATAATTTCAGGAGATGTGTGCTTAAGGAGTGGTAAGATGCCAGTGTGACCTCGCAAACTGAGCAGGGAGGAGTTAGCTAGGACTATCTGTGAGGTGAGATACTCTGTTTATTCAACAGGGACATGAGGGAGGGCAGACTCCTTTAGAAAAGCAATTGATATATTTATTCTAAGAAGAAAGAACTTCGAGCTCTCTTGGGAAGTTTGCATTCAAGTGCATTGGTATGCCTGTTGTAGGGAGAATTCAAATATCTGGTTGGTGGTTGTTTGGTGGTTGAACCAAGCCACTGGTTTGCAAACCTGGCTGTGCCTCATAATCACCTGGGGAGGCAGAGGTGCACATTTGCTCTAACAGCATTTTTTTTTTTTTGTCTTTGGCTAATTATCTCTCCATGATTTGAAGTGTTGATGGTACTGATAATTGAAATACCTCTCTTTCCACGGCCAAGAAACAGAGATATAACCCAAGTCAAGTTAGTCACATTTTTTCTATTGGAATTTAATCAATTTAATCTTGACTAGAGTGACACATGCATGGATAACAGTAGGGGCCAATTCTTTTTTACTATGACTTGTGGAGAAGCCATCTTTTAAGTTTTGTTTCCCAGACTCCCATAACTCTCAGTTCTTATTCTTTCCAAGGTCTGAATTTTAAGCATTTTCTTTCATTCTGAGAGCCACACTATAAACTTCCAAAATATTTATTTTCCCCTTAAATAGGCGAGAGTTGTTTTTTACTGTTCTCACAACAACAAAAAGACAGGTCTGATACAGAGATTCACAAAAATACATATTTCCAGGTATCACTCTGATTCCATTGAATAAGATATTTGGGGACAACATTCTAGGATTTAGTATTTTGAAAGGCTTTTTAGGTAATGCTGATTCAGTTCTGGTCCTGCAAAATACAGGCTGAAAATCCTGGACTTGATGCTTCAGACATATCCCTGCCATGAGCTGCTTGCTGTGCCTTCTGGCTGATTTGGATAAAGGCGCTCCAATTCTGAGGCTGATTGTATTTCTCTCCTTCCCTCTAGTAGTCATTCTCCTCCCAACCGGGTTCATTAACTAGTGAAAACTGAAGCCAAGTGAACAAATTGTCTGGACCTCTATGTTAAGGGCCATGTGTAGATAAGAGTCAAAGGAAGGAATGTTTGCAGGAATCCCCACTCTGCCGGGGTCTGGCTTTGGGAGGTTGGGTAACAATTTCCTGTAACTTCACGTACTTGTGGAGAGCACACTTTCCAATTGTGTTTCAGGAAAACCTATGTTTTCTAAGAAAGGTACAAGGGGGCTATTGTGGTATATATGTATATGCTTATTTACTTATTTATTTTCAGTTTGTTCTATGCCTTCTGCCTCCCAATGTGAGTCCCACAAGGGCAGTGTCTTAGTCTGTTTTCTTTTGCTTTAACAGAATACCACAGACTGGGTAAATTATAAACAATGGAGGTTTAATTTGGTTCGAGGTTCTTGAGGCTAGGAAGTCCAAAAGCATGGTCCTGGCATCTGGTAAGAGTCATCCCATGGTGGAAGGTGGAGTGAGCACACAAGACAGAGAGAGGCACCAGGGGCTGAACTTACTTTAAGAGGTGGGGCCCAATCTCTTATTAAGCCCCACCTCTTAACATTGTTGCATTGGAGATTAGGTTCCCAACATGTGAATTTTGGGGAGTCACATTCAAACCATAGCAGGCAGGGACCTTTTCAATTTTGTTTCCCTCTGTATGCTCAGATTCTAGAATAGTTTCTAGCTCTTAGGAAGCTTTCATTAAGTAGTTTTAGAGTGAATTAATTTTTAAAACATCAGACCTTTACAGAGGTTTTACCAATGGTTCTGTTATTAAATATTATTTTGAAAGCCTCTCCACTATAGCAGTATTGTTCAAACCCAGTGCTACAGACAAGCTACATCAGAATTACCCAAGGAACTTAAGATGTAGTTTCCTGAGATGTTCCTGAAGGGGTTGTTTCAGTGAGCCTGGAGATTCATATGGTATGTTTATGATTATTACTATTATGATTGATGTTATTACTGTAGTGATGGCTGTTTTGAATTTGCAAGGTTTAAATGCACTTGACTAGATGATTGCCAAAGTCTCTCCCTGCACTGACATCCTAACAGGATGGTTCTGGTGAGAAAAATAAGCTCGGACTTCACCTAAGTGGCCCTGAAATTCCTTCCTTTCAAAATTTGGCTCTCTTCACAAGGAGTTGCTATATTGCCTCAGAGGATTTTGCTTCCTTGCTTTAGGGATGGGGAAAAGAAATCCCCTGAAATAATTTCAGGGCTTTGGGATTAAAAAAAAAAAAAAGGCAAGCAGAAGGGGGCAACTTCATATTCCTCTTGGGACTCTGGGATTTCTCCAAGATAGTAGGAGTTCTTGTTTATTAAAATGTCTTAGGTATGCTTCTCTTTTGTGGCAGGCACTATCGATTAGGCAGCAAAGAAGGTAGACAGATTTTCTGCTCCACAGAGCTTACAGTCTTGTGGAGGAGACGGATGTTAGATAAACAATGGCATAAATAGGGATTTAAATAACCATCAAGACCAATTCCTTATTTGGGAATATAGCAGTTGAAAAGGTGGAATTAAGTATTTATTCTTAGTGGTTCTTATATGAACTATATTTTAAAATAACCAAAAAGCCCAAGGTGATCAAGGAAAGTTTAGTTTTGTGTGTGAAAAAATTCTTACCAAGAAAGGAGAAAGGAGTGATAGAATCCACAAATCACTATTTTATTTCCCTTAAATAAATAATGAATGCAGGCTACACTCATCAATGAATGGAGCCATTAAAAGGAAAGTTTGTGGGGAAATTGGCAATGAAGGAGTTAGGCTATTACATTCCTACTGTTACCTAGCATTTATTGTCTCAGTATTCTGGAGGCCAGAAGTCCAATATCTGGCAGCACTGTGCTCCCTCCAGGGATTTTAGGGGAAAATTCGTTTCTTGCCTCTTCTAGATTCTTGGTTGCTGCCCTAGTGTTTCTTGGCTTGTGGCTACATCACCGCAGTCTCTGTCTTCATCTTCATAAGACCTCTGTGTTTCTCTTTCAAACTCTCTCTGCCTCTGTCCTGTGAGAATACATATGATTGCACATACAATCCACCAAGATATCTAGGGTAAATTCCTCTTCTTAAGATGCTCAAGTGAATCACATCTTTTGCCATGTAAGGTAATATTCATATCTGAGGATTGGGATGTGGACATATCTTTCTGAGGGGCGCCATTCACTCCACCACATGTGTCTTCCAGTGGGATGCACTGTGAAGTACATAGCCTCATTTGCAATCTTTCCTTGACAGAAAAGCTTTTCTGTGTTTAACCAGACCGTTGGAGCTTATAATCATTTATAGAAAATATTGGAGATAGAGAAATAAATGAAATAATCCAGGCTTAGTGGCTAGCTCCTGTAATCCTAGGGCTCTAGGAGGCCAAAGCAGGAGGATCACTTGAGGCCAGCCTGGGCAAACTAGAAAGACGCAATCTCTAAAAAATTTAAATTTAAATTTAAAAAAGAGCAAGAGAAAGTGAAATGACTTTCTAATCAGGTAAACACAAAATATGGAATGTTCCATAGGATAATTGACTTTTTTTTTGTGCTAATCAATGGCATGGAACAAGGTGAAAGTGGGCTGTTCTAGATTACAAGATTTAAAGACACAGCAACCAAGTTTTCTTGTGGACCCTGTATGAGTACTTATTAGACCAAACTAGCTCTAAAAAGACATCTTTGAAATGATAGAGTAATTTGATTTAGAACTGGGTGTGAGTTGGTACTTAGGAATTGGAATGAATTTGATTAGCAGTGACAATAACATTGTAGTTGTGTCAAGTACTTCTTGTGTCCTGTGTCACATCCTCTCAGTCCACCTTTTCACCCCAGCTGTTGCGGCTACCCCTAGTGTTGCCCAGGTAAAGCCTGATAGCACCTCCCCTAAACTTCACCACATGCCTTTCTTTCTCCTCTGGGTGCCTCTGTTCCCCTATGGGACACCTGTGGTAACTGTTCCAGCTATTCTGTCTCTTTCTGAAGCATTCCATTGCCAATCTGGGAGTGTAAGAGTTAATGCTCCGTGGGGTGATTCCTGACCAGTGGGTAGGAGAATCAGTGGATAAATACTTCCCATTGTGGTCACTCAATAAATGATCTAAATTGCATTCTACAGCTCCTCTGAGAGTCCTCAGCAGAACCCAGCCCCATGTGCCCACGGAATTAGTTCTCTGAGAATGCATAATGCATCATCCTTGGGTAGGCTTTCCCTCCTTCCCTGTTTCAGTCTTCTCAGCCCCACACTCCTTGGGATCACTTCCCAAAATAACAACTTACATACAAGCCCCTGTTTCCAGCTCTACTTTTAGGGGGACCCAGGCTGAGATAGTGTTTTTTTTAAAAAAAAAACTCTCAGGCTGGGTGTGGTGGCTCATGCCTGTAATCTCAGTACTTTGCGAGGCTGAGGTGGGTGGATCACCTTAGGTCAGGAGTTAGAGAAAAGACTGGCCAACATGGTGAAAACTTATCTAAAAATACAAAGATTAGCCGGGAGTGGTGGTACATGCCTGTAGTCCCAGCTGTTCGGGAGACTGAGACAGGAGAATCACTTGAACCCAGGAGGCGGAGGTTGCAGTGAGCCAAGATTGCACCACTGCACTGCGGCCTGGTTCCAGCCTGAGTGACAGAGTGAGACTCTCAAAAATAATAATAATAATAATAATTTTTAAAAAATAGCTGATTTTTTTTTTTTTTTGAGATGGAGTCTCACTCTTGTTGCCCAGGCTGGAGTGCAATGGTGCGACGTTGGCTCACCACAACCTCCACCTTCCGGGTTCAAGTGATTATCCTGCCTCAGCCTCCTGAGTAGCTGGGATTACAGATATGCGCCACCATGCCTGGCTAATTTTTGTATGTTTAGTAGAGACAGGGTTTCTCCATGTTGGTCAGGCTGGTCTCGAACTCCTAACCTCAGGTGATCTGCCTGCCTCGGCCTCTCAAAGTGCTTGGATTACAGGCGTGAGCCACCGCGACTGGTCAGCTGATTATTTTTAAGACATGCATATTGAAGTAATTAGACATGAAATGGCATGATGCCTGGGTTTTGCTTTAAGTATTTCACTAATATCAAAGAAGAAAGAGAAGAAAGAGCTAGATGAAACAAATGTAAATTTATGACGACTGTTGAATCTGGGTGTTGAGTACATGGGAGAATGTTATTGATTATTTTATAATTTGCTATAACAAAACATTTAAAAGGTTAAAAGTATTACAAGGTCTGTGAAATAGAGGAACAGACTACTCTGAAAGTACATGCTAGAGGACCTAGTCTAGGTGGGAGATCGAAAAAGACTTGTCTGATGAAATGGCTTTTAAGCTGTGGCTGAAAGGATGAAATGGATTTTTCAGACCCTTTCTCCTAAGGTACTTAAGGTACCTTCGTGAATCCGGCCATAGTTTTAGAATTACTTCTGCACTCTCTTGCTTAGAACATAGGATCCTAAGCCTGCCACCCAGGGCCTTCCAGGGCTGGCTCTCTTTACTGCTTTTAAATGGCTCATTTCCCCTGTATTGAGTATCTGCTCTGGGTGGCAAATCATTTTGTGTGAAATATATTCATTCACCTGTAGACACCTTACCATATCTCCAAGTGACTCTTTGAAATCTGACTATTTCTTTTATTTGTTGTGAATGATAGAGAGGAAATAGGAGGGCTATTTTAGGGTGGTCCAAAGTTGAATGAACTGCCTGGTAAATGTGACTGAATAACTAGCTTCCTTGCTATTTGCGACATCAGAATGCTTAGATCTATTTGATGCCAGCGGACTCAAGCCAGGTCCTCTGTGCTGTCATTTTTGTGCTGTAAATGAAGCTGTGGGGAGAAACATTTCCCCTATTAGAGCACATTCATCCTCTATGCCCAACAGACGAAAGAGGATTTCATAGCTGTATAGCTGACTGGGCGAGGAAAATGCATTTTGCCTATAATTCAGTAAACAACCAGTCAAGTCAGTCTTTTAAATTTGATTTGCTTTGTAATGCCTTATTTACAGCAGTTTTCTCCACTGGTATTGACATTTAATTCCCAATGCTTATTGATACTTACCTTTACTATCATGCAGTATTACCTTGCATGTTTAACTTGCTTTGTGTACCACAAAGGGCTTTCATAACCATATCTCATTTAGCCCTCATAGCAACCTTGTGATGTTTTTTCTTTCTTTCCTTCCCTTTCTTTTCCTCTACTTTTTTTCTCCCTTCCTCCCATCCATCTTCCTTGCCTCCCACTCGTTCCTCACTGCCTTGCCTTCTCTCCTTTTCCATTTCCTTTTCTTTCTTTCCTTTCATTCCATCATTCATTATTCTTTCTGTCCCTGTCTCCTTCCTTTGCCCCCTCCCTTCCTACCTTTCTTAATTGTAGCAAATATTTTTTAAAGTTTCGTTTGCAAGTTTGATAGCTTGAGTTCAAATCCTGGTTGTGTCATTCCCTATCTGTATGACCTTAGGTAAGTTACTTGAGCTTTAAGCTTGAATTTGCCCATTCATAAAATGAGCATCATAATAATGCACTTTCACAATGCAGTGAGTGCTTGTTTGTTTACTGGGTTCAGTCTCTGGCAGATGGAAAGCAATCAAAACTGTTTTCTATTATTGTTATTCCCATTACTTATTACACTGTTCAGATACAGCAATGACTGTGACCAATGTAATTAACAAGCCCATGGAGTTTTTAATAGGCCTGTCAAGAAAACTGAGGCATGCAGCTAGTAAGTGGCAGAACCAAGGTTTCAATTTGGACCTTGTTTTCAAGGTAAGAGCCTTCTTCGCTACTCTGCTTAATGCTTTAGACAAAAAATTATCAATAACTCAGAGTTCTTTTTTTCTGTTTTTAGAAAGTAGTCTCAGGATTTGTTATAATTCTATGTTGTTATTATACCTATATATATGTGTATCTAAAAAGAGTTCCCTAATTACCGGATATGCAGAACTTGTTACTACACAGTTCAAATTCTTGCCCTTCAGGAGTTTGATACCTAAGAAAGAATAATTGAGTCAGTTATATTTTTGTAATTGAATATAATTTAAACCTGTCTTAGCTATCTGCCTATTGTCTGAAAAAAAATTTGATTCAAAATAATGTTTTTCCAAGTTTTGCTTATTTAATATAAGGCTATATTGGAAAAAATCCATAATTTCACATGATGGCTACTTGCCTGTGACAGATGACTGCCTCGTGCCTTCAATAGGAAAAGTGGATGAGACTATTTAGAATTAGAGAATATCCTGATGATTTCATAAATTATGGCAACCACGTAGAATGATTTTAACCTAAACCTCTTGTTCAGTAACAGTGCTTCCACTGGCAGCGTCTCATCATAACCTGTGGGTTGTAGGGTGTGTGTCCCATTGCCATGTTGGCACTGTGGTCGCACTGTACAAATGAATATTTATACATGCCAATCACTATATGCTTAAAATTTTTATGCACTCACCAACTATAACATAGCAGTTAAGAATGGGTAACTTATAACTGCCAAAACCTCTGCTTTGCCCTTTGCTAGTTACATGAATTTTCTGAGCCTCAGTTTCTCATCTGTAAAATTAACAATGGGTAATGACTTCATGGTGTTATTGCAAAGAATTAATAAGAAGTGCACATAAAACATTTTGTATAGAGTTTGGTATATACGGAAAAGTTATTATTATTCATCTATTTATTCATTTTTTGAATACCTCATATATACTGGACGAAGGCCAAATGCTGGAGATGCAAAGGTGAATGATACCCTGTTTAGTTTACGTTCAGAGTTCACAAAAGATGGTATAAAAAATATTTTCAGATAGCAAGTCAAGATTACGGAAAAAAGTGATCATCGCTCAAAGTTTCCCGGTTCACACAGTTGCAGCAATATATGTCAATTATATAGTCTGACAAGGCATTTAATTTTGCCGTATGTATTTCGGTAACTGATTTCAGATCTGACAGTTTCCTTTAAGGTGCAGTGTCTGATGCTTCCATTTATTTCAAAGAATTGTCTTTCAAACAATACTCTGCAAAAGTTGTATGTTAGAACATTATCAAGTAACCTAATGCAATTAGAGCTCACCGTTGCTGATGTGATCAATGAAAACCTCTAGCCTTTGACTATAACACGGAATAATTTATAGTTAAACTCCACTGGATTTTTCACATTAGATTCCATGTTATTTTAGCTGAGTAGGAACTTTACAGAGCCTCAAGGCGCTCAGAAAATATAAGCAATTGAAAAAAGAAAACAGAGACCGACAGCCTTACCAAAAAGCAATCAAATTTGAAATTTAACAGAAACTTGGCAGTCACATATTGTTATGACACCACTTACTATCAAATCAGTACTGGCCATAAACTGGGTTTGTTAATTATTACAGCCTCTTACTTCTGTGTGGAGGTCAAATGGGGAAGAAAAAAAAGATGGTCATAAACTAAAGACTCAGAAGGGCATATGCCAGTTTCGCTGGAAAATATTTGCTGGCTTCAGGGCATAGCAGTGCACATCCTCCCAATTAATAGCGTCTTTCCCTCATCAGCGATGCCAGTAGAAGAAGGCACATGTTCTAGTTTCTTTGTTTGCAAATTAGAGAATATTGGAAAATTATCCTGTATTTTAAAGATCAAAACCAAAATGGCCTGGCCAATCTGGGTTGATGCTTCAGTTTCTTTTTTTTTTCTTTTCCTTTCTTTTAGAGACGGGGTCTCACTCTTTCACCTAGGCTGGAGTGCACTGGTGTGTTTATAGCTCACTGCAACCTCCAACTCCTGGGCACAAATGATCCCTCACTTCAGCCTCCCGAGTAGCTTGGACTACAGGCACATGCTTGGCTATTTTTTTTTATTTTTATTTTTTTGTAGAGCCAGGTGTCTTGCTTTGCGGCCAAACTGGTCTCTAACTCCTGGCCTCCGGCACTTTGGCCTCTCAAAGTGCTGGGATTACCGGTATGGCCACCATGCCAGGCTTCAGTTTCTTCGAAATGAAAACAGAGTTTAAGTGAAATACAACATGAGAAATTTGAAGTGAATTCATCTGATAAGCCAAGTAATTTACAGAAATGATCCATGAAGATAATGTGCAATGAAGAACAGATGCCAAATTACACTGGATATTTTCTGTTTTCAGGGATAAACAATCAGTGGATCTTTTTCCCAGTGCTGGTTTGCTTGTCTCCTTGCTTCCTAACATCACCTTCGTTGCCTGAATCCTTTCCTCCATCTTAAATGAACCATTTTTTCTTTTATCCAGCTAATCTGAGCAGTGTAGTGCCAATGTACATTTCCAGACTAATTTTCCAGCTATTCCCTTTCCACTCATTCTGATTTCTGGCTTTGTAGGACTTTTACTTCCTCTGATGACCTTTTACCGTGATCACACTTTGACACTGACCATCACTCTCTGCTGTGCTTATTTTTGCTGTGTAATAAAGTCTTACTCATTCTCCTCCAAGACCCATTTCTAACATTCCCTCCTCTATGAGGCCTTGGGTGCTGTCTACAGGTTACTTGTCCCTTCGCTGTTCACATTATCCTACATTTGTTCATGTGGTTTGTGTCTGCCCAAGTGGACTGTGAACTCCATGAGAGACAGAACCTAATCTCATTCACTTTTGTATTTCTGGGACCCGGCACAGGACTGGCACAAAGTAGGCGTTTTATAGATGTTTGCTGGATACTGGGCTGCTGTGTATGTTGGTTAGCATCTTGCACAAAGACATCTAGCCAAGGGAAAGGGCACTAAAATCCAGCTCATGACCATATGTATCTTGGTCACGATACAACCCTAAGGAGGGGCACCTCTCTTAACCCTAAGGAGGGGCACCTGTTTTGTAATTTCTTTACCCAGAAGGGCCCCTTTATGCAATTTCCATAGGGACATAGTATGTGCTAGTAACTGACCTTGTTGAATGGATGTATAAAGAAACAAGTGAATGAAGTTTCCCGTAATCCTCTACAGCTATTAATAATACAAAACAAATAATCAAAAAGACAAAAGAAGCCTTTTCACAAGACTAAAATCATCTAGTCCAGTTATCAAAACTGATCAAATTCGGCACTGCTCACCTTATATGCTATTCAACTTCTGTTTGACTAATTCTGTGAAGAATAAATCCTCACATTTGCATCTTAGGTTGGATAATTCTCTTGGCAGTGGTATCTGAATAGTATTATTTTGAATGCAAGCATTTTTTATGACTATGATTTTTTATATTGGGACTGTCTATCTTTCTGTCCTACACATTAGTGATACCTCTTGGACATTCTGTAGGGATACTGAAACGTGTCTACAAATGGTTCATGGTCTATTATGTAAGCTTCTTTGTGCTCAGTTGTAAAAAAGGATGGTCCTAAGGTCTTAATTATATGAGTCATTACAATTTTAAAAAATTCCTAGGTAGAAGTCAGGCTATTTAGTTGATTTAAAAATATTTTTGCTAGAATGGATTTCTTCTAGCATGTTGAAAATGCTGAATCCCATGTTGTAACACCTCACCAGAAATTATCAGTAGACCAGAAGGTAATGTTGATTATGATCTCATTTATTCATCCATTCATTCACACATTCATTTACTAAAAAATTACTTACATTTCTCCAGTGCTTAATGTAATGCTTAACATATAGTAGACAATGAATTTGTGTTGACTTGAATTTATTCATATATGCATTCTTTCATTCTCTTATCAATATTTATGGGGCTGCTACCTCAGGCCAGACATTATGTGATCAGTGCAGATACAGCTTCTTGGCCTGTGGAAGCATCACGCCAATCCCTGTCTTCATGTTCACATGTTGTTCACCCAGAGTATGTCTCTGGATCCAAACTGTATCTGCATTTTCTTTATCTGCGTTGATCACTAATGTAGTTCCAGGACTTAACATAATGCTTAAAATAATTGATATATTTTATAGTTCCCTCTCTGAATGACAGCAGGCTTTATGAGGCATTTAATGAGTGATTGTCAGTCCTGGCTGCACATTAGAACCACCTAAGGTGCCTCTTAAAAATACCAATACCTGGGGCTTAACCCAGACCAATTAAATCAACATCAGTGAAGGTGAGACCCAGGCATAGCTAATTTTTAAAGCTCCCCAGGATATTGTGAGCTCCACCCAACGTTGACAATTACTGAGTTATTCTGTGCCCTTTTTTTTTATGTCACTGGTTAATGTCACTTCTCTGGGTTGAATTATATCCCTCCAAGATTTATAGGTTGAAGTCCTAACCCCCAGTACCTCAGAATGTAATTACCTTGTAGAGGTAATCAAGTTAAAATAGGACATTAGAAGGAGTTCTAACTTATGTCCTTATAAAAAGAAGTTCGGATCCAGAGACACACACAGGATGAATGCCATGTGGACACAAAGACAGATATTGGGGTGATGCTACCACAGGCCAAGGAATACCAAGGCAAACCCGCAGAAGCCAGGAGAGAGGGACGGAACAGAGTCCTCCCTCGAAGTCTTCAGAAGGAATCAACCCTTGCAGTACACGTGTATTTTGGACTTGTAGCCTGCAGAATGATCAGAAAATAAATTTCCTTATTTATTTATTTTTTTTGTAGAGACAGGGTTTTAACATGTTGCCTAGGCAGGTCTTGAACTCTTGAGCTCAAGTGACCTGCCCTCCTCAGCCTCCCAAAGTGCTGGGATTACACTGCCCCTGGCCAATTTCTGTTTTTCGGGCTCCCTCCACCCCCGACCATGTGGCACTTTGTTATAGCAGCCCTAGTGAACAGTACAATCAGCGCCTTTATAAATGCGTTTTTTAAAGAGCTAACTTTAAAATGTTCTGCTTCCTTCAGTCCCCATTCCCTTCTGAAAATGGACCAACTCCCGTCTCTGAGCCCAGACCAGATGCTATCTCTCTACTTCTTCCAAGGTGGCCTTATCTTTACTAAGAGTCAGTGTTGAAACATGCATGACCAGCCCACCTGGAGCTAGAGACTTACAGGCTGACTCCATGATGAATAATCAATGTGCGATAATTCCACTTGCCAAGCAAAGCTCGGCGTAGACAGCGGCTGCTTCTGGCAGATCGATAAAGTACTTGAAGACACTTGTTTCAGTGGCTCTTTGAATTCCGCATCATCATTTGATTTGCTCCGATAACATTCAAGTCTTGCCTCTTTAAGTTATTGTTTTAGCAAATTCAATTTACAATTACTTTCCATATGAAAAGCTTAAGAGATTCAGTTTAATGCCTTATTAGCTGTAAAATCAACTGCTGTTTCAACTACGCGGTGTGAGGAGCAGTGAAAAGGCTTCGGTTCTTGGCGAAACTTTCCCTCTGGGCTTCTGACGAGGGGCAGCTTCTTCAGTTGTGGAGCTATCTTCACAATACCTGCTTTCTAAGCTCCTAGTCATTGGACCCAAATTCAAATTACATTTCCCTCCCGTGTCAGGGATTTCTGGGGTAAAAATAAGCTACTTTGAAGACAGGTTGCTCTCAGCAGGGATTTTTTGCTCATCAAATGTGATCCATGCAACAGGCACCTTTGAAAACTCACCATGACGCCGATTTTATTTTTAAATGGAGGGACTAAATGGCCATTACAGAAAGTCGGCCTGAGTGGAGTGGGGGTTGGGGGGAGAGAGTTTATTACTGTTGTTTGAATCATTTATAATAATGTACTTTTGTGTCTCTGGATAACTACATGTTAGGAGTGAAGAAAATCCTCACTACATGAAATATAAAAGACCTTCTTACTATGGTGTGCAAAGTCCTGTAAGCTCTTTCCAGCACCTGCTGCTTGGACCTCCTCTTCAGTCATGCACCCCTAGTTCATTGTCCTCCTGCTCGAGTCCTTCCTGCCCCCATGCGTAGAAGCCTGATGCCACCTCATGGCCTTTGTATCTCTCGATCGAATGCTGTTCCCTCACATATTTGCCTGGCTGTCATATCTTCTTCTGATTAAATGTCACCAAACTAGTAAAGCCTTCTTTAATCATCTTCTCCCTCCCTGCCCACCTCAGTCACCCTCTGTTCCTTTATCTTGTTTTGTTTTTATCACAGTATTCACCTCTTTTTGCGTGAAATTATTATTTATTTGTCTGTTTTCTAATTGTCAGTCTTGCCCCTCTCTGCCCTCAGATGTGAGAATGTAAACTTTGTGGGAGAAGGGACCTTTGTCAATGTTCACCTCTGTTTTTCCAGTGCCAATTGATGGGCACAAGGTTGGCATTGAATGAATAGTTGTGGGTGAATAAATGACAGAAACAGTGTGCTTTACTTAGTGCTGCATAACACACTACCCACAAAGTAAGTAGCTAAAAACAAAAACTATTTATACTTTTTCTGGATTTCCTGGGTGGCAGGCAGTTCTGCTTTCTGGCCTGGGTGGGCTTAGCTGGGACAATTAGGGTGCCTGGCTTCTCTATCTACATATTATTTCATGCTAGGCTTCTTCAGACATGGTGGTCTCAGGGTTTAAGAACATGAGAGCTGGCAGGGTGTGGTGGCTTATGCCTGTATTCCCAGAAATTTGGGAGGCCGAGGCAGGCGGATCACCTGAGGTCAGGAGTTCGAGACTAGCCTGACCAACATGGAGAAACCCTGTCTCTACTAAAAATATAAAATTAGCCGTGCGTGGTGGCGCATGCCTGTAATCCCAGCTACTTGGGAGGCTGAGGCAGGAGAATCGCTGGAACCCGGGAGGCGGAGGTTGCCGTGAGCCAAGACTGCGACATTGCACTCCAGCCTGGACAACAAGAGAGCAGAAGTTGCCAGCATCTTAAGAAGGCCTAAGCTTTGGGACATACACAAAGTCACTTCTTCCAGCTTCTGTTGGTCAAGGGAAGCCATAAGGCCAGACCAAATTCAAGCAAGTAGAGAAATACATTTGGCCTCTTGAGAGTGGTGGCAATGGATCATGGGGCCAGGAACAGGATTCATTAGGGGTTATTACTGTTATTATGTAGTGATCTGCCCCAAGCCCCAAGTGATATATTTTTTGTGGGAAAGCTCATTCTGACCTACATATGAGTGGCAGGTTTTGGAACATAAGATTCATATCTTATATATTCATATCCCAGACATTTGCATTTGTGCCACCTGTCATAATACCCTGCACACTATAAACAATAAATGCCTCCTTGGTTTTGCTGTTGCTACTGTACTTACATCGCTATATTTAGGATAAATTTTCATGTTTACACACACATCAGTGGATGTGCAGGGATTATCCAAAGACCTTAGTACATCATTTCAAGAAAATGGGAGTGAATTCGGGAATAAATTATATTGATTTTACTTCAGACATTTAAATTTGTTTCATCTATTGCTTTTGCTGTGGAAGAATTGATTTCAACAAGGCAGACAGAGAAAAAATAAATTGGTTTTATTGAATTCACAGTGACCTGATTAAAAAAATAGTCATTGCAAGAAAAATGATCTTACTTCCTATTTTATTACAGATTTTTTTCCTTCAAAAATTTATTGGTTTAATATAGTAAGTGAAGAAGATGATGAATTTTATTTAGCATTGTGCAGAATGGTTTGGGGGCTGTTAGAAAACACATTTCTTGAACTATTTCTTATTCAGATGATTGTAAAGATTATTTTGATTAAGAAGGCACCTCTCGCTGTTTGATGCTTTTATACTGAATGAAAAACAGTCCAAAGGTCTGTAAGACAATTCACATTGGTACAGATTTAGATCATTATTTCCTGAAAAGAAATGTTGAAATGTTAGTTACTACTCAAATTCTTTTCTTAAAACAAAATGAAACATTCGAGTTTGACTTAGAAAATTACTAGACTGCAGAAGGGAATAGAGAAGAAAGCAAAAATCACCTGATGTCTTTAAACTTCACCTTGAGTGTTTACAATTCAGAAATAACATTCAATGTTCAATTAAAATTTGAATGTCTCTATTTGTACTCAGGAGATGAATAGATTTGGATATACTTTCTGATAATTCCTTCACTGTCCAAACTGCTGCTACTTACTATCTGAAATCAGGAACTAAATAGATTTGGGAAAACACAGAGTCCTTTGTTATCTGAACTTGCTGTGCAAACTCCCAATAACTGAGAACTGATTTGGATAGCAAGAGATACTTGGATATAGGTTATCTATACTCTTTAATGACATTGGTAACCCTCTGATCCCATTGTCTATACTGTTTGTAAGTTACTCTTTTCACTCGAAAATATACTGTGAAAGGAAGATTGCAGCTGGGGAGCATAGTTTGTCAATCTCTCTAAATCCACACATAAAAACAGAGCAACTGGACAGCAAAACCCTCATACAATGTTTAGCACAAAACCACGTCACAAGGTCTCTTCACAAACTCCATATCCACTCCATGGGGTGAAATGTGTGTAAACAAGCAATAAACATGGTGTGATAAATGCTCTGTTCTGAGCTCCCTTGAGATGAGATCAGAGTACAGGGAGTTCCTTAAAGACTTCGCGGAGCTTCAAAGAGTATTTACAAAGAAAAACGGCATAATAGCAACTTAGGGGACAACTTTCACATGCACAGTTCTTCATTCAGCATTCCCCACATGCTTCTTATGTTTAGTTTACTCATTCAGACATTTTTTCCCTTGTCAAACTTTGTTTGCATGGTCAGTATAGTACTAGTTGTACATATCTGGTATGAAGTTTTAAGAGTTGCTTTTTACTTTTGTAAGATCAATTATGGATCTTTCAGGAGAATATGTGATCTTGTAGATATATCAAGGTGGATTGTAAAGACTACTGAATCTAATCCTTAGTTAAAGTCGGATTCATTCTTTGTCTACTCAACGCTGACTTTACTTTTAAACAATGTTTTTCAACCAAGGGCACTATACACACAAATAATTGCAAGTTTTAAATATTATTTGATGTTTAGATGCAAAAGGAGACAATGGTTAAACCCATTACTCTTATCCTTTAGCCCTTGATATATTTCATCTTATGTTAGATAGAGTTTAAGAGACTACTAACTAGTTACAAAAGCTTGTATTGTTTCTTTATTATAGAAGTAACTCATGTTAATTTCAGAAAAAAATATAGAATACATATTAAGAATGGGATAAAAGATTACCCAGGATTCCAATTTGTTGTTGTTGTTGTTTAGAAACCGGGTCTTGCTCTGTCGCCTAGGCAGGAGTGCAGTGGCATCTTCTTAGCTCCCTGCAACCTCAAACTCCTGGGCTCAAGTGATACTCTCGCGTCAGCCTCCCAAAGTGTTGGGATTACATGCCTGGCCTCATTTTCCACTTTTTGACAGTGATTGCTATTAATGTTTTAGTATTTATCTTCTTACAGAGTTTTTAATGCAAATGTATTGTTTTACCAAAATGAGATCATGATTTATATTCTGTTTTTTAACCTTTTTCTTTTTAAAATTTCAATAAATAATGCTCTGCAGCTTTGTTTTCAATGACTTCATAGTATTTTATCGTATGGATGTACCATAATAAATTCACTGATTATTTATTATTGTTAAATATTTTGATTGTTTCCAAAATATCAAAGTTTTTTACTTACGAGGTTGCAGTGAGCCGAGAGTGCACCATTGCATTGCAGCCTGGATGACAAGAGCAAGACTATGTCTCATAAAAAAAAATAAAAAAAAAAGTTGTAATAAAAAGCTGCACATTTATTTTGGCTAATATGTCCAATTGCTTAGCTAAGAGTAACTAACAGACATGGAATTTATGGAAAAAAATGTACATTTTAATGTTTTCAATCAGATTACCAAAGGCCCTTCAAACTGTAACATTTTATCTCTAACTAGTAGTATATTATGATGCTCTTTCATTCATACCTTTACAAGTAATGGGCTTTTTCTCATTGTTATTTTAATTTTTGTTTGCTTAACTATTAGTAAGGTCGAACATTTTTGTTAGTTTATATTTATTATATACTAGTAAACCAAAGGAGGAGTTAATAGTAAATGAAAAGAGCTTAATTAAATTAAGCCATGGAGAGCTTATTGACTGGTCCCTCACTCAGCGATTTAGTATATAAATAGAAGACTTTTAAAATAAACTTTGGCTTACCTATGTTGAAATAATATGCTGCTTTGAAAAGGAATTCAGTAGCCCCCTATGTACTGAAGAACAAAAAATGTATGAGACACATTGTCAAGTGTCTTAATACTTAACATAAAAAAGTCACAAGGTACAACTTAAAAAGTGCTTTTAAAATTAAATTTGTTTACATACTTGAAAAGTTAATTTTATTATATATTTTATTTACTTATTGAAGTGAAAAATGTGCAAAAGGTTATCTGTGATGACTCCCTCTCACCTCTACCCCAGTCATTTCATTCTTTTCCCTGGAGGGTATTAGGTTTTGAGGTTTTAAAAAACATTCTTTTAGTGATATTTCATGCATTTTTTATAAAAATGGATTCATATAATATACAGTGTTCTGGTCCTTGCTTTTTTTTTCATTTGACAGTATAACTTTCAGACCTTGCCGTATCTATTTCCTGACTTGTTTCTTATGGCCCCAGAAAATTCTTTTATATGGATGCAACATTTGCTAGTCTCTTGGTAATGGGTATTACAATTTTCTCTGATCTTTTGCTAGTACTAAAAAAGAATGCTGAAATTAACATATATATGTATGCATATATATATGTATGCATATAAAATTTGAAAATGGATTTTTAAAAATGTCTGAAAGTTTTAACAATAAACAAGGACTACCTCCATGGGAGTGGGGAGCTGGATGTGCCAGGTAAGATTTTACTGTTTATTTCATGCACTGTTTTGATGGTCTAAATTTTTTTATTGAGGTTTTAGTACTTTGAATTTTTTGAAAATGAATTTTTTTTCTTGAGATGGAGTCTCGCTTTTTTGCCCAGGCTGGAGTGCAGTGGTGTGATCCTGGCTCACCACAACCTCTGCCTCCTGGGTTCAAGCAATTCTCCTGCCTGAGCCTCCTGAGTAGCTGGGACTGCAGGCATGCACCACTACACCAGGTTAATTTTTGTATTTTTAGTAGAGACGGGGTTCCACCATGTTGGCCAGGCTGGTCTCAAACTCCTGGCTTCAGGTGATCCATCTGCCTCGGCTTCCCAAAGTGCTGGGATTATAGGTGTGAGCCACCACATCCAACCTGAATTTTAAAATTATAAATTAGTACAGCCATTATGGAAAAAGAGTATGGAGGTTCCTCAAATAATTAAAAATAGATCTACCAGATGATCCAGCAATCTCCTACTTGGTATATATCCAAAGGAAATGAAATCAGTCTGTCGAAGAGATATCTGTATTCACATGTTCACTGCAGCACTATTCATAATAGCTGAGATATGGAATCATCCAAGTGTTCATCAATAGATGAATGGATAAAGAAAACATGTACAAAATGGAATACTATTCAGCCTTAAAAAGGGAGGGAAATCCTGTCATTGGTGACAACAGCGATGAACTTGGAGGACATCATGTTAAGTAAAATTAGCCAAGCACAGAAAGACAAATACTGCATAATCTCACTCATGTGTGGAATCCAAACAGTTGACCTCATAGAAGGAGAGAGTAAAATAGTAGTTACCAGGGGTCAGGAGGTTGGGTGGGAAGATGTTGGTCAAAGGTCACAAAATTTCAGTTAGACAGGAGGAATGAATTCAAGTGATCTATTGTACTCACTAAAAGAATAGATTTTAAGTGTTCTCACCACAAAGAATGATAAGTGTGTGAGGGGTTGCATGTGTTAATTAGCTCAATTTAGCCATTCCAGAATGTATACATATTTCAAGCATCATATTGTACACAATAAATATATGCAATTTTTTGTCAACTAAAATTTTTTAAAAAATCAATAGATTGAAAAATTAGTGTTTTAGATTCAGAATTATGATGTGGACAGATAAATACCTTTGGGAAGCTGGCACTGGAAAGAATTTTGATGGAATGTTGCCCACTGCTAAAACCAGTTTTCCCTCCTCTGGGTGGTGCTGGTGCTGGTGATGATGCAGATAAATGTATTAGGTCATTGAGAAAAGAGGAGTTTTTGTCCTTTAGATTCTGAGTCCTAAAAGGAATAAAGCTGAAAACTTGATTCTGTTCTTTTGACTTTCAAATTCCTCAGCTGAAAGCCAAGATAACTGAAAACTGGTGGGCAAGGAGTTCTATAGCTGAAGGAATTATATACATGTAGACATTTAATATCCCTCTAACACACCATCTAGAGGCATATTTGTAAGTCCACAAGTAATCATTTCCTGTGAAAATAAAGATTAATATGTTTAAAATAATTTATCTCATTACATGTTGACATCAGACTTTTTACTGGCTCTTAATATTTCACATTGTAATGCTTGATCAGGTTGAATATTGAACATTAGCAAGTGTAGAAACATTTATGAAAAATGACATAATTTATTTTGTGAAACCAATTCCAAATACATGAAAACATGGGGTTAGAATTAATTCATCAAGAATATCAATAAGCTGATAAAGCAGAGTCATTTTCATTTCCATCATAATCTTTAAGCTATATTCACAGAAAAATTACTTATTAAAGCAGCCATATGTGTGATTAATGGGTTGGTAGTGGTACTAATTACTCATTAGAATGCAAGGACTAAAATACCCTAGGACTCAAAAAAACATAATGATTTTTTATTCAAAGGGTTGGCTGGGTCCCAAAGTCTCAATGGATTTGTATTTTGAGCTATAAGAACATGGTTTTGATCTAAAATGAGGGAGAAATTATTTTAGGAAGGTCTTACTTGGTACTAACATAGTGAAACCCTTCTTTTTCATATGCTTATTCAATCAAAAGTTCCCACTTTGAGATCAATAACCAGGTTACGATTTGCCTACATGCGTTTTCAAAGTTAAAACATTGGGATATGTATGCTTTTCTTTTCTTTTTCGTTTTTTGAGACAGGGTCTCACTCAGTTACTGAGGCTGGAGTGCAGTGGTATGATCATAGCTCATTGCAGCCTCTAACTCCTGGGCTCCGGCGATTCTCCCACCTCTGCCTCTGGAGTAGCTAGGACTACAGGTGCATGTCACCATGCCCCTGTTTTTTCTTTTGAATGCTTGATCATCTATGGACAAACATTTCTCCATTTCCCATGAGTAATTGTATGGGTGCTGTTTTACAATGGTGGCCTATGTGACTGTTTAAATAATAACCAAATTTTAAAATTCATAAATTCAATTGAGCATCAAATTAGCAGCATTAATCATTATTAGAATATAAGTAGTGCATGCAAGTATTTCTTACATATTAAAAATATTTTCTCCATCATTATCACTGAACACTGCAGCTTGGAGTGAGGATAGAGATTAGGTAGAATAAAACCTGCTATTAAGTAAAGATGCATCTTCTGAAACAAATCTTAAAAATAAGAAACAATTCTAAGGAAGTCAGATTATTTTATGTTTTGGATATCCCAATCACGTTAAAATTCTGAGTATCAACTACAATTTTCACATGAGTAACACCACTAATTTTTATAAGCTAAAATGACAACAAGAAACTCTACCCCACGAAATATTTTCATTTTAATTAAGCACCGTAGAGATTTGCTGTGAATCACAGTGGTGTTTGCTTTTGACACTGGAGATGGAAAGGAGATCTCAATGCTTTATTTTTCATCAAAAAATAAAAAAGTCAAGAAGGATTCTAAATATATCAAAGAATAGCTTTAAAACATTAAAACACCAAGGTAACATTTTGAGATGTGAGAGAATATTATCTTGTGAGTGGTGAATCTAGGGAAGCTTTTGTCTGTGTAGGAAAAAGAGGGTTTAGCAATTCTACAACTTCCTTTTTTCTTGGGGATAGGAGGGAAGTGTGGCAAAAGTGCCATCACCAACAAGCAAGTAAGAAATAGCAGAATGATGTGAAGCAACTATAGGCATTAACTTGGATGCTTTGCTGCCCATAAATCTCACTCAATGTATACTTTTAAATAAGATTATTTAACACAACAGTTGAATGTGTAGCAAGCCACAGTTCATTCTCTCAAATAGGTTCCTTATAATTTTATTTATCTATTTTATTTTACTTGTATATTGGACCAGTTGGACTAAAATAATATATCCTTCTATAGGGACAGTGGGTCAAGATTTCGTTAGTAATGGAAAACTCAAACAATCCTTCTTACACAAGAATGTCAACCCAAAAGACCCGCTGAAACACCTATTGGTTATGCAAAACTAAATTTGTTAAACCTACTGCAGTAACAGAGAACACACCTTACCAAAGTCTTGGTAGCATATGAAAATAAGAAATTAGATGAGGATATGTATAGGTGTTTAGAGTGTGGGCTGTGCAATTTTAGGGTGAGTCTTGCTAAAGAGGACACTGGCTGTGATGGGGCGGAGTCCATGACAGAGGAGGTCTGGGCTGGTGGATGCTGTGAGGTGAAAAGTGGGAAAGCAGCCACAGTGAGCAAGATGTTAGTCTTGCTAAGTAAGCGGTCTTAGTTTATGCTCTTATCTTCCAGGAGCAAGCCTCTAAGTTATTTTTTGTTTTTTCTTGGTATTGTTTAATGTAGGGAAAGTATGCCCCTCCCCAGAATTGTTTAACTTGGGGTCAGGCAAGGATGTTGGTCTCAGTGTTCTTTAACAGGGTGAGAAGGAATTATGTGGATGCCCGTCCGCCTGTAAGGTACCCCCCAGAGAAATCTGCCTGTTAGTATTCATGGCCTTATGTAATCCTCTCCCTTTGAGTGTGGGCTGGGTTTACTGGCTTCTCATGAATAGAATAGGAAAAAAAAAATAGACTGTCACTTCTGAGATTAGGTTACAAAAAACCATGACTTTGGCCGGGCGCGGTGGATCATGCCTGTAATCCCAGGACTTTGGGAGGCCAAGGCGGGTGGATCACGAGGTCAGGAGATCGAGACCGTCCTGGCCAACATGCTGAAACACCGTCTCTACTAAAAACACAAAAATTAGCTGGGCGTGGTGGTGGGTGCCTGTAATCCCAGCTACTTGGGAGGCTGAGGCAGGAGAATCCCTTGAACAGGGGAGGCAGAGCTTGCAGTGAGCAGAGATCACCCCACTGCACTCCAGCCTGGCAACAGAGAGAGACTCTGTCTGAAAAAAAAAAACCAAAAAAGAAACAACAAAAAAAAAGACCATGACTTCTGCTTTGCTGCTTCCTCCCTCTCTCTCCTGTTGCTCTTGCTCTGGGGGAAAGAGGCCATGAGTGGCTCCATGGAGAGGTCCATGTGGCAAGAAACTGTCTCTAGCCAACAGATACCAAGAACACAAAGCCTGCCAACAACCATGTGAGAGAGCTTGGTCACAGATCCTTCCCCAGTCAAGGGATGAGATGATTGAAGGCAGGCAAGAGACTCAGAGAGAGAGACTCACATGAGCCGTGCCTGAATTCTTAAGCCTTAGAAACTGTGCAATGTCAATAAAGAAAAATCATGAGACAAGTCTCATTCATTTTAGGAGGTTTATTTGCCAAAGTTAAGGAAGCACATCCAAGAGACAGGTCTATGCCTTTCTCTGAAGATGATTTTGAGGGCTCCACATTTAAAGGGGAAAGGGCGGGATATTGAGAAGTACACAATTTTCATGTAAGAGAGGTTTGAGGAAAAATATGCATTCATGCCATTGTCTGGCTCAGTGAATCTGCATTTTTTTTACATAAGATGACATAGACAAATGGGGCAGAGGAGAAATGCAGGGAATCTGCATTTTTACATAAGATAACACAGACAAAATAGGACAGGGGAACAATCAGATATGCATTTGTGTCAAGTGGGCCCGGGGGGTGACTGCACTTGTAAAGATAAGCTATCAGTTTACATTGGGTGAAATGTAAAATTCACCCAATGTGAAATATGAAATGCCATGGTGAAATTTTAACAGAAACACTTTGGGGTAAAGATCTGGGAGCTCACTAGGAATTTCCTTGTGGACAAAATCTGGGGAGGTGTATAGCTTTTTTCATCTTGTAGCCATCTTATTTAGGAAGCAAAAAAAGTGGGAGGCAGGTTTGCATGACCCAGTTCCCAGCTTAACTTTTCCCTTTGGCTTCACCAGTTTGGGGTCCCAAGATTTAATTTGCTTTCACGGCGATGATAGTATTTGTTATTTTAATTTACTATGTTTCTGGATAATGTGTTATACAGCAATATATAACTAATGCATGTTGATGTCATGTTTTCAGGATGCATAAATATACTTTCTACTGAAATTTTTACTTATTTCAGAATAAGCAGATTTATTGTCCAAAATATTGGTTAATTTACTATTTTTGCATCGAAACTTGAGAGACATACTTCATATGTTTATTATGAACATTTCTTCATTCTGCTCTATAGAAACTGGCCATATTTGAAGCCGATAGTGACTATTCTGTGGAGAGATAGCTGAAGGGAATGATGTAGAATTAATGCTTCCCTGAGGAACACACTGGATTAGGACCTTGGAAAGAGCTACTCTGTAACCTACGGAGCATTTCTCTGCAGCTTTGTCTCTTTGGCACATGGCAGGCCTGAAGTCTACTTGAGAAGAACAGATATAAACCCAACATCTGTATCAGATGCACTTTCCCAGCCTTGGCCTCAAAGAAGGATTTCTGGACTCTCTGTTACAGTGAGTCCTGACTCTCCCTACTGCCCGTGGTTGCTCTTCCTATCACCCAATGTCTGCTGCTTAAGGGAGTAGTTTTCTTCTCCCATCACCAACCTAGGGAAATTCAGTTCTTGGGAGGCAAACACAATTTCCCTAAGACTTTATCATTGTTTAAATTTGAAAGAAAGAAATATCAATGGTGTTCTGAAAAATTTAAAAAGGGATGTATGGTTACTAATTGGGGCTAGGAAAACTGGAGTGCAAACTCAGAGAGATACAGCTTCCTTGCTTATAGGGGTAATTGTGAATGGATGATTGCCAGCATTGTCCTGGAAAATTTCAAGATATATAGAGTTTCTCTGAGCCACTGTTAACAAGCTAATAAATTCAACTGTTTCTGGTGGAGGTGAGAAAGAGACAAGGACAGCCAAAATACTTTCGGGTTCTGCATGTTTCCCAGTTGGCTTTGGCCTTAGATTTGGATTTGCATAGAGCAGAAGCTAAATTCCATTTCTTCCATATAGTCAACTTATTTTGGGCCATACATATCTACTTCGATTGTCTGCTTTTTGGTTACTGAATTTTATAAGCTCTCCTCCATTACTATTTTTCTTTCCTGGTCTACCAACTTTTGTGCCCATTAGTTACTCATCTGCGCTCCCCGCCCCACCCCCGCTCAAGTTTTGCGACATCTCTGAACATGTTGAACAGGGAAAAAGAAATTGGTTGACTATCTATAGATAAATATGCATAGAGCGGGTGCTGTGCAAATAACTTTGCCATGGATTAACCCATCTGCCCTCACCATAGCCACATCCTTCAGGATAGACTCATCTTACCGTCACCCCGATAAGCTGTGTGCCTTGGTTTTTCTAGTCTCTGAGCCTTATTTCCCTTATCTGCAGTTTCTTCTGCCAACTTGAAAGCATAACAAATCTGCAATTCACACTGAGAGTCTTTCCAAGTCATTGCTAAAGTCTTTATTTATCAAAGCCAGTATTTTTCCCACCCTGTTTATATTTTCTAACTTTTAATAGTCTTTACTCACAAATGGGTCTCAACGTCTATTCACGTAGGCTGTTGCTAAGTTGGCTGCAAAATTGGCTTCAGAAAAGCTTCAAGGGCCCCAAATGTCTGCATTCCCATATTGTTCTGTTTGTAGCTGAAGCATCAAAGGCCTCTGTCTGAATCATTAGAAGGCAAAGATAGTGAGCCTTTACTAGCCTACAGCCTGGTGTAGATGACTCTCCCGGGTAATCCAGAAAATCTAACCAATTTTCTGGGAAGCTGGATTCAAGATGAGGGGATTCAAGGGGGCAGAGTGTACTTAGAACCTCGGATATGGAATAGGCAAAGCATTGTGAATGAAGGTTGGCAATGGAAGGCACCAAGGTAAGTCAGAGTTCTAATCAAAAGGCCACACAAGAGTGCAATGGTTCCCAAATGAACTGTACGTTGAAATCACCTGGGAATCTTTTAAACAATACTGAAGGTTGCTTCTATTCCAGACATTCTGATTTAATTTTCTGGAGTGTGACCTGGCATAATTATTTTTAAAAATTCATCAGTTCTAATGTACAGAAAAATTTGAGAACCAATGGAGTAATGGTTAAAGGCTTGCACTTTGAATCTAGACAGATCTTAGTTTCAATCCCGGCTTTACCACTAATCCACATGACTTTGGGCAAGTTATTTGACCCCTCTGAGCTCCAGGTCTTTTTGCAAATCAGAGATAAAAATAGTACCTGGCACTTAGGGTTATTATTAATAATACTAAATATATGCTTAGCACAGTGCCTAGCACACAGTAAGTACTCAGAAGACACTAACCAATATTATTTAATACTAGTACCAGAGTTTCAATGTTAGAAGAAGGCTTGACAGTGGTCAAGGTATACTTAATAACCAAGACACCATGGGGTGGAGAAAAACATAGCTTCTCACTAGCCCTGCCTCCAGCAATCAGGCAGTGGGAATAATAGAGAAAGCTTGTGTGTGTGTGTGTGTGTGTGTGTGTGTGTGTGTGTGTGTTACTCCCCAGGGATTCTGCCTTGCAGGATCTCATCAATCAACCCATTTGACTTATTACCATTATGTATAATTTTGAGGTTTGTGTCAAAGGAACAGGTTTGTCGTGGTTGCTCTAATTATGGGGAAATCATGTGTAATACATATTACACATGTATTTTTATGGCAGGTCTTTTACGAAACAGGCTTAGTTTCTAATAATTTTACAAAGGAAGATGGGGGTGGTTTAAAGCTTAACTGGAACAATTTTAAATGCATGTTGGACTGAAGACTTATGGATTCAGATGTTTCAAATCTGTGTTGAAAACTGCTGAGAATATACTCAGAATCTTCAGGATTTAATTCACACATAGATGTGTATATTTTACATTCACATTATCCTTTATTTTATTTTTAACTAGAGTTAAGCATAATTTTACAGATATTCATATTGTTAGCAGATGGCTGCATTCACACTAATAAACAGCATTTTAAAATTTAATTTTTTTTGAGATAATTGTGATTATCTCAAAATACAGATTCATATGCAGTTGGAAGAAATATCACATACCCTTTACCTAACATATTTCAAAACTATATAGTACAATATCACAACCGGGATTTGGATATTGATACAGTCAAAGACAACATTTCTGTCACTTCAGTGTTCTTCATGTTGACCTTTTATAGCCATGCCAACCTCCCTTCCACCCCCTCCTTAACCCCTGGCAAACATTAAATTTTTTGTTTTCCGTTTCTATAATTTTGTCATTTTCAGAATATTCTATAAATGGAATCATATAGTAACTAACCTTTTGTGATTGACTTTTATCATCATGCATAATTTGGTATCTAGGTAATACTAGCTTCATAAAATGAATTGGGATATATTCTCTACTCTTCTATTTTCTGGAAGAGATTTTGTATAGACTCAGTGTAAATTCTTCTTTAAACATATGGTAGAATTCTCCAATGTAATGATCTAGGCCTGGAGATTTCTTTTTCTTGGAGTTTTAAAATTACAATTCAATTTTCATAATAGCTTTATGGCTATTCAAATGATCTACTTCATATTGGATATTGGGTGAGTTGTGGGAGTTTATGTTTTTTTTAAGAACGTGTCCATTTTATATAAATTGTCAAATTTATGTGTGTAGAGTTGTTCATAGAGTTTTCTTATTATGCTTTTGATGTCTGCAGGATCTGTAGTGATATCCCCTATTTTGTTCTTGATACTGGTAATTGGTGTCTTCTCTCTCTCTCTCTCTCTGTCTCTGTCTCTTTTTGGTCAGTCTTATTAAGGTTTGTCAATCATATCGATCCTTTGAAAGAACCAGGTTTTTGTTTCATTGATTTTCTTCATTGTTAGCTTGTTTTCAATTTCATTAATTGCTGCTTTCATCTTTCTTATTTCTTTCCTCCTATTTGCTTTGTATTTATTTTGCTCTTTCTTGGTTGTTGAGGTAGGAGCTTAGATTCGGGATGAGCATTTCCTCTCTCTAATGCTTGCATTTAATGCTTTAAACTTCCCACTCAGTATGTCTTTAGCTGTGTCCCACACATTTTGATATGTTGTATTTTCATTTTCATTTAGTTCAATGTATTTTTTAAACTTCCCTGAGACTTCCTCTTTACACATGAATTATTTGGAATTGTGTTGTTTAGCTTCCAACTGCTTAGGGATTTTCCTGTTATCTTTCTGTTATTAACTTCTAGTTTGATTTCACTGTGGTTGGAAAACATTCTGTATGCTTTCAATTTTTTTTTAATTTGTTGATGTTTGTTGAATGGCTGAGGATATGGTCCATTTTTGTATACGTTTTGTAGATACTTGAAAAGATTATGTATTCTGCTCTTGTTAGGTGGAGTGTTCTGTAAATGTTGATTAGATTCTGTTTGTTGATGGTGTTGTTGAGTTCTATATCCCAGCTGATTTTTTACCTAGTTGTCCTATCAACTGTTGAAGAAGAGTATTAAACTTTGTAACAGTAATTGTCGATTTGTCTGTTTGCCCTTTCATTCCAATTAGTTTTTGCATCTCATATTTTGCAATTTTGTTTGGTACATACTTATTTAGGATTGCTATCATTTGGCAGATTGACACTTTTGTCATTATGTAATGTCCATCCCTGTCTTTGGTAATTTTTTTTGTGTGCTGATGTCTATGTTATATGATATAATGCAGTGACTCCTGCATTCTTTAAACACTTGAGATATAATTCATGTACCATAAAATTCCTCTTTTAAAAGTATGCAGTTCAATAGTTTTAATATATTTACAAAGTTATACAACAATGACCACTGTCTAATTCCGTGATGTTTTCATCACTTCCCTTCAAAATATATCCGCTATTAGTCATATCCCATTTACCCATTTCTCTAGCCCCTGGCAACCACTAATTTGTTTTCTTCCTCTATCGTTTGCTTATTATAGGTATTTCATATAAATGGAATTATACAACAGTATCCTTCTGTGTCTGGCTTCTTTAACTTAGTACAATGTTTTCAAGATTCATTTATGTAATTAGCATGAATTAATACTTCCTTCCTTCTTATGATTGAATAATATTCCATTGTATGAATACAGCATCTTTTGCTTGTTAATTTACCAGTCGATGAGCTTTTGGATTGATTCTATTTTTTAACTATTTTTAATAATGTTTTTATGAACATTTGGATATAGAGATAGGTTTTCAATTCTTTTGGATATATAACCAGGTGTGGAATTGCTGGGTAATTCTGTTTAATTGCTTGAGAAAGTGTTAAACATTTTTTTTTTTTTTTGAGATGGAGTCTTGCTCTTGTCACCCACACTGGAATGCAGTGGCACGATCTCGGCTCACTGCACCTCCGCCTCCTGGGTCTCCTGGGTTCAAGCCATTCTCCTGCCTCAGCCTCCTCAGTAGCTGGGATTACAGGCACCCACCACCACGCCCAGCTAATTTTTGTATTTTTTTAGTAAAGATGGGGTTTCACCACGTTGGCCAGGCTGGTCTCGAACTCCTAACTTTGTGGTCTGCCCGCCTTGGCCTCCCAAAGTGCTGGGATTATAGGCGTGAGCCACTGCACCCAGACTAAACTTTTTTTTTAAGTGGCTACACCATTTTACCTTTCATTGTATGAGGATTCCAATTTCTTCACATCCTGCCAATACTTTTTATTGTCGGTCCTTTTGATACACGCTTTCGTAGTGGGTATAAAATGGTACCTTATTGTGGCTTCGATTTTCATTTCCCGAGCATCTTTTCATGTACATATTGGTTATTTGTATAAATTTCTATCTAGCACTTTTGCCCATTTTTAAATTGGTGTTGTCTTTATATTATTAATTTATAAGAGTTCATTATATACTCTGGATATTAGACCTTTATCAGGTATATGATTTGCAAATATTTTCTTCCATTCTGTGGGTTGTCTTTTCACTTTCTTGGTACTGTTCTTTGAAGCACAATAATTTCCAATTTTGATGTATTCCAACTTACCTATTTTCTCTTTCATTGCTGTCATATCTAAGAAACGATTGCCTAATTTAAGGTCATGAAGTTTTTCACCTATGTTTTCTTTTAAGAGTTCTATAGTTTTAGCTCTCATATTTACATCCTGATCCATTTAGAGGTTTTTTTTTAATATAAGGTGTGAGTTACAGTGTCCAATTTCATTTCTGTGAATACATTTCTTTTGATTAATGCTTCCATGACATATATTTTTCTGTATTTTTACTTTAACCTACCTATCTTGTTATATTTAATGCAAATTTCTTGTAGACAGCATGGATTCTATTCCTTTATTTGCTGTATTTAGACCATTTACATTTAATGAAATTGTTGATATGTTAGGGCTTAAGCCTGCCATTTTATTTTCTGTTTTCCGTTTATTCTGTCTGATTTTTCTGATTTCATTTTGTTTCTCTGGTTTGTTTTTCTTTCTGTCATCCTGTGGGTTGCTTGAACATTTTCTAGATTTCATTTTCTAGAATTTGGTTTATCTATAGTGTATCCTTTTATTTTTTGAGTCAGAGTCTCACTCTGTCACTCAGGCTGGAGTGGAGTGGCATGATCTCAGCTCACCGCAACCTCTGCCTCCTGGGTTCAAGTGATTCTTAAGCCTCAGCCTCCTGAGTAGCTGGGATTACAGGCATGTGCCACCACACCTAGCTAATTTTTTTGTATTTTTAGTAGAGACAGGGTTTCACCATGTTGATAAGGCTGGTCTTGAACTCCTGACCTTAAGTGATCCACCCACCTTGGCCTCCGAAAGTGCTGAGATTACAGGCGTGAGCCACTGCGCCTGGCCTATCTATAGTGTTTCTGAGGATATCTCTTTTTATAGTGTTTTAGTGATTGCTCTATGTATTATATGTACACAGCCTAGCATAGTCTACTGATGTCATTTTACCAGTTTGAATAAATTATAGAAAATTTGTCTTTCTTTATTTTTATTTTGTTTTCTTTATTTTTATTTATTTATTTATTTTTTTATGTTGCCCAGGTTGATCTCAAACTCCTAGACTCAAGTGATCCTCCCACCTTGGCCTCCCAAAAGTATTGTGATTAAGGCTTGAGTCACTGCTCCCAGCCAAGTTTCTTTACCCTTTCTCTTTTATAATTGTTTTAAATATTTTCTGTGCACACATTTAATATCACATCAGATAATGTTATAATTTTTGTTGCACTTATCAAATGTAAATGAGAAAATTGGAGAGGAGAAGGAAAGTCTATTTATTTATCTGTATTTTTGTTTGCCATACTCTTTTTTCCTGCTTGATATTCTACAGTTCCTGCTTTTGTCATTTCCTTTCTGTTTAGAGGACTTCCTTTAATCTTTCTTCTAGGGTAGGGATGCTAGAGACAAATTCTCTTAGTTTTCTTTTATCTGAGAAATGTCTTAATTTCTCCTTTATTTATGGAGGACATTTTCTCTGGATATAAAGTTCTGGTTTGGCACTTCTTTTTTTCCACACTTAAAAGACGTTGTGAGAATTCCTTTTGGCCTCCATTGTTGCTGATGAGAATGCCACTGTCATTTGGATTGTTTTTGTCTTATAGGTGTCATTTGTTTTTTGCTGCTTTCAAGATAATTACTTTGTCTTTAGTTTTCAGAAGTATGACTATGAAGTTTCTTGGTATTTTGGACTGAATTATCTCCACCACCACTGCTCCTCCCCCTCAAATCTATATGTTGAAGCCCAAATCCCCCAATATGATTGAATTTGGAGATAGGACCTTTAAGGAGATAATTAAGGCTAAATGAGCTCATAAGAGTGGGGCCCCAATACTATAGAACTAATGTCCTTTCAAGAAGGGGAAGAAACACCAGATCTTTCTCCCTTTCTCTCTGTCTGTGGATGTAGAGGAAAGGCCATGTGAGGACACAGTGAGAAGGTACCATCTGCAAACCAGGAAGAAAGGCCTCACCAGGAACCTACCCTGCCAGCTCATTGATCTTGGACTTGTGAACCCCAAAAATCTGAGACAGCTTTCAGCGAATTTAGAAAATTTATTTTGCCAAGGTTGAGGATGCACTCTACTGACACAGCCTCAGGAGGTCCTGATGACATGGGCCAAAGATGGTCAGAGCACAGTCTGATTTTACACATTCTAGGGAGACATGTGACATCAATCAACATAAGCAAGATGAACACTGGTTCAGTCTGGAAAGGTGGAACAACTCGAAGCAAAGGTGGGAAGAGTAGAAGAGGGGAGGGGGCTTCCAGGTCATAGGTAGATAAGAGACAAATTGTTGCCTTCTTTTGAGTTTCCGATTAGCCTCTCCAAAGGAGGCAATTAGATATGCATTTATCTCAGTGAGCAGTGGAGTGACTTAGAATAGAAAGGGAGGCAGGTTTGCCCTAAGCAGTTCCCAGCTTGAGTTTTCCCTTCAGCTTAGTGATTTTGGGGCCCCAAGATTTATTTTCCTTTCTTTTAGCATCTGGACTGTAAGAAAATAAGTTTCTGTTGGTGAAGCCATCTAGTCCGTGATATTCTGTAATGGCAGCCTGAGTAGACTAATATACTTGGTGTAAATTTTTTTGAGTTTATCTTGTTTGTGGTTTGCTAACCTTGATTCTGTAGGTTTATGTCTTTTGCCTAATTAGGAAGTTTTTGGTAATTATTTCTTCAGATGCTTTTTCAGCTCTGCCCTCTTTTTCCTCTCCTCCTGGGACTCCAATGACGTGAAGGTTGACTCTTTGGTTGTAGTCCCATGACTTCCTGAAGCTCTATTTATTTATTTGTGTAATCTATATTCTTTTATTTAGATTGGGTAATTTCTATTGCTTTATCTTCCAGTTGACTGTTCTTTCATCTGTTCTACCCATTCTAATTTTGAGCCCATGCGTTGAGGTTTTTTAATTTTGGTTAATGTATTTTTCAAATCTATAATTTACGTATTGCTGTTCTTCATATTTTCTATTTCTTTGGAGAGACTTTCTATTTCTTTGCTAAAATGATGTTTTTTCATTTGTTTTAAGAGTGTTCTTAATTGCTTGTTAAAGCATTTTTGTGGAGGCTGCTTTAAAAGTTTTTGTCAGTTAATTCTAACATCTATGTCAAGTTTCGTGTTGGCAGCTATACATTTTTTAAATTTAATTTGAGATCTTTCCAGTTCTTCATATGATGCATGCTTTTTTATTGAAATATGGGCATTTTGGGTTTTATGAAGACTCTGGATGTTATGTAAACTTTCTGTTTTAGCTGGCTTCCTCTGATGCTAGTGGGCAAAGCAAGAGTTCTAGCTCGCCAGTGGCCTTATATTATGAAAGGATGAGGGACTTTACTGCCCTGTGGGATACAAGTCTTGCCTTCCAGCTCTTCCTTCCTACACAGCAGAGTGCTTTGTTGTGCTTTGTTAAACAGCCTCTCAGGAGAGAAGCCTGGGCACCTCAGTCAGCCTTGGCTGCTGTGGCTCAGGAAGGGGCCACAGTTATTTCTGTGGTATGTGGCTGGAGTAGACCAGTTATTTTCTAAAAGCTTTCCCCTTGCTGGGCAGCCCATTTGCTAGCCTTTAGCTGAAGAGCAGAATTTGTGGGGATACTTTTGTCTGTGCCTATTAGCATTTCTGGATTTCTGGCTTCTTCAGTGGCAAGTCTGAAATATGTGAAGTGAAAAAGCAAAGACCCAAAACCCCAAACCAAACAAACCCAGGGAACGTTCCACTATGTTGTTCTTTGGGGGTTAAGTTGCCTAGCTCATCTGTCTTCCCTCTACCTTTCAGACTCTCCTAATGTTTGTTTTATGTATAATGCCCAGGGTTTGTAGTTCTACTTAGCAGGTGGAATAGGAAAAAGTATGTCTACATCTTCCCTGATGTGGAAGTCCCCTGAATTCTATCATTTAACTGCTCATGATTTTGCAATTATTCCAATGTGGATTTTGGCTGTTCTAGATTTGACACAGACAGTTTTTCTTTTCACATGCACATCACCTGAGCCAAGAGAGCACCCTAGGCCACGTGTCAAACACCCTGTGGCAATAAGTTAACATTGTCAAGTCTCCCTAATGAAGCATGTTGACAAATATGTTATACATACAATTCGGTGCTGGCTTTATATTTCTGCATTTATATCTATGCATATTATATAGTTTTATATACTGAGTAGCTTTTTAACATACTACCAGCCACCTAATTAAAACCTTTCTGGGGTTTTTAAAAAGCTGTAGAAAAAGCAGAAATTAGCACTCTAAAAATGGTTTATTTTATAGCCAAATGTCAACTAATTATTCCCATAGGTTGAAAATTCTTGCTCATTTTAACTAGGGTTATGTTCATTTTCAGAGGAAAAAAATCCCCCTCTGTCAAAACATGAACCCCCCTCCCCCACAACCTCTTTGTTATAAAAAGTTAAGTGTTTCCTCATCTGGATTTTACTATCATAGTCTTATAAATGACCAGATTATTAAGCATAGCCTTCCTGGGTATGTTCATGAAAATGAAGATTATAGTTTTCAGTCAATGGGCAACTCCTTATGAATCTGTGGATGTTTGATGTACAAGCCCCTGCCTGGGGCTGATGATACAGTGAGCAGGGTCTTACTGAGAGTCACCTGACTCAGCATCTCCTTCCAACCACCGCCTTTTCATTCACTGATATTGTGTCCAGAGCATGCTCAGTTTTCCTGTCTTTCACTGTTCTTAGCTCAGTTGGTTACATCTTAGGGAATCCCTTTCTTATTTGTGCTCTCGCCTTTAATTTAATCCCGGTCCACAACTCTTTCCCTTCCAAATGCTTCAAAAATCTCAGAATCATAGTTGCTTCTTATACAAGTATGAGGCAAAGACCTGGAGAAAATCAAATGTGATTTTGCTAAAATATGTATATTAATAGTGGAAAGAGAGAATAAGATCTCTTGTTCTCTAACAAAAAAAGGTATTCCTGTCTTTGTTACATTTCTGTAACTCTCTCTTTCTCTCTTTGTTATATTTCTGTAATCTCCCTGGGGGCAAGGAAGGGAAAAATAAAACACCACTAACAATGGGTGATTAATGGCAGGAATAAACCCAAATCAAACAAAAAAGCCATGCATAGACAAGTGAAGTTTGATAAATAGCCAGTGTCCTCTAATGTGAATCCTTTTTGACATTTCTGGAATACAACCCACCTGGTATCAAGCTGAAGAGGAACTGAGTAGGTTCTCCTTGGTATTCTCATAGAAAAAGGTGAAAACATATACTATTAGTTGATATTTGTTGTAAAACAAATGAAGTCTTTTATTCTGGTTGAAAGTGATGGAAAGACAATAAAAAAATCCTGAAACATAAAGGGAAAATTTTTGGCTCATGTATTTATGAAACAAGCTTGAGGCACAGGTGGATCTAGGTGTTAAAAAGTTGAAGTCAGGAATTCATTTTTTATATTGCTTAGCTTTGCCATCCTGTATTGGTTTAATTTCCAAGTAGGCTTGTCATTAAAAAAAAAAATGTAAGCAGCACGAGGTTTGTGTCTTACAAAATTAGAGACCCTTGGGGAATTAAGATATTTTCCCCAATAGTTTCAGTAAAAGTCATGCACATTGGCTGTGACTAGAACTGCTAGTGTTATATGCACATCTTTTGACTTCCTCTAATTTTCTGACTTCTTGACCTCTGTTATGGAGTCAGTTCTATTTAAACATAAACTGAAAGTAGGAAAGGAATTACTCTCCTCCTCTGCCCACCAAAATTGAAATTCTATCAGCAGAAGAAGAGCAAAGGATGCCAGAAGGTTAAATCAACATGTATCTACTACCCACAGAGAAGATAGTAATGTGGATACATAATGAGGTCAGGGAGAATTAATCCCATGAACACCAAGGCTATCCTTGCTATTGTTGGTTTAGGTATCTCTTCTGAACTAGGGGTAGGATCCTCAAGGTTCCAGTTATTCTTAAAATCTGTTTTAGAATCTTTCTAAAAGTCTTTATCTATCTTGTCCTTTTTAATTAAAAGGCATGAGTTTTCAAGATGCATTTTAAAAAGAAACTTTTATTCAATGTTATTTCTTCTGCTTTGTTTAACCTGTACCAACAAGGCAATATGAACCGTATTTGTGGATATGCTTTACTCTAGCAAAGTTACAGGCTACATAAGTTTGGGGACTAGACTGGAAACTTAACCACATTTTAAAACCATTTTTTCATGGAAAAAAAATTTCAAATGGTAATAGGATCCTCCGAGCCATGTGCAGGATATAATCTCCTGGTGTGCCGTTTGTTAAGCCCATTGGAAAAGCGCAGTATTAGGGTGGGAGCAACCCGATTTTCCAGGTGCCATCTGTCACCCCTTTCTTTGACTAGGAAAGGGAATTCCCTGACCCCTTGCTTTTCCCAGGCGAGGTGATGCCTCGCTCTGCTTCGGCTCACCCACAGTGTGCTGCACTCACTGTCCTGCACCCACTGTCCGGCACTCCCCATTGAGATGAACCCGGTACCTCAGTTGGAAATGCAGAAATCACCTGTCTTCTGCGTCGCTCATGCTGGGAGCTGTAGACTGGAGCTGTTCCTATTTGGCCATCTTGGCTCCACCCTCCTTTTCATTTAAGGAAATCTTGTTGCTCTGTGATTCCTCACCCATCAGATCCATAGCCTTCATAGGTTAGGAATGGGCAAGTATCACCCAGAAGAAAGAGATCATTGTTGATTGAGTGTTGGGTTTGGGATGGGGCCAAAGAATTTGCATTCTAACATATTTTTCTAACATGCTGATGTTTAGAGCACTTTGAAAGCAACCTAGAGAGATAATAGTCTTGAAAGTCAAGTTTACTGAGATAGAACAAAGATTTATAAATTTTAGAGTTTCCATTTCCATATCAATACCAAAACCTGGAGTTCTAAAACTGGTTTTACCATAAATAGATGTAAGTAGGCCTTGCCAGACAGGACAAAAAATCCTGCTGCTACTGGACAGAGGTGGGGAAGGAGACAAAATGACTAAGAAAAGATAGAATGTTCTTACTCCTAGCCAGGTGCAGTGGCTTATGCCTGTAATCCCAGTACTTTGGGAGGCCAAGGTGGGCTGATCACTTGAGGCCAGGAGTTTGAGACCATCCTGGCCAACATAATGAAACCCTGTCTCTACTAAAAATACAAAAATTAGCCAGGCTTGGTGGTGTGTTTCTGTAGTCCCAGCTACTCAGGGGGCTGAGGCAGGAGAATTGCTTGAACCAGGAGGAGGAGGTTGCAGTGAGCTGAAGATTGTGCTATTGCACTCCAGCCTGGACCACAGACTGATACTGTCTAAAAAAAAAACTAAATAAAATAAATAAATAAATAATGTTCTTACTGCCTTTCCCCTAACACCATCTTAGAGTCTAGTGTAAATCATTGGAAGTAGCAATTAGTGGTTAATTTGGAGAAATTAAGGCCTAGCCAAAGATGGGGCCCATATTCTTGCCTAGCTTGGTTTAGGCCTCTCAGGAAGCTCTGTGCCATCATGAGGTGATTGCAGAACTCGCCATGGTGGATGGCATCCAGGGGCAAGAAAGGGGTCTGAGACATGGCTCTTCTTTTTCTGTATGGCTTGTGCATGATGTTGAATAAATCTAGAAGTTCCTATGAGACTCTGGTGGCTGAGTGAGGGGATGCAAAGGTAGCCAAGAATAAAGAGCTGGAGAGTACTCCAGGGAGTGGACACAGCACAGTGCACGGATCTGTAGAACCAGGCAGATTTTGCCACTTGGTAGACACGCAGAGGGTCAGCAGCTCTCAAAAGACAAGGAGGGAGACTGTCCATAGGGAAGAAGCTGAGTTCCCCAGGAGCGGGCTTAGTATTGCCCACATGGAGACAACAGGCCAACCGCACACACTTGAGCACAGAATGCAGTGCATGAGGGCTAGGAGAGAGAAGCAACAACACACCGGGAGATTGCTGGGAGCTTGCAGAGAATGTCAACACCAGAAGCAGACAGCTCTTTCATTCCTTGGGCTTAGAGCCATTCAGGGAAAATGAGGGTAAAACTGGCAGGACTGAGCACCCAACCCCAAAGCTCTTGGTTTACCTGAATGTGACTGTTCTAAATTGGGCAAGCAGAAGTGTGTCTTTTCACAACAACTCATCAGAATGGGAGCGCCAAAGAAAAAGGAGGGCAGATAAAGAAAACAACAGTATTCTGGGAGAAGGGGCGGTGGTGCTAGGGATTACATTTTAACCCTGTCATGTTATTTCCAGGACAGATATAATTCAGAGGTAACTCAACATGTTATAAATAATGTGATTTTCATATATTTGTTTAAAATGCCACACTCTTGTAATCTTCACCTTTTATTTAGTTCCAAAATTTCAACAAATGACCCTGAAGAGCTCTCTATTGATACTTTGGGCCAAGATCTTGCTAGACACTGGAATCTTAGGTGGCTTCCACCATGGCTGGGATCTAAGCTGGGGCCTAGGCACTGCTGACCATTAGGCCTTGGGCATTTCTGGAGAATTTCTGGTGAACTGGTGACGGGGGCTAAGGGAAATCTGCCTGAGGGGTCTAAGGAACCACCTGAGGGGGAGTTCGTCTTACGGAAGGAAAGCAGGCAGTCTGCAAATGTCCCTTTCACAAAGCTGTGGTTGTCGAGGGAGGAGAAGGGATGGTGTAGTGAATGATATTCTAATTTATTCCTAGTCTGGCTCTTGGATGTATCTCTTTATTTTCAGGTACAGTCTCAAAAAACTCTTTAAATGCTGTTGTACATTGGGGCCCAACAGCGCTGCTTTCAGGCTTTTGTTCTAAGCAGAAGGACAGGCGTTCTTCTTGCTTTGTCGCTGAATACTGAGATCTTTGCCTTCTTGATGGGTGGGGTGGCCATGGAGAATGCTGGCTTTCAGAGGAGAAATTAGATAGAGTCTGATGTCCCATTTGGCCGGGCAGCATAGCCACAGAGCCTGGTAGATCACAGTTATTTGGGAGCCCACTTGAAGTACCCGATAAGGACTTCTAAGGACTTCCAAAAAATGTGACAGGCCTTCTGTGAAGTACAAATGGCCCTAAATGAACAGGTGAGGGCAAAATGAAAATTTAGTCACCACCCTGAGAATCACTAATTCAAACATTTTATTTAGAATAATCTTTTTTTTTTTTTAAAGGATTTTAGTACTTCAAAGGCTGGAAAACTGCCTTTTTATCAAGGCTAGACTTGCAAGGCCCAGTGCAAACTGAAAACACAGCGTCCATGTTTAGAAACTAAGACTTTCAAGGCAGCAACAGCAGAGCATTAAAGCAACTGCAGTGTGCGCCTGCGTGCAGGGCCCTGTGTGACTGTGCAGGTTGCACAGCCATGAAGCTGGCCCTAGGATCACTTACCAGCCAGAACAAACAGACAAAAATAAAATATTCTTTATCCATCTCCCACTTTTTCTCCATGCTGCACCTCAGGTTCTAGCCAAATTAACTTTAGATTCTTTGAAAGTGTCTGAAGTTGGGTTCCCTGAAAGGTGTATTTACTTGGAGGTGATTTTTTTGAGGAAGCGCTCCAGGGAGGCCAGTAAGAGCCTGGAGGAAGCAGGACAAGCAGAGGGGGAAGCTGAGCAAATGTGTCATCTTTCTTTTCTCTCTCTCTCTTTTTTTTGTACAATTTTAAAATTCATTTTATTTTGCTATGTTTCCATCTTTCTGTGTTTCCCTGGCTGGTCTCAAACTCCTGAGCTCAAGTGATCCTCCTGTCTCAGCCTCCTGAGTAGCCCAGCCAAGTGTGCTATCTTGATACCAGGAGAAGGCCCATAAAGGGAAGGCTTCAGCTTGAGTCCCCGAGGGAACTTGAGTGTAATTTCATCTCAGAGTTATCCCAAGCTAAGGTAAGGGAGATGGGTATTCACATCCAGTGCACTGACTAGTATTGGTTAATAGCTGCCTAGTGCCTCTGGGCAAACCTGCTGGGCTCCCGAAGACTAGCAGCAGGTTCTGGCCATTGAAAGGCAGGGAGTGGTAACTCCCATTTGTCTTTCAGGTCACCCCTTAGCCCTTGCATCTCTGAGAAGCCTTTCTTCCCTGATTCCTAGATGTCCCCAGATGATGCAAGCTTCTTGAAAAAATGTCCTTGTCTTGTTCATTTTTGCACTTCTAAAACCTAGGAGGCACCTAATGAGTATTTGTGTAATGGATGAAGAAATGAAGGTACCTCATCTAATGAGAGAGCATCAGCCCAACAACTTTTATTCTCTTCTAAACCATTTTGGGCTTGTTAGGGAGACATAGTCTTAAACTTCTCTTTCAGGGTGGTTCAGTGCCCCAGACTATTACTATTAGATTTTTTCCAATATATTAAAAAGCTAATAAAAATTAATACCTTCAAAACCCAAAGTATAGCCACATAAATAATTCCACATACATGAGCCGTGAATTCACCAGTGACTTAAAATATAACCATACCTCCAGTGAATCCGCATTTTATAAGCCATTAAATCTCTCTTTTTTATGTGAACAGAAGGTGCATCCAGGACTTTTAATTGTTAAGAATTTTCCTTTTGTTTCCCAGTGAGGGCAAAAGCTATATTCTTTTTGAAATGGGTACAACCCTGTAATGGCATGCTTTCCTATTTGGATATGACAGATATCCTCTCAGGAACTAAACTCATTTCTGCATGACATACTTGAGACTTGGAGAAGTAAACTACAATTTATCTCCTCTAAATTGCACTCCCCAGTTCAGAGCAGGAGGCAGATAACCTCAATGTGAACTTTGCCTATGGATGTTTATCTACAGGCTCCAAATAATATGGATTTATTCTGGTAATATACAGACCATTTGGTAGATAACGTTGAGAGCAAATATTTTATTGCTGATTTCTTGTAAATTATACATGGCTGTGTTTTAGTGGATTCTCCTTCCAAACCACAGACTCACAACATGAGTAGTTATACAGATTTTTATTATGATCTTGAATATTGACTTTTAATTATGCACTGGTTAACAAAACAAATAAGACTGTCACTTCCATCAAGGGAGCATTAAGGATGGAGGGTATCCTTTTGACATCTCTTCTATCTTTCCATCCCAGTGCTACTTGCTTTAATATCACCCATGCCAGGCATAAAAAGGGAAAAATTTCACATTACTTTAAGAAGACCCTAGAGCAGTTTGTAGTTATGTTTATTGCAAAAGATACAGGGCTTACAGTAATGGTAGCTGAAGGACACCTTAACAACCTTATTCAAGAGTAAGGAGGGAAATTCAAAGAGACGTGAGGCATTATTTCCATCTCAGTAGAAGACAGACTGGACACAAAATACATTTATATTGAAGCCAAAGAAGGTAGACAATTGAATGAACTTCCTGACTACAAGAATATTAGGGGAAAGAAGTCATCAAAAAATCCAAGAGCTAAATTCCACTCTTTTTGATATCTTTTGGTTCTTAACATGGCCTTATAGAAGACTCAGTAACTCAGTATCTGACAGCAATGGCCCAAAAGTTTTGCAGATCTGAGGTCAGCATCCAGAAACGGTGACCCCTCTGACACCCCTCGCATTCTAAGACTCAGTGATCTCATCCTTGGAGATAATAAGAGGTGATGAGAAACTTCTATGTGACGTGTATATTTTTAGATTCTATTTCTAAGTATGAGGAGGGTTAAAGGCTTTTGAATTTCTTTTCTGGCAATTCAGGCAAGAAAATAGGTCAAGAGCTCAGTAGGACCAAGAAGATCAGTGATTTATTTCTGTACGGCGGTTGGTGTTCTTTTTAACCCTTTCTCACAAGAATATCCTGAAATATATCCTGTGAGAAAATGTTAATGGTGAAGATAAATGCAGAATATTGAGGTCTTGGTGAATGTTAATTGTGTAATAAATCTTAGTAGAAAGTATGAATGTGATCCAGTGACTCTTTGACAATAGTATAGTTTGGATGCAATCAGGTTAATGTATTTTGTTTAGACTTATAGAAAATTTGAGCTGGAAAGGACCTCAGAAATCAAATCTAATTATATTATTATTCATTTAGTTTTTACTGGTGGAGCAACTGAGTCATTTGCCATCTGGATAATAGCATGGGTGCTGCAAATTCAATCCAGTGTGATGGTGTTTCCATTCCGTTACTCTCTTCTAGGATGCCAGTTCTCTCTGCACCTTACCTTATGGAAAAAGCTAGAATTTTGTAGTTGTTTATTTTTTATCCCTATAGCAAAAAATGTAAGAAGATAGTTTTTTTTTCTCAATCTGTGAAAAATGTGAAAAATGGCAACTACTTTAATGTCTTGTACCAGGTTAAAATTTTTCCATCAATTCGGTGCCACCATGGCAACTTTCTAAACAAAAGAGCAATAAAAGGGTGGTGCTCATTATTCTTAAAAATCATCATTACAGAAAACAATTACTTGGTCAGTACTATGAAACAATATTTTTACAAACCCTAGCCAAGCAACAGGAAAGCTGTCACCATATAACATCATCTATATGAAGATCCACTGGGCTCCTTCTTATTTCATCAATTGACTTCCCTGTTTTGTTGTTTGAAATGGAATTAAATCCTGAGTATATTGAGGAAAATTGGGGAGTTCATGGAAAATGGTCACTTTGAGTGGAGAATGTATGTATTTTGGAAGCCAACATTAAAGTGAGGGTATTTTTCCTAACACAGAAGAGCTTTAAGGTTGCCTCCATACTTTTGCAGAAATAAGTGCCTTCCCAGTAGAATTTCAGCCACCCTAGCCAATTATCAGGAATTATTTCTACCTTGACAATGAAATAAACCCTCAATAAGGAAAAAAACATAAGCACACTGCAATTTGAGGAACCCGTGTGTATTTCAGAGTCTCCAGGAACAATGTGTTGTTAAACAAAATATAAAATGTGCAATAAACTTTAGGTATAAAGGACTTTGTTGGCTATAAAATTTTATTTTACTGCTATCCTCCTATGGCTAAACATGTTGGAGATCAGTAAAGTATTAAAATATTTAAGATGACAGAACATGAAGCCTAATTCTAGAAATATAGCAGTGAGAAAGAATGACAAGGGGCAGACACAGAATGCCTATTCCATCAGCTGCATACTTTCCATCATTTCAGTGTATACTTAATCTTAAAAGATACAGAGGGTGGAGTGAGCATGCGTGGTTGACCATCTTAATTACACTCTACACAGAGACACCAGTTGAAACTGAGAGTGACAACTTTGTGTCAGAATCACAGTGTTGGAGCAAGTCCCACGTGGTCACTTCTTTCTTGCTTAAACACACAGTCAGGATGTTGGAGAATTTTCCTGAGGCTCAACTTACTGTTTTCATGAGTCTATGGGAGCTTATAAAAATACATACTGTTTAAATTTTCCTAAATGTGCATGGAGGCAAAGATTTTTATTCTGAAATGGAAAACCTCTTGTTTTCCATTGTTAAGGAAAGACTTTGTTACAGAAATAAGTCTCCCTGTGGAAAATTATAGTTTTCAGGTGAGCTATCCCTACTAATCAGACTCAAGGTTGATTGGAACATTACAAAATTGTATGATTTTTCCTTTGGAATAAAAATTACTGAATGAGAGAAGCAAAATCCTAAAAATGAGAAGATGATGGTGTTTTCTACTGAACCATTTCCAAAGTAGAATTAGAAAATTATTTGAATATTCTGCTAGACTTACATGCATGATTAATTAGGATGGCACCGCCAAAACCAGATTCCTTGCTTTTAGAGTGTCTGTATTAAATTTGAACTTGATTTTTTCAATCTCTAATTTTCAGTTATCTACACATGGTTTATTGTGGTTTTGTTGCTTTTTTTGTTGCTCTGTGTGTAGAGACATGTGTGTGGATATGTGTGTGTGAATATGTGTGTGTGGAGAGTGGGTGTCTCATTATTGTATTCTTAGTTTGTAGCAAACTTCCTAGCACATAGTGGGATATTAACTAATATATCTTAAAGAAAGACACTTGAGTACGTTTGCTTTTGTCCTGTATTTATAAAAGTAATACTCATTTTAGAAAAATATAAAGGAGAATAAAAAAATAGACAAGGAAACTAAGTTTACTCGTAATCTTACCAACCAGTAATAATGTTATTAATCTTTTGGTGTGACTCCAATCATCTAATTTATATATATATGTATATATGCATACAGACAGATATTTCTAGAAACACACACACACACACCAGACACTCACAATTGGTTTCTGTATTAGTTCATTTTCACATTGCTATAACGAACCAACTGAGACTGAGTAATTTATGAAGAAAGGAGGTCTAATTGATTCACAGTTCCACATGGCTGAGGAGGCCTCAGGAACCTTACAATCATGGTGGAAGGCAGAGAGGAAGCAAGGCATGTCTTCCATGGCAGCAGAAGAGACAGCGAGTGAGGGGGGAACTGCCAAACACTTTTCAACCATTAGATCTCATGGGAACTCACCCACTATCATGAGAACAGCATGGGGGAAATTGCCTCCATGATGCAATCACCTCCCATTAAGTCCCTTCCTCCACATGTGGGGATTACAATTCAAGATGAGATTTGGGTGGGGACCCAGAACAAAACTATATTAGTAACAAACCAAATATTCAGCTATGTAGTCTTTTTTCAGTTTAACCTTAATGAGTTGAAAAATATTCTATCAAATGAAAAATTCTTTATAAAGTTTACCATGCCCACTTATGAAAAAACTTTAAAACCATGAGCTCCACAAGCTAGGGTTGAAGAAAGCTCCCCTGTGTTTCCTTTACTGGCCAGTAGTGATGTTTATTGAACACTCACTAAGTGATAGAAACTCTTCTAAGCACTTACTCATAATGTCCAGGTTTAATCTCTACAACTTTTGAAGTAGATGCCATTAGGATCGTCCTTTTATGAACTAGAGAGTGTGACAAATTTGCTCAAATTCATATAGCAGGTTAGAGAGCTGAATTTTGGACACAGTTTTGCTGAATCTAGACCCTGAGGTCCAGGTTTGCTGAACCTAGACTTATGAACCTCTGGGCATATTACTGCCTTCCATGGCTATGGTATACATCTGGACACGTCTTTAGTCCTTTCACCCTTTGATCACTTGGTCCTATTTATCCTGTTGGTAAAATGTCTCCTGTTCTCCAACCTCCCATCAATACCTTAACTCACTGGATCTCAACCAGGGCCAGTTTGCCCTCCTGGGGACATTTGGGGATGCCTGGAGACATTTTTGTTTGTCACAACTTGAAGGCAGATGCTACTGGTATCTACTGGGTAGGGACCAAGGATATTGCTAAACACCCTACAATGTACAGGACAGCCCCTGCAGCAAAGAATTATGCAGCCCAAAATGTCAGTAGCATCAAAGTTGAGAATGCTGCCTTAGCTCATTTCCTCAACCTCTTTTGTCTGAACATAAATAGCCTTCTAATCAGTTTCTTTACCTTTAGTTTTATCCTTATCCACACTGCTGCTATGACTAGCTCTTTAAACACAAATAAATCATGCTGTTCTCTTGCTCTGTTTAGCTCTGTCACTCTGGATGGCTACCTGGGTTCAAATTATGATTCAAACAGTTCAGGATCATATGACCTTGGGCAAGTGATTCGTAGCACCTGGCTCAATAATGTTCTTGTGAGGATTTTAACACTTTGTAGCTAGCATAAATTAAGTCTTCAATAAATGCTATCTACCATTTTAAAAAAATCTTTGAAGGCTTTCTACTGCCTACAGAAGAAAGCCTATCCTTGTCAACATGATATCCCTTCACTGTGTTTTATTACTCAGAGCCTCTTCTCTGGGATACTGCCCTGGTTGCCCTGTGTCCAGTCCTGCAGGACTGGACCCTTTAGATTAATGGAGACTTGGGTATCAGGTGTCTTTGCTCAGACTCTGCTGCCAGCTTGGGAAGTCCATCTCCAGCTCCTCCGCTTGGACACATCTGTCTTAGCCAAGACTCAGGTCAAATGTAACCGTTTCTGTTTAACCTTATCTAATAGCTAGTCAGATTTATTTACTCCTTCCCCTACATTTTCACAACATTTTGGTTATATCATCTCTCTTTCCATCCATCTATCCATCCATCCTTTGATCCTTTCATCCATCCACCCACCTATTCATTGGCTGTCATACATAGTAATTAAGAGGGCAAGCTCTGGAACCAGATTTTCTTAGTTCAAAAGTCAGATTCCAAAACCAAACTGAGTAACCTTGATCAAGTTACTTGATCATGAAGCCTTAATTTCCTTGCATCTCAAATAAGTATAATAATATTATGTAATTAATAAATTGACAGTGAGGGTTGAATGTATGTAAATCATTTATTATATTGTCTGTTATGTACAAACCCTAACTAAATGTTAGCTCTCACCCATTTGTATTTGTTAAATTCCTACTCTGTGATGGGTCCTCTTTACATGATGCCTTGCATTATAATAAGTTGTGCATGTGCCCAACTCTCCGATTAGGTGATGAGCTTGCAGAGTAAAGGCCCCCTCCCTGCCCCTTAAAAGTAATCTCCTCTCCACTCCAGCACTTGAAATATAGGTGAAAAAATCATTTCCATCAACATCTAGCCTGTGTTTCATAATGTCCTTGCTGGGCAGTATTTCTCTCTTAAGATGCTATGCATCTACTAACGTGAGAAGTATGGCCAGTCAAAAGGAGCCTGCTATTCTCCTGGATTGGTTGCATCCTACTCCCACCCCTCTCCTCAGCATTTCCAACCCACATTTCAGCTGCCTCTCTGGGAGTCATACAATCACAGTGAATCTCTTCCTGATTATAATAATGGCCTTCAGCCTCCTCCATTATGCTGGAGCTGAAGAGATGATGTCAGTGACATATTCCTGTAGGAAGAACTCAGTGACTGCTTAATTTTCCATGTAGGTTTTTAATGCTTTGTATTTTGTTAAAATCCAGATCACAATCTTCCACTAAGCAAGTGGTCCAATCTGATTAATATAGTACATTCTCCTTTGTTGCCAAACATTGCCAAGGGCAAGGTAATACTTAGGGAACCACCCCCTCCTCCAAACATACACACATATAAATGAAAAATAAGTAGATCTGTACAATCATTATTGAGCTAAAATAGCACTTAGAAATGTATTTTTATTGTGAAAAATGGCCAAATAAGAGTTGCTGACTATTTGTAGCCCTGTAATGTAAGTCAGATAAATTGGTGCCCAGAAGTCTGACATTTCAAAAGCCCAGGAATATGTCGCATTTTTTCTGGTATGCCATTTTTGTAATTCTCCCAGCTATTTTCCTTTAGCAAGAAGCAATTCTTCTGTGCCCAAGCAGCTCAATTAGAGCATTGTAAAAGTTGTCATAATGACTTTAACATAAGTGCCCCTGAGCAATAGGGATAATTTTGGAGGGGAGCAAGTTCCGCTGTTACTTTCCTGGTATGGAAAATGGTAATAGCTTGCTTGGAGAAGAAATGCACCATCTGTAACTTAACTCAGTTAACCTGCTCGGAGAACTAAAAACACACTATCTCACCTGAAGTGGTTTTCCTGTTTTGGTCTTTTCAACATCTTTGTACCTTCTGTAGCCAACAGCACTCTCCTTTTCCTCTCAGTGCACATATATTAGGTGACTCCACCTCTGTGGTGGTTTATAACAGTACTCCCCAGCCTTTTGGGCACCAGGCACCGGTTCCATGGAAAGCACTTTTTCCACAGATGGGCTGGGGGTGGGGGATGGTTTTGGAATGAAACTGTTCCATCTCAGATCATCAAATATTAGATTATTATAAGAAATGTGCAACCTAGATCCCTTGCATGTGCAGTTCACAATAGGGTTCATGCTCGTATGAGAATCTAATGCCCTGCTGATCTGACAGGAGGTAGAGCTCAGGCGGTAATGCTCACTTGCCTCCTGCTGTGTGGCCCAGCTCCTAACAGGCCACGGATTGGTACTGGTCCATGGCCTGGGGGTTAGGGACCCCTGGTTTAGAATATACCTACAAATTCTCCCCTTGAATATCAACTGGCCTCCGTGATTTACTTCTAATAAATAGAATGCAGCAGAAATTACACTGTCTGACATTTGAGCACAGGTCAGCGGTCAGCGCATTTTTTCTGCAAATGCTCACATTGTAAATATTTTCAGCTTCACAGGCCATACCCACATGGCCTCTGTCACAACTCCATAGCTCTGCTATTGTAGCATGTAGCAGCCATAGATAATATACAGACAACCTTGGCTATTTTCTGATGAAAATTTATTTCACCTTGAAGCCACCATGCTAGAGAGGTTATGAGGAAAGAATACATAGAGATAGAAAGAGATGCTCATGAAGCCCCAGCGTCCAAGCCATCTTCCCTTGCAGGTATGTGAGGAGGAGGCCTTCAAGATGAGTCCAGCTTAGCCACCATCTGGATGCAACTACACTGTGAGACCCCCAGTGAGAACAGATTAGCTGGTGCAGTCAACTCCCAGAACTGTGACAGATGATGATAATGACAATAATGATATAATGGCTTTGGGATGGGCACATGATCTAGACCTCACTTATCCGTATATTTTAACTCCCTGCCAATATTACTTTGTAGAGGAAGGGACACGTGCCTCAGTTTGATCCAATGAGATGCAGTTCCTTGATCTTGAGGAAGAGTGGAGGAACTCTCCTTTTGCTATGTTTCTAACCAGACAACCTGAGGCTGCTCGTGGACATTTTGATACCACATGGGAAGAGCCTGTCCAAGATAATAACCAACAAAGAAGAAACCAGGGCAGATAAGCAGAGAGCTAGAGAGACAGATTCTGAAGGCATCGTTTGGGTATCATTACAGAGTTGTTCCTGAACACTAACCATGTGTATTTCAGTTATAGGAGCCAATTGTTTAAACTTTTCATTATAGTAAGATATATATTCATAAATCATAAGTGTATAGGTTGATGATTTTAACAAACTGACCACAGCCATGTAGCCAGGACCCAGGTTAAGAGACCAAAGTTTGCCACTCTTCCAACTGCCTATCTCTTGCCTCTTTTCAGCTTTTCTCCAAAGATAACCACTAGCTTTGACAGCATATATTAGTTGTTTTACTTTTTGTGCTTTGTTCCAATGTAATCATACAGTATGCACTCTTTTGCATCTGACTTGTTATTTTCTCCCTTTTATTTTTGGTTGACACATAATAGTTGTACATATTTATGGGATACAGAGTAATATTTTAATACATGTATACAATGTGTAATGATCAAATCAGAGTAATTAGAATATCCATCACCTTAAATGTTTATCATTTCTTTGTATTGTGAACATTCAAAATCCTCTCTTCTAGCTTTGTGAAAATATATGATAAATTATTGTTAACTGTATTTGCCCTATAGTGCCATAGAACATGAGAACTTATTCCTCTTATTATCTAGCTATCTAGCTGTAATTTTGTATCTTGAACCAACCTCTCCCTATCCTTCCCTGCCTCCTACTCATCCCAGCCTCTATAACCACAATTTTCCTCTGTTCAGTTGTTCAACTCCCACATGTGTGTGAGAACACATAGTATTTATTTTTCTTTGATGACTTATTTCACTTAACATAATACCTTCCAGACTTTTTCATGTTGCCACAAATGACAGGATTTTATTCTTTTTAATGGTTGGATAGCTTCTATTGTGTATATATACCATATTTTCTTTATCTATTCATCTGGTGATGAACATTTAGGTTGATCCCATATCTTGGCTATGTGAATAGTGTTGCAATAAACATGGGGGGCAGATATATGCTTGTAAAAGAATTGCCTTTTCTCTGCATCCTCTTCTGCATTTGTTATTTTTTGTCTTTTTGATAATAACCATTCTGATGGGAGTGAGGTGATATCTCACTGTAGTTTGGATTTACATTTTCCTAATGATTGGTGATATTGAGCATTTTTTTCATATACTTCTTGGCCATTTGTATATCTTCTTTTGAGAAGTGTTTTTTCAGATCCTTTGCCCACTTTTAAGTCAGATCTTTTTTTGTATGAATTGTTTGAGTTCCTTGTATATTCTGGATATTAGTTCCTTTTCAGATTAATAGTTTGCAAATATTTTTTCTCGTTCAACACATTGTCTCTCTCTCATGTTGATTGTTTCCTTTGGTGTACAGAAGCTTTTTAGTTTGATATAGTGCCATTTGTCTTTTTTTGTTTCTGTTGCTTGTGCTTTTGAAATCTTAGTCATAAGTTTTTTGCCTAGACCAATGTCCTCAAGTGTTTCCCCTATGTTTTCTTCTAGTGATTTTATAGTTTCAGGTCTTATATTTAAGTCTTCAATTCATTTTGAGTTTATTTTTGTATATGGTGACAGACAGGGATCATTTCATTCTTCTACATATGGATATCCAGTTTTTCTACCATCTCTTTTTGAAGAGGTTGTGCTTTCCTCAATATGTATTCTTGGTGCCTTTGTCAAAAATTAGTTGGCTGTAAACATATGGATTTAATGCTAGGTTCTCTGTTACTTTCCACTGGTCTGTGTGTCTGTTTTTATACCAATACTATGCTGTTTTGTTTGCTGTAGCTTTGTAGTACATTTTGAAGTCAGGTGGTGTGGTACTTTCAGCTTTGTTCTTTTTGCTCAGCATAGCTTTGGCTACTCAAGGTCTTTTATGGTTTCATACAAATTTTGGAACAGTTTTTAAAAGTTCCTGTAAAGAAGGTCATTGATATTTTGATAGGAATTGCATTGAATCTGTAGATTGTTTTGGGTGTATAATCATTTTAACAATGTTAATTTTTTTGTTCTATGAGCCTGATATGTCTTTCCATTTGTTGTTGTTGTTGTGTTGCCTCTTCAATTTCTTTTATCAGCATTTCGTGGTTTTCATTATAGAGATCTTTCACCTTCTTGGTTAAATTTATATCTAGGTATTTTACATATTTTTTGTAGCTATGGAATTGCAGTTTGATTTCTTTTTCAACTAGTTCTTTATTGATGTATAGAAACACTACTGATTTTTGTATATATTGATGCAGTATTCTGCCACTTTACTAGATTTGTCTGTGCTAAGGGTATTTATTTATCTTTAGGTTTTTCTATATACAAGATAATGTACTCTGTGAAGAGGGACAATTTGACTTTCTATTTTCTAATTTGAATGCCCTTTAATTCTTCTCTTGCTAATTACTCTAGCTAGGACTTCCAATACTGTGTTGAGTAGAAGTGGTGAAAGTGGGCATTTTTGTCTTTCTCCACCTTTTAGAGCGAAGGCTTTCAGCTTTGCCCCGTTCAGTATAATGTTAGTTATGGGTTTGTCCTATATATGGCTGTTTTTGTTTTGAGGTATGTTCCTTCTATATTTAATTTGTTTAAAGTTTTTAAAATCATTTTATAAAATATTTTTTCTGTGTTTATTGAGATGATCACATGATTTTTGGGTTTTATTCTGTTGATGTGATGTATTACATTCATTGATTTGCAAATGTTGAACCAACCTTGCATCCCTGGGGTAAATCCCAGTTTAGCATGATGTATTATTTTTTTCAATGCACTGTTTGATTCAGTTTGCTGGTATTTTGTTGAGAATTTTTACAGCTTTCTTCATCAGGGATATTGTCCTGCAGTTTTCTTTTTTTGTTATGTCTTTTTCTGGTTTTGGTATGAGGGTAATGCTGGTCTCATAGAATGTGTTAGGAAGAATTTCCTCCGCTTCAATTTTTGAAATGGTTTGAGAAGATTTAATGTGACTTCTTTAGAAGTTTGGAATTTAGCAGTAAAGCTATTCAGACTAGGCTATTCTTTGTTGGGAGACTTTTTATTAACAATGAATCTCATTAATTATTATTGGTCTCTTCAGTTTTTCTATGACTTCCTGATTCAGTCTTGGTAGGTTATATATGTCCAGGAATTTATACATTTCTTGCAGGTTTTCCAATTTGTTGGTGTATAATTGTTCATAACAGTTTCTAATAGTCCTTTGTATTTCTGTGGTATCAGTTGTAAAGTCTCCATTTTTTTGCTTCTGATTTTATTTATTAGGGTCTTCTCCTTTTCTTAATTTAGCTAATGGTATGTTGATTTTGTTTATCTTTTCAAAAAAACCTGCTTTTTGCTTTGTTGGCCTTTTGTATTTTTTTTATCTCAACGTCTTTTAGTTGTGCTATAATCTTTATTATTTTTTTCCTTCTATCAGTTTTGGGTTTGGTTTGTTCTTGCTTGTCTAGTTCCTTGAAGTGCGTAATTAGGTTGTTTATTTGAAATCCTTGTACATTTTTGATGTAGTCATTTATTGCTAAAAATTTCCCTCTTAGTACTGCTTTTGTTATATCCCATGAGTTTTGGTATGTTTCTATTTTCATTTGTTTCAAGACTTTTTTTTATTTCTTTCTCAATGTCTTCATTAACTGAATAATCATTCAGAAACATGTTTAATTTGCATTTACAGTTCTGTAAGAGTCTCTTAGGTCCATTTTGTCTATAGTGCAGTTTAAGTCCAATGTTCCTTGCTGAGTTTCTGTCTAGGTGATTTGTGCAATACTGAAAGTGAGGTGTTGAAGTTCCCAGCTCTTACTATATTATTAGAGCTAACTTGTTATATACCTGGGTGCTTCTTTGTTGGGTACATATATAATTGTTATATCTTCTTTTTTTATTATTATACTTTAAGTTTTAGGGTACATGTGCACAATGTGCAGGTTTGTTACATATGTATACATGTGCCATGTTGGTGTGCTGCACCCATTAACTTGTCATTAACATTAGGTATATCTCCTAATGCTATCCCTCCACCCTCCCCCCACCCCACAACATATATCTTCTTGCTGAATTTGTCCCTTTATCATTATATAATCACCTTCTTGATTTCTTTTTTTTTTCACTTAAAGTCTGTTTTTTCTGATATAAGTACAGCTGTTTCTACATGCTTTTGATTTCCATTTGTGTGGAATACCTTTTTATATCCCTTAACTCTAAGTCTATGTGTGTATTTATGGACGAAGTACCTTCTCACAGGCAACATATGGTTGAGTTTTTTAAAACATCTATTCAGCCAGTCTGTATCTTTTAACCGGGAATTCAAACTTTACAATCAAGGTTTTTATTGATGGAAGAGAACTTACTCTTGTCATTTTGTTCATCGTTATCTAATTATTTTATATATCCTATGTTCCTTCATTTATGTCTTGTGATTTATCTTTGTGATATGGTGGTTTTCTGTAGTAATGACATTCTCCAGGTGTCAAGATGATGTTTTACTTTGGGACCTCAATTTTCTGATGGATCCAAGAAAAGCCATTGATTTTCAATTTGATCAGCTTTTTATTGTTGTTTTAAGGATGGAAATGATTGGAATGTGACTACCACTTTACATATCAGAACTGAAATGGGAAGCTTATACATTAAAGTTTTAGAGGACTCACTTTTTATTCTTTTTGGAATCTTTTTTGTGTTTTTTTGATACTAATTTACAAAATTCGTGTTTTTTAGTACGGATTAGTGACACTGGAATGATAGTCAAGTCACTTTTAACTTCATTGTTCTAAATTTCTTTTAAAAAATTGTTTTGAAACAGGTTCCTGCTCTGTCACCCAGCCTGGAGTGCAGTAATACAATCATAGCTCACTACAGCCTCGAACTCCTGGGCTCAACTGATTCTCTTGCCTCAGCCTCCTGAATAGCTGGGACAACAGGCATGTGCCACCACACCCGGCTAATATTTTTTACGTTTTGTGGAAGTGGAGTCTCACTATGTTACCCAGGCTGGCCTCAAACTCATGAGTTCAAAACATACTCCTGTCTTAGCCTCTCAAAATCCTGGGATTATAGATGTGAGCCAGGATAACTGGCCCATTATTCTAAATTCCAATCATTCATGAGTCTATGAAAAATTTATAACAAATGACTACTTTGGAGTTCAATAAGCTGAGTAACTCAGCCTCAGTCACACAACTAACTAACCCCAGAGAAGAGACCCAAATCTCTCTGGTCCTCTGGACACATTGCTCAGTGATCTTGCCTCTGCATCTTTCTAAGGTCTGGTTTCACTCTATAATTTTCTTTCAAACCATGGTATGACTGTGAACCTAGTGTACTTTCTGTTATCTTGTTGGGGAAAAATTATAATACATAATTCAATAGCATACACATTATTTGCTTTCCTTTGTAGATTCCAGGGAGTCTACCAACTTATAACACATTAAAAAATCATTTAAAGGTATTAGAAAGGTATTTTTTGGTTGAGTAAAAGTGGAAATGTATGAACAGTTTAAAATTTTTTTTTTGGTTGTTGAGTGATCTTCACTTTGAATACTGAAGGAGTCTGATTTCATTCTATTGGTTTTTCAATGACAGGTATGTCCTTAAAATTCAACTATTTATTTAGGCTGTCACTAAAGAAAACTGCTGACATGGTAAAAGCCCATGGTATAAGTACCAAGCCTAAAAATATGTGGAGTGTTTAGAGAGAATATAAAAAAAAAAAAGATATGTAAAAGAATGTGAATTAAGCCAGCAGTTTGTCTTTGAAAAAGAGAGTGTTGATTTGGGGCTTCTGATCTGTATGCTACCCCATTTCTCTACTGATATTTCTCTACTGATAGTAAAGATGTTCAAAGGCACCTAAAAGTCTGAACTATTAAGAAGCTATACTCCAAAATCAATGTTAGTTTTGTCTCTCACTCCTTCACAGACAGGCTTTTTTTTTTTTTTTTTTTTTTTTTAAATCAATTCCTGTTTGGGGCTAATTGTTTAAAAGCCATGACTTCATTTTCAGGTTAAATACATGTCTCTTCCATTCTGAGAATTAAAAAAAAAGAAAAGAAAAAAAAAAAACAGTCTTTGAGTACTATGTTCAATTTACTAAAAATATCTAGAAAACTAAAGTATTCCCAAAGGCAAATCTTTGGTGTGACAGATGTAAAATAATATCCACAAGCTGAAGGGTCTGTCTTAGAAAAGCATTCTGCAACTGCTTCAACAAGAGTACTGGGTGTCATTTATAATTCATGCAAGTATATTGAAGCTTTCTGCTGTCGTCCAAGAAAGATGGTTTTCAAAGCTACAGAGTGCAATAATCCAATATTCCTTGTAGAGAGTCCCATATATCTCATATAGATTTTACACTGGAGATCATTTCCATGCTGATGACCTCAAGAATACAATGTGATATTTTCAGAAAACACAGATTTATGCTATGTGCTATTTCTGTGGGCTTGGGGGACAACCATTAGATCATTAAGTTGAAGGTATATTTCTAGTCAGACTTAATCCACATTGCAGTGGTCACTACAAAAAAAAATGTGTATCTAAATGCCTCAAGAACTTCAGTTTTTGTGTTCAACATATTTTGCAGTGGAAAATGAGTTTGATGATCAGAGTGTACTCCTATAGAAGGCAAAATGACCATGAGAATAATTAGAATAATTCAATCATTTCTTCTTCTTCTTCTTCTTCTTTTTTTTTTTTAAACAGAGTCTTGCTCTGTCGCCCATGCTGGAGTGCACTGGAGTGATCTCGGCTCACTGCAAGCTCCGCCTCCCGGGTTCACGCCATTCTCCTGCCTCAGTCTCCCGAGTAGCTGGGACTACAGGCACTCGCCACCACGCCCGGCTAATTTTTTTGTATTTTTAGTAGAGTCAGGGTTTCATCGTGTTAGCCAGGATGGTCTTGATCTCCTGACCTCGTGATCCGCCCACCTCGGCCTCCCAAAGTGCTAGGAATACAGGCGTGAGCCACTGTGCCTGGCCTCAATCATTTCTTCTAAAGTACAGGACTTTGAATATGAGATCAGCTTATATTCAAAATCAATTTAATAATTAAATCAAATTTAAATATTAAATTATTTGCAGGCCAAAAGAAGTGAGCTTCCTAAAGTGACACCCAATACTCTTGTTAAAGCTGCTACAGAATGCTTTTCTAAGAAAGACCCTTCAGCTTATGGGTGTTATTTTACATCTGTCACACAAAAGATTTCTCTTTGGAAACAATTTAGTATTCTAAATATTTTTAGTTAATTGAACATAGTACTCAAAGACTGACTTTTGTTGCCACTATGAGAACATGGTAATGTCACAGGTCAACCAATAACAGGTAGTTATTACAGGCTCTGATTAACACTACAGTGCATTTGAAGACCACATAGTCAGAAAATAATCAAAGACATTTTCAATAGACCAATGTGTGCAATATAATCTATCATAAAAATCCAGTTATGAGAAATTCTCCATCCACAGTAACCTTTTGAGTAGCACCTGCCCTTCAATATTTCCCTCCTTTCTTTTCAGGATTTCATCAAATGGTCTGCTGCACTGTGCTGGAATTTTGAACTCCCCAGAGTAGTAAACAACATCTTCTCAAGGGTATACAAGTCATCAGATAGAGAAAACACCCATTATAGAGCTGTGGAGCCCTTACGATATAGTGCTATGCTGCAACAAATTAGACAGAAGAGTATTTGTTGAATAATAAAAGGTATCAATGAACGAACAAATAAATTAATGAGCTGATGTATTGATTAAATGAATTTACTTCTTTCAGATTTACTTTTCCAAACTAAAAAAAAATTGTTTTAAACTTTGTTCCAAAGTTATACAGTTTTTACAAAAATAAAACTTTATTTTTGAATTGCTTTATATTTACAGAAAAGTTGCAAAGATATGGAAAGTTGCCTCACCCTATAATTAGCTTCTGACATTAGTATGGTACATTTGTCACAATTATTGAACCAGTATTGATGATATGTTATTATTAACTAAATTCTATACTTTATAAAGATTTCCTCAGTTTTTACCTAATGCCATTTCTCTGTTCCAGGAACCCATCCCAGAAATCACATTTCATATTGATATCAAGTTTCCTAAGACTCCTCTTCGTAGGTACAGTTTCAGGGCCAAAATTTTAAGGGCCTTGAGTGTTTTGAGCAGTACTGGACAGGTGTTTTTTAGGATGTCCCTCGACTGAGCTTTGACTGATGAATTGCTCATGATTGAATTGGGACTATGGGTCTTCAGAAGAAAGATCATGAGCCCTTTTTGTCACATCATGTCAAAGATACCATGCCATCAATACAACTTATTACTGATGATGTTGACATTGACCACTTGACTGAGATAACATTTGTCAGATTTCTCCACTGTAAAGTTACTTTTCCCCACTTTCCATACTATACTCTTTTGTAGGAAGTCACTATGCACAGGCCATACTTAAAGAGAGCTCCATCTCCTTGAGGGCAGAGTAACTACATTAAATATTTGAAATCTTTCTGCCCAGGAGATTTGTCTATTTTTCCAATTTATTTATTCAATCTATTATTATTATGTTAGATATGAGACCTTGCTATGTTGCCTAGATGGGTCTCAAACTCCTGAGCTCAAGTAATCCTTCTGTCTCAGCCTCCTGAGCAGGTGGGACTATAGGCATGCACCACTGCACCTGACAATCATTTATTGATGGCAGTATGAACTCATGGACATTTGTTTTATCCTTAAGTTATAACCCAATATTATATTATTTTATTGCTAAATTATTTCAGTTTTGGCCATTGAAGCTCTTTTGTTTAATGCCCATGTCATTTTGACATACCTCTATCATTGTGGGATTTCTTTTTACTTTTTTGCAGATATTTCTTTAGTTTTTGGCACTACAAGAGGCTCTAGTTTCATCATCTATCCTGCCCCAGCCCAAGATTCAACCATTTCTTCAAGTAGCCCTTGCTCTTTTTTACTGTACATTGTAATTAATAATCAAGTTCTTGGCACTAGGTTCTTCAGAAATTTTTTTTTAGTTTATATGTTTGTTGATAAGGTATTGATAAAGATTCTGCTAGTGATTACCAATGTAACTTTTGGCAAATTATCTGAAACATGGAAATAATAATTTCTACTTCATAGGACTGTTGTACATTTTAAATGGATTCACTAGGATAGTGCACGGAGTAAAAGGAAACAAATAGTAACTCTAAATGGTATTATTACAAATTCATTGGAAATAAATAAATGTAAATTTGCTTCCAAAAGTCAATCTGAATTCTCTGGAAGTTTTGTTTCTGCTTTGACATGTTTTCATTGCTATATACGTAGACTAAGAAGTTAGAGACTCTGATTCTAGGCCTAGCTCGGTTGTTAAAAAGAATTCACTCCAGTCATCTAATGCCTCCTCTTTTAAAATGGGTATAATACTCTTTGCTGACTTTAACCCCACAGGGTTAGTCTATTGGTGTAATTGATATAAAATGAAGTTTATACAAATGTATAGGTGGCAATATTACCACCATTTTTGTCGGTATCATAGGCCTCTGATTCATTCATTGCTCTTTGCAGCTCCATTTTCTTTCTCCTTTTCTTAAAAAGTGTTGACCATACTATCTTGAATCCATCTATTTATTATAAACTTTAATTATGTCAGGTTTTGAAAAACTAGTATTCAAGTTTAGACAACACAATTGTGTTCAAATGCTATTACAACGAATCCACATTGCACAACTATTTTAGAGACTTAAAATTTAGTTAACATTTTTCTAATTAGTTCGCAGACAGTAGTAAGCTGGTGAGCCCACCTAGTTCTTGGTCTTGAGAAATTTTCATTCAACTAAGCATAACTAAGCCTACTGAGTTACTAAGTCATAAAGAAAGTAGAAATATAGATGTTTGGGAAAGTAAGGGATAGCAGGAGTGTGTGGCATCTTAAAAATGCCCTAGTATCAAATTATTGATGCAAAGCAGTTGGCTACTGTCTTAAAAGGAAGGGACATCAACCATCTAGACAAGATCAAATATCAAAGTCGATGGGTTTTGCAAACTGATCATCTTGTTTTCCTCTTACCAAGGTAAAGCAAGGTGCTTCGACACACCTGATAGATTACAGACTGTATCAATATCACTATATGAGTAATGTTGATCTCCATAGGATGTGTCAACCTTCAAAAACATTTTAACAGGTTTATGTAATTGTTTGCTATCTCGTTGTTGGGCAGTATGGATAAGAAAAAGTGAATATTTAGCTCTAAATCCTTTGAGCCTCACTTCCTTCAAAATACCTGTCAGATCATCTGCAAAAATTCACTCTAATTGATCTTAAGACTTAATGGCAACATGTTGAGAAGGAGAATTGAACTGGGTTCCCATGCTAAATGTGTTTAAAGTCACTTCTCTGATTTATTTTCTTTCTTTCATGGACAGCAAATTCAAACTTAACTATTTGTACGTATCAGTGAATACCTTTTGTTATGGGTGTAAGATTTATTTGCAAATCGGCAAAATGGTTAATCAAATATTTTGTGTGCATTATCTGATCTCTTAACCTTTCTGTGCATCTGATTCATAAATAACCAAATATATTAATAATTCTTTTTTTTTTTTTTTGAGACAGAGTCTCACTCTATTGCCCAGGCTGGAGTGCAGTGGCATGATCTCGGTACACTGCAAGCTCTGTCTCCTGAGTTCAAGCGATTCTCATGCCTCAGCCTCCCGAGTAGCTGGGATTACAGGTGTGCACCACCATACATGGCTAATTTTTTTGTACTTTTAGTAAAGACGGGGTTTCACCATGTTGGACAGGCTGGTCTTGAACTCCTGAACTCAGGTGATCCACTTGCCTTGGCCTCACAGAGTGCCATGGCCAGCCAATAATTCTTAGTAATCCTTAGATGGATGTGGTCTTAACTATTAACGCATGTTTATTTTAGATTTGCCATTTCAACAGATTTATTGGTTTCTTTTTTCTCTCAGCCTCCTAGCTACCTTTAAAAAATTGAAAATGGAATCCCATACCTGCATAAATATTAAGGGCAAATTAACTTCAAGGCTGTGTAGAGACAGGAAGACTCAGATCCATATTTACATGTTTTACCTGGGAATGGGGGTGGGATTCAGAAGAATAGAAAAGATAATTGTTTCCCCACTGATTATACTTCCTGTGTTTCATTTTCAGTTTTCCAATAATAACATAGAAAAAAGGAAGAATTTGAGAGTTTCTCAGATTAGGCAATTCCTTGAAGAATCTGAGAACACAGAAGCTCCCCTCCCTACTTTCCATGATTGAAATCAGTGATTCATTGGTTTCTTTGTGTGGGCTTTTGAAAGATCATTAGAAACCAACCTGAAGATCATGAGATTCTTGTGGACACAGGAGCAATGAGTGGCAATACAGTGCTTTCTAATGCAACCTACTTTAAAAGGTAAACAGATAAAAGAAAATACCGAAGACTGAAAATGCAGAAAATTCAACCATGCAGCCCATTCCAAATTAAATATGTCTTCCTCTCTAATTCCTCTCTTCTAGCAGAGAAGGGGAGATGAGCTATGACTCCATGCTCATGCTTAACAAAATTGTGTTAGATTGGTGCAAAAGTAATTGCAGTTTTTGCCATTTAAAAGTAATTGCAATGTTATCTCCTAGAATTTTTATAGTTTCAGGTCTTAAGTTTAAGTCCTTAATCCATCTTGAGCTGATTTTTTGTATAGGGCTGGACGTTCGCTTAGGCAAGGATTTCATGACCAACAACCTGAAAGGAAATGCAATAAAAACAAAGATAAATAGCTGGAACCTAGTTAAACTAAAGAGCTTTTGCATGGCAAAAAGAAGAGTCAGCAGAGCAAACAGATAACAAACAGAGTGGGAGAAAACCTTCATAATCTGTACATCTGACAAAGTGCTAATATCCAGAATCTACAATGAACTCAAACAAATCAGTAAGAAAAAAACAATTCCATCAGAAAGTGGCTAAGGATATGAATAGGCAATTCTCAAAAGAAGATATACAAATGGCCAACAAACATAGGAAAAAACGCTCAACATCACAAATGATCAGGGAAATGCAAATCAAAACCACAATGCGATACCACCTCACTCCTGCAAGAATGGCCATAATTAAAAAAAAAAATCAAAAAACAGTAGATGTTAGCATGGATGCGGTGAACAGGGAACACTTCTACACTGCTGGTGGGAATGTAAACTAGTAAAGCCACTATGGAAAACAGTGTGGAGATTCCTTGAAGAATTAAAAGTAGAACTACCATTTGATCCAGCAATCCCACTACTGGGTATCTACCCAGAGGAAAAGAAGTCACTATTCAAAAAAGATACTTGCACACACATGTTTATAGTGGCACAATTCAAAATAGCAAAATCGTGGAACCAACCCAAATGCCCATCAATCAACAAGTGGATAAAGAAACTGTGGTATGTATATATAATGGAATACTATGCAGCCATAAAAAGGAATGAATTAACAGCATTTGCAGTGACCTGAATGAGATTGGAAACTTATTCTAAGTAAAGTAACTCAGGAATGGAAAACCAAACATCATATCTTCTCACAGATATATGGGAACTAAGTTATGAGGACTCAAAGGCATAAGAATGATACAATGGACTTTGGGGACTTGGGGGGAAGGGTGAGAAGTGGGTGAGGTATAAAACACTACAAATATGCTGCGGTGTATACTGCGCAGGTGATGGGTGCACGAAAATCTCACAAATCATCCCTAAAGAACTTACTCATGTAACCAAATACCATCTATACCTCAATAACTTATGGGGAAAAAAGTAATTGCAAAAACTGCAATTACCTTTGCATGAACCAAAGGCCTACTTTGGAGAGTCAGAGGAATTCTTAACCATAATTCAACCAAGACATACGGTATGTGCCTTCTCTTTGGTGGAACAGTGAATATACAGGCTACTAGCCTGTACTGAGTGTTTCAGCCAAAACACATTCTTTTAAAAGTCACAGTTTTAAGTGACAATATCCCAATGAAAATACAAATTAAAAAATGCATTGGCATATCTATATTCCCTCCCAAAATAACACACATTTGGAATATATAAAGAACTCTTAAAAGTCAATGAGAAAAAAAGCAATAGCTCAGTAGAAAAGTGGGAAGAAGACTTGGACACTTCAGAAAAGAGAATATATTAAAATAGTCCATAAACAGAAATAAAAGGTGCTCAACTTTATGAGTCATCTGGGATATGTAGATTAAAACCACAGTGCAATATTATACCACCCCTACCAGAATAACTAAAAAGAGTAAGTTGGAAAATACTCAGTGCTGATGAGAAAGTGGGGTAATTGAAACTCTTATACATCATTCTAGGAACATCCACTTAGGAAAACAACTTGGCAGTGTCTAATAAAGTCCAGTATATGCATTCCCTATAACCCAGAATTTTTACTCTCAGGTGTATACCCAACAGAAATGCAGGTGTGTGTTCACCAGAAATCATGTTCAAGAATGTTCATGGTATCACTAGTCATGAGGCACAAAAACTGGAAATGTTCATCAACAATGAGTAGGATAAATAAGTTGTGTTAATATTTATACAATTGAAAATTATACAGCAGAAAGAATAAATAATCTAAACCTACACACAACAGCATGAAGAAATCTCATGAGTGGAATGTTAGATCATAACCTAAATAAACTTACCTGGAGCAGGTGCCACTGAAGCCATAAAATGGTAGGATGAATTGCTGGAGGCTGACTATGGACTAGCTTGACAGTAAAAAATTTGGGGAGGTCCATTCTGAAGGAGGCCCCTCACACTTTCTTGGATTTTATCTTCAGGAAGCCCACCAGATTTTCATGGTGAAGATCTTAGAAAACATCTCTCATATCTTGGTCAGTTGGGGGAAAGTAGCATTTTGAAATAATCCTAGAGCATTCTCCATAGCCAAGGTTTACTCCTCAACGGAAACAACTTTACCAGAGCCTTAGTTGACCATGGAGAAGGGCAGTTAGCCCCCTACATCCCTCTCTAGCTTTCTTGTGTTACTTAGTGGAAGGAAAAAAAGGATAAGAAACACTTCTGAAGTCCAATTCAGGGACTTGAGCCCACTAAAAGACTGAAATATACTTACCTCCTCCACACCTTACCACCACATCAACACAGCTCCAGAATAATCACAATGGGTTACAATGGAAAGAGCTGCAAAACATAGACTCTATTTAAGAAGGAATTCTTAGGGAAATCCAATGTGGAGAAAACAAAGACACTGAGGAAACTAAAGTCTCTGGCATCTATAGCTATGGAAAACATGAAGCACAACCCATCTGCTAGGCAGATTGACATAAAACCTCATACTAAAGACCTATTTTCCTCAGTTCTCATTACCTGATACATCATGTTTGACTTTTAACAAAAAATCATAAGGAAGGCTATACAAAAAGAAAAGGAAAAACACAGTCAGAAGAGACAAAGTAAGCATCTGAACTAGACTTTGACATGAAACAAAGTTTGGAATAATCAAATAGATAATTAAAAATAACTATGATTAGTTATGTTAAGGACTGTAATAGAAAAAGTATAAGCATGCAAGAGCAGATGAATAATATAAGCAGAATAATGAAAACTCTAAGAAAGAATCAGAAGAAAATGACAGAAATGAAAAACACTGCAACAGAAATGAAGAATGCCTTTGATAAGCTCATTACTAAACTGAACATAAACAAGGAAATAATCAATAATTTAAAGATATATCAAAGGAGACATTGCAAATTGAAATACTAAGAGAAAAAGGACTACAACCTCCATTCCAATATCCAAGAACAATTACAAAAATATAACATATGCATAATTGAAGTACTAGAAGAAGAAGAAAGGAGCAGAGGAAGTGCAGAGGAAGTACAGTAGTTCCCTCTTATCCATGGTGGATACATTCAAAGACCCCCAGTGGATGCCTGAAAATGCAGATAGTACCAAACCCTACCTATACATTCTATGTTTTTTCCTATATGTACATATCTATGATAAGGTTTAACTTATAAATTAGGCATAAAAAGAGTTTAACAGTATAATAAAATAGAAAAATTATAACAATACTCAGAACCAAGCACAACTGAAAACTTGTGAAATGTTTATTTCTGGGCATGGTGGCTCATGCCTGTAATCCCAACACTTTGCAAAGCCAAGGCAGATGGATTGCTTGAGCTCAGGAGTTTAAGACCAGTGTGGGAAGCATGGTGAAACCTCATCTCTACAAAAAATACAAAAAATTATCTAGGTGTAGTGGCACATGCCCATAGTTCCAGCTACTCGGGGTGGTGGGAGGGTGTGTGGTGGGGGGCAGTGTGGGGTGGAAGGGAGCTGAAATGGGATAATCGCTTGAGACCAGGAAGTCAAGGCTGTACTGAGCCTTGACTGGGCCACTGCACTCCAGCCTGGGTGACAGAATGAGACCCTGTCTCAAAAAAAAAAAAAAAGGAAAATTATTAAGGATAAAGATGGGCATTAAATAATGAGAAAGGGGCAATTATCCAAAAAACATAATAATTCTTAAGTTATGCAGGTAACACAGCATCTAAATACATGAGACAAAAATTTATAAAACTGCAAGAAGAAATAATCAAATTTAATATTATTTAATAATATTTTTGGAGATCTCAACATCCCTATATTAATAACAGCTAATTTCAACAAGCAGAAATCAGGAAAATGTTCAACTGAATAGCACTAACAATGAACAGGATCTAACTGTTCAAGTAGCAGCAGAATAATTAATCAAGTAACAGCAGAATACATATTCCTCTCAAGTTTATATGGGACTTTATGCAAAATAGACCACATTCTGGGGCTGAAAAAGATGCCCTCACAAATTTAAAAGAATAGAAGGTTTACTGCATGTGTTCTTAGACTATAATGAAATTTAACTGGAAATCAGTGCCAGAAAAAAACTCAGAAGTCCCCAAATAGTTTGAGATTAAATAACATACTTTTATATAACACATAGGTCAAAGAAGAAGTCTCAAAGGAAATTTAAAAATATTTCGAACTAAACAAAATGAAATGTACATCAAAATTTATGGGATGCTCAGGAAAAATAGCTAGTGGATGCTTGGCTTCATACCTAGGTGATGGGTTGATCTGTGCAGCAAAGCACCATGGCACACGTTTACCTATGTAACAAACCTGCACATCCTGCACATGTACCCTGGAACTGAAAATAAAAATTGATTAAAAAAGAAAGAGAAAGGATAATTCCTTTCACCCACAGTTTCCTGTCTCCTAATAGTCCTTCTGTTGTGTCTTTAAATAAATGTGTCTCAAATCTTAAGATATTCATAAAATCTGGGATTGCAGATGTATTTTGCATTACAAGTCCTATTTTTATTTTTTAATGGAATGCTGTAAAAGCAGTTCTTAGAGGCAAATTTATAGCAGCAAATGCATATATTAGAAAAGAAGAAAAATCTAAAATCACTAATAGAAATGTGCCTTAGGAAAGTAAAGAGAGGAGAGCAATTTAAGCCTCAAGTAAGCAGAAGAAAAGACATAAAACTTTGAGCAGAAATCAATAAAATTGAAAACATGAGGTCAACAGAGAAAGTCAATAAACCCAAAAGGCAATGCCTTTAAAAGATCAATAAAATCGATAAATCCATAGCCAGGCTAACCAAGTGAAAAAGGGAGAAGACACAAATTATAAATATTGATTCCATAGACATTAAAAAGATAATAAAAGAACATTACAAACAAATGTATACTGACACTTTTGGTAATTTAGATGAAATGAATCAATTCCTTGAAAGACATAAACCATCAAAACTTATGGAAAAGAAATACATTACCTAAATAGATCTATATTTATTTAAAAAATAGATAAATCATTAATAATCTTTCGAAAAAGAAAGCGTCTCGCCCAGATTCTTTCACTAATGAATTCCACCAAGCATTTAAGGAAGAAATAATGTCAGTTCTCTATAATCACTTTTAGAAAATAGAAGTAAGAGGTATACCTCCTAACTCATTCAAGGAGGCAGGCATTATCTTAATATCAAAACCGGGGAAATACACTACAAGAAATGAAACCTACAGCTCAATATATTTTATGAATATAGATGGAAAAATTTTCAATAAAATATTAGCTAATTGAATCCAAAAATATATAAAAATAGTAATACATCACAGTAAGTGCAATTTATTTTAGGCATACCAGACTGATCTGACATTTATTAACTGGCTAAAGAACTATTTTATGATTCTGTCAATTGATGCAGAGAAAGCATTTGACAAACTCCAACATCTATTTATGAGAAAAAGTCTTAGAAAACTAGGAATAAAAAACATCCTCAACTTAATCTGGAACATCTAAAAAATGGGACTTCACGCTATTTTATGGTGAGAAATGATATGCTTTTCTTCTATATTGGGAACAAGACAAGGTTCTTTTTTTGCCACTCTTATTCACCATCCTACTGGATGTCCTAATTAGTGCAACAAGGCAAGAAAAAATATATATACAGATTAGAAAGAAAAAAAGAAAACTACCTCTGTTCAAGATGACATAATTACTTATTTAGTAAAACTGAAAGAATTGACTCCTGGAATTAATATGTGATTATAGCAAGGTTGCAGGATGCGAGGTTAATAGAAGTCAATTGTGTTTCCATGTACCACCAGTGAACAAGTGAAAATTGAAGTTGAAAACAAAATACAATTTCATTCCTTCCCCCAGCAAAAATGAAATATAAACAACAAAATATGTATACAACGTATATTATGTATATGGAAAATTTTAAGTCTGATGAAAGAAATAAAGGAAGATCTAAATAAATGGAGATGTACCACTTTCATGGATAAGTAGATTCAATAATGTTGAGATATAAATTCTTCACGAATTGGTGTATACATTTAATACAATTCTAATAAATTCTCAGCAAGTTATTTTGTGGTTATTGACAAATTTATTCTATTTTTTAGCTTCATCTCAAAAGATGATTTTAAAATTTATATGGAAATGCAAGAGACCCAGAATAGTCTACATAATACTGACCAAAGGACTAAGTTGGAGAACTGACACTACTCATAGTACTACAAAGCTACAGTAATTATGACAGTGAGGTATTTGTACAAGAATAGACAAATGGATTAATAGAAAAGAGGAGAGAGCCTCTTTTAGACCCTCAACTGATCCTTGACAGAGCAAAATAAATTCAATTGAGAAAGGACAGTCTTTTCAACAAATAATCATCAAAAATTGTGCATATACATGCAAAAATGAATCTAGACATATACCTTATGCTTTTCACAAAAATTAATTTAAAATGGACCTTAGTTCTAAATGTAAAACAAAAACTAGAAAACTTCTATGAGATAGCATAGGAGAAAATCTAGGTGACCTTGGGTTTGATTAAATCATGATCCATGAAAGAAAAAAATTAAAAAAAAATTGAACTTAATTAAATTTAAAAATTGTTATGTGAAATATATTGTTAAGTAAATGAGAAGACAAGCCACAGAATGAGAGAAAATATTTTAAAAACATATCCAGTAAAGGAGTTAAATCCAAATGACACCAAGGTATTTAAATAATTCTATGTAATGATCAAAAGATCTGAACATTCAACTCACCAAATAAGATGTACAGATGGCATATAAGCATATGAAAAGATGCTCAACATCTTATGTTATTAGAGAATAGTAAATTAAAACAACAATGAGAAACCACTACACCTATTAGAATGGCTGAAATCCAAATTACTGACAACAACCAATGCTGTTGAGAATGCAATGCAAGAGAAACTCTAGTTCATCCAATTTTCAAATGTGACTGTAAAAGGCTGCAGCCACTTTAGAAGACATTTTGTCTGTTTCTTACAAAGCTAAGCATAGCCTTGCATTATAATCTGCAGTTGTGTTCCTCTGTATATACCCAATTACACTGAAACATTATGTCTACAAAAAAATCCTGAAAACAAATGTTTATAGCAGGTTTATTGTTACTTGGTAGTTACCAAAAATGGAAAACAATCAAGATGTCTTTCAATAGATGAGTGAATAAACTATAAGATATCCATAAAATGGAATATTATTCAGCAGTAAAAAGAAATGAGCTTTCAAATCATGAAAAGACATGGAGGAAACTCAAATGCATACTGTTACATGAAAGCAGCCAGTGTGAAAAGGCTACATGCTATATAATTTCAATTAGATGACATTTTGGAAAGAAGCAAAACTGTAAAGAAAAAGATCAGTTTTTGCCTGGCGTTCAGGGAAAGGGAAGAATAAGTTAAGCACAGGAGACTTGGGGAGCTGTGAAATGATTCTGTGCAATATTGGTGGAATTTTGGCAACATTATGCATTTGCCAAAGGCAATAGAAGTTTTTGACACAAAGAGTTACCATAATGCAGGCAAATTTTAGAAAATTATTTAGAAGGTCAGAGGATCCCAGAAGCAATGTGGACTTTACAGAAGAAATTCACTGCATTACAAAGCATCAGATAACCTTAGTAAGGTGGAGAGAGAAAATGGTCTTAACATAAATATCTTTAAAAATGAATGGAATCTGTCAGACTATAGGCAAGATGAGCTGCACAAAAGCACTGTACTCTAGCTGATAAAATTATTTCTCATTGGCTTCTGGTTAACAGTTCTGATACTGCTATACATATATATGGGAATTGAATAATTAAGCCTATAAATGGCAAACATTGGGAGTTATATTTCTCACGGTGTGGAAATTTACAGATCAACTAGGGGAACAGTCTTGAATAATCAATGTGATGATCATTACAGTTGGAGACATCAAGGAGAACTAATGTTTAACTTAATATAGATATGGGTGGTTATATATAGAAATATTCAAAGATGTTTATGTAAATACACAAAAGCACAACCATGACACATCTAAAATAAATAACACCCTGGTAACCATGGGCACACTTAGTACTCAAATGCTGGAGTGCAATGGCGTGATCTTGGCTCACTGCAACCTCTGCCCCCTGGGTTTAAGCAATTCTCCAGCCTCAGCCACCAGAGTAGCAGTGATTACAGGCACTCACCACCACACCTGGCTAATTTTTGTATTTTTAGTAGAGACAGGGTTTCACCATGTTGGCCAGGCTTATCTCGAACTCCTGACCTTGTGATCTGCCCTCCTTGGCCTCCCAAGGTGCTGGGATTACAGGCATGAGCTACCAGGCCTGGCCTGTTGATTTTTTCTTTTTTTTTTTTTTATTATACTTTAAGTTCTGGGATACATGTGCAGAATGTGCAGGTTTGGAACATAGATATACACGTGCCATAGTGGTTTGCTGCACCCATCAATCGGTCATCTATATTAGATATTTCTCCTAATGTTATCCCTCCCCTAGTTCCCTACCCACCAAAGGGCCCAGTGTGTGATGTTCCCCTCCCTGTGTCCATGTGTTCTCTTTTTTCAACTCCCACTTATGAGTGAGAACATGCAGTGTTTGGTTTTCTGTTCCTGTGTTAGCTTGCTGAGAATGATGGTTTCCAGCTTCATCCATGTCCCTGCAAAGGACATGAGCTCATCCTTTTTTATGGCTGCATAGTATTCCATGGTGTATATGTGCCACATTTTCTTTATCCAGTCTATCACTGATGAGCATTTGGGTTGATTCCAAGTCTTTGTTGTTGTGAACAGTGTTGCAGTAAATGGGTGTGTGTCTTTGTAGAATGATTTATAATCCTTTGGGTATATACCCAGTGATGGGATTGCTGGATCAAATGGTATTTCTGGTTCTAGATCCTTGAGGAATTGCCACACTGTCTTCCACAATGGGTGATCTAATTTACACTCCCACCAACAGTGTAAAAGCCTTCCTATTTGTCCACATCCTCTCCAGCATCTGTTGTTTCCTGACTTTTTAATGATCGCCATTTTAACTGGCGTGAGATGGTATCTCACTGTGGTTTTGATTTGCATTTCTCTAATGACCAGTGATGATGAGCTTTTTTTCATATGTTTGTTGGCCACATAAATGTCTTCTTTTGAGAAGTGTCTGTTTATATCCTTTGCCCACTTTTTGATGGGGTTGTTTGTTTTTTTTTCTCGTAAATTTGTTTAGGTTCTTTGTAGATTCTGGATATTAGCCCTTCGGCAGATGAGTAGATTGCAAAAAGGTTCTCCCATTCTGTAGGTTGTCTGTTCACTCTGATGATAGTTTCTTTTGCTGTTTAGAAACTCTTTAGTTTAATTAGATCCCATTTGTCAATTTTGACATTTGTTGCCATTGCTTTTGGTGTTTTAGTCATGAAGTCTTTGCCCATGCCTATGTCCTGAATGGTATAGCCTAGGTTTTCTTCTGGGGTTTTCATAGTTAGAGGTTTTATGTTTAAGTCTTTAATCCATCTTGAGTTCGTTTTTGTACAAGGTCTGAGGAAGGGTTCAGTATCAGTTTTCTGCATATAGCTAGCCAGTTTTCCCAACACCATTTATTAAATAGGGAATACATCCCCCATTGCTTGTATTTGTCGGGTTCGTCAAAGATCAGATGGTTGTAGATGTGTGGCATTATTTCTGAGGCCTCTGTTCTGTTTCATTGGTCTATATATCTGTTTTGGTACCAGTACCATGCTGTTTTGGTTACTGTAGCATTGTAGTAGAGTTTGAAGTCAGGTAGCGTAATACCTCCAGCTTTGTTCTTTTTGCTTAGAATTGTCTTGACTATGCGGGCTCTTTTTTGGTTCCATATGAAATTTAAAGTAGTTTTTTCTAGTTCTGTGAAGAAAGTCAATGGTTGCTTGATGGGGATAGCACTGAATCTATAACTTACTTTGGGCAGTATGGCCATTTTGATGATATTGATTCTTCCTATCCGTGGGCATGATATGTTTTTCCATTTGTTTGTGTCGTCTCTTATTTCCTTGAGCAGTGGTTTGTAGTTCTCCTTGAAGAGGTCCTTCACATACCATGTAAGTTTTATTCCTGGGTACTTTATTCTCTTTGTAGCAATTGTGAATGGAAGTTCACTCATGATTTGGCTCTCTGTTTGCCTATTATTGGTGTATACAAATGCTTGTGATTTTTGCACACTGCTTTTGTATCCTGAGATTTTGCTGAAGTTGCTTATCAACTTGAGATTTTGGGCCGAAATGGTGGGGTATTCTAAATACACAATCATATCATCTGCAAGCAGAGACAATTTGACTTCCTGTCTTCCTATTTGAAAACTCTTTATTTCGTTCTCCTGCCTGATGACCCTGGCTAGAACTTCCAATATATGGTGAATAGGAGTGGTGAGAGAGGGCATCCTTTTCTTGTGCCAGTTTTCAAAGGGAATGCTTCCAGTTCTTGCCCATTTAGTATGATATCGGCTGTGAGTTTCTTGTAAATAACTATTATTATTTTGAGATATGTTCCATCAATACCTAGTTTACTGACAGTTTTTAGCATGAAGCTGTGTTGAATTTTATCAAAGGCGTTTTCTGCGTCTATTGAGATAATCATGTGATTTTTGTCATCAGTTTTGTTTATGTGATGGATTATGTTTATTGATTTGCATATGTTGAACCAGCCTTGCATCCCAGGGATTAAGCTGACTTGATTGTGGAGGATAAACTTTTTGATGTGCTGCTGGATTCGGTTTGCCAGTATTTTATTGAGGATTTTTGCATCGATGTTCATCAGGGATATTGGCCTGAAATTTTCCTTTTTTGTTGTGTCTCTTCCAGGTTTTGGTATCAGAATGATGCTGGCCTCATAAAATGAGTTAGGGAGGAGTCCCTCTTTTTCTATTGTTTGGAATCATTTCAGGAGGAATGGTACCAGCTCCTCTTTTTACCTCTGGTAGAATTTGGCTGTGAATCCATCTGGTCCTGGGCTTTTTTTGGCTGGTAGGCTATTAATTACTGCCTCAATTTCAGAACTTGTTATTGGTCTATTCAAGAATTTGACTTCTTCCTAGTTTAGTCTTGGGAGGGTGTATGTGTTGAGGAATTTATCCATTTCTGCTAGATTTTCTAGTTTATTTTCATAGAGGTGTTTATAGTATTCTCTGATGGTAGTTTGTATTTCTGTGGGATCAGTAGTCATCTTCCCTTTATCATTTCTTATTGTGTCTATTTGATTCTTCTCTCTTTTCTTCTTTATTAGTCTGGCTAACAGTCTATCTATTTTGTTAATCTTTTCAAAAAACCAGCTCATGGATGCATTTACGTTTTCGAAGGGTTTTTCATGTCCCTGTCTTCTTCAATTCTGCTCTGATCTTAGTTATTTCTTATCTTCTGCTAGCTTTTGAATTTGTTTGCTCTTGCTTCTCTAGTTCTTTTAATTGTGATGTTAAGGTGTCAATTTTAGATCTTTCCCACTTTCTACTGTGGGCATTTAATGCTATAAATTTCCCTCTAAAAACTGCTTTAGCTATGTCCCAGAGATTCTGGTACATTGTATCTTTGTTCTCATTGGTTTCAAAGAACTCATTTATTTCTGCCTTAATTTTGTTTTTTACCCAGTAGTCATTCAGAAGAAGGTTGTTCAGTTTCCATGCAGTTGTGCTGTTTTGAGGGAGTTTCTTAATCATGAGTTCTAATTTGATTGCACTGTGGTTTGAGAGATGGTTTGTTGTGATTTCTGCTCTTTTGGATTTTTCTGAGGAGTGTTTTATTTCTAATTGTGTGGTCAATTTTATAATAAGCACAATGTGGTACTGAGAAGAATGTATATTCTGCTGATTAGGGGTGGAGAGTTCTATAGATGTCTATTAGGTCTGCTTGGTCCAGAGCTGAGTTCAAGTCCTGAATATCCTTGTTAATTTTCTGTCTCATTGATCTGTCTAATATTGACAGTGGGGTGTTAAAGTCTCCCACTATTATTGTGTGGGAGTCCAAGTCTCTCTGTAGATCTCTAAGAACTTGCTTTATGAATCTGGATGCCCTTGTATTGGGTGCATATATATTTAGAATAGTTAGACCTTCTTGTTGCATTGATCCCTTTACCATTATGTAATGCCCTTCTTTGTCTCTTTTGATCTTTGTTGGCTTAAAGTCTGTTTTATCTGAGACTAGGATTGCAACCCCTGGGTTTTGTTTGTTTGTTTGTTTTCTTTATATTTGCTTGGTAAATCTTCCCTCATCCCTTTATTTTGAGCCTATGTTGTGTCTTTGGACGTGAGATGAGTCTCCTGAATACAGCACACTGATGAATCTTGACTCTTTATCCCATTTGCCAGTCTGTGTCTTTTAACTGGGGCATTTAGCCCATTTACATTTAAGGTTAATATTGTTATGTGTGAATTTGATCCTGTCATTATGATCCTAGCTGGTTGTTTTGCCTGTTAGTTGGTGCAGTATCTTCATAATGTCGATGGTCTTTACAATTTGATATGTTTTTGCAGTGGCTGGTACCAGTTTTTCCTTTCCATATTTAGTGCGATGATCTTACAATTTGGTATGTTTTTGCACTGGCTGATACTGGTTTTTCCTTTCCATATCTTGTGCTTCTTTCAATAGCTCTTGTAAGGCAGGCCTGCTGGTGACAAAATGTCTCAGCATTTGCTTCTCTGTGAAGGATTTTATTTTTCCTTCGCTTACGAAGCTTAGTTTTGCTGGATATGAAATTCTGGGTTGAAAATTCTTTTCTTTAAGAATGTTGAATATTGGCCCTCCTCTGTTCTGGCTTGTAGGGTTTCTGCAGAGAGATCCGCTGTTAGTCTGATGGGCTTCCCTTTGTGGGTAACCTGACCTTTCTCCCTGGCTTCCGTTAACATTTTTTCCTTCATTTCAACCTTGGTGAATCTGATGATTATGTGTCTTGGAGTTGCTCTTCTTGAGGAGTGTCTTTGTAGTGTTCTCTGTATTTCCTGAATTTGAATGTTGGCCTGTCTTGCTACATTGGGGAAGTTTTCCAGGATAATATCCTGAAAAGTGTTTTCCAACTTGGTTCCATTCTCCCCGTCACTTTCAGGTACACCAATCCAATGTAGGTTTGGTCTTTTCACATAGTCCCATATTTCTTGGAGGCTTTGCTCAGAGAGGAGGAACTCAGAGAGGCAGTCTGGCTATAGCAGATTTGCTGAGCTGTTGTGGGCTCTGCCCAGTTCAAAATTTTTGGCAGCTCCTTTACTCAAGCCTCAGTAATGTTGGATGCCCCACCCCCAACCACGCTTGAGCATCCCAGGGCAACTTCAGACTGTTGTGCCTGCAGTGAGAATTTCAAGCCCGTGAATCTTAGCTTGCTAGGCTCCATGGGGGTGGGATCTGCTGAGCTAGACCACTTGGCTCCCTGGCTTCATCCCCCTTTCCAGGCGAGTGAAAAGTTCTGTCTCACTGGCATTCCTGGCACCACTGGGGTATGAAAAAAAAACTCCTGCAGCTAGCTTCCTGTCTGACCAAACCGTTGCCCAGTTTTGTGCTTGAAACCCAGGGCCCTGGTGGCATAGGCACCTGAGAGAATCTCCTGGTCTGTGAGTTGCAAAGATCGTGGGAAAAGCATAGTATCTGGGCCAGAGTGCACAGTTCCTCAAGGCACATTCTGTCGTGGCTTCCCTTGGCTAGGGGAGGGTGTTCCCTGACCCCTTGCACTTCCCAGGTGAAGTGACACCCCACCCTGCTTTGGCTCACCCTCCATGGGCTGCACCCACTGTCTAACCAGTCCCGATGAGATGAGCCAGATACCTCAGTTGGAAATGCAGAAATCACCCGTCTTCTGCATTGATCTCACCGGGAGCTGTAGACCACAGCTATTCCTATTTGGCCTTTTTTTCTTTTGAGACAGGGTTTCACTCTTGTCACCCAGGCTGGAGTGCAATGGTGCAATCTTGGCTCACTGCAACCTCTGCCTCCCAGGTTCAAGTGATTCTCCTGCCTAAGCCTCCCAAGTAGCTGGCATTATAGGCACTCACCACCATACCCAGCTAATTTTTGTATCTTTTGTAGAGATGGGGTTTCACCATGTTGGCTAGGCTGGTTTTGAACTCCTAACCTCAGGTGACCCACCTGCCTCGGCCTCCCAAAGTGTTGGGATTACAGGCATGAGCCACTGCACCTGGCCAAATGTTGATTTTTTTAATACCATTTTATAATAAAAGGAACAAGGACTCCCTGGAGAAACAGCTGATACTAAGGCAGGAGTAGAAAATATACAAGATAATCCTGGAAAATCTTGTAGGGCCAGAAAGTAAACAAGTGCATTAAAAATAAGTCACATTGGTAATAATATGTCAAAGGAACAAGGGAGTCTACTGAAAGAGCTCCCAAAGGCCAAAGCTGGAAGAAGTAGAGCAAGAAAGTAAACTAGCTTTGAATTATAACCCAAAATATAAAGTAAATATCCATAAGTCTCTACTGATATAAAGCACAATTGAATAATAACTGGGAGAGGGAGGGAGAATAAATAAGTTCTACGTAAAAGAATTTCTTATAAATTTTGTAGATATGACTTTCTAAACAAATTCTCATTCTTAAGAATTCATAGTGACTTCCTTCCAAAAATTACAATATGGAAAACTGATAAAAAATGAGTAACTCTACAGTGGAGGAATCTGACACATACTACATCAGCCAGGTTATTGAGGTCAACATCAACAGCCATAAATCATGTGAACAGTATGTACACTTGGTATGATGTAACGAATAGCACTTCACTTCTGTGGTCTTTCTCCCCAGGCTCATTATCTCAGTATAATCATGAAAAAAAAAAAAAAAAAAAAACCCAGCAAAGTCCAATAGAGGAATATTCTACAAAATACCTCACTATACTCTTTAAAAGAGTTAAGGTCATTAAAATGGAGTCGGAGACAATGTCCTCAACATGAGGAGTCTAAAGAGACAGGCCAACTAAATTTAGTATGGTATACTGGATGAATTCCTGGAACAGAAAAAAGGTTATTAGGTAACAACTCAGGAAATCTGAATAAAGAAAGAAATCAGTTAATAACAATGTATCAGTATTGCTTTATTAATTATGACAAAAGTACCATACTAGTGAAAGATGAATAATCGGAGTAACTGTGTGCAAAGACTGGGTAGAGGGGTTATTATTAAAATTTTCAGTACCAGCTGCTCAATTTTCCTATAAACCTAAAATTGCTTTTAAAAATAAAATTTGTTAATACAAAATGTAATGTATTATCATTGAGAAAATTTGATACATAAAAGTATTAATTTATGGTATAGCTCCGAAGTATAATTTACGTTTTGGTTGTTATTTTATAAAATCATTAATTTCAGGGCTTCTTTAAAGATGAACTGCCCCAGTTAGCACATCCACAATGTGATTTTATTTACAAATTTTTTTTGCAATTATATAATTCTATAGTGTTATAACTGTGGGGCGAATTGAGACCTTCCTGAATGGAAATGATTGACATAGAATTTTTCAATAGAATCCAGCTATGGATTTTTTGTATATATGACGTTTAGAGGAATCAATTTATTGGAAGTTTACACATCTCTCCATCCTTGTAGATTATCATGATCAGTGACAATTATATGTACACTGAATCTGTTATAAAATAAATCATTATTTTTTAAAGTAGTGATATAAACTTAAATCCTGACCTGTTAATGCATTAAAAGTGAATTATGTAAATTGCTTAATTTCTATATATTTTTCTTATCTTTAAAGTAGGTGATTAAGAATACTCACTTCTGCTTTTCTTTTAGTATAAATTAAGACAATCAGTGTAAAACTCTTAGCACCAATCTTAGCATATTTTAATATTAGCTGTTGATATTATTATTGTCTTGCAGTGCCTACAACATGTAATGATTAAAAACAGCATAAGAGATTAATAATAATTCACATTTGCACAGAACCTTAGGGCTTTTAAAATACTTGATGCATGTGAAATCACTTAAAAACCCTCTAATGTTTTCTGCAAATATAGGAAGTTAATATTGTCTTGGGCTTTTCTGAAGCTCTCTCAAACCTCACAGTAGTTCTGTGAGGTCTTCAGGGAAAATATTTGACTTTATTTTATAGATGAGGAAACTGAGATTCAGAGGATATACTAGGTCCATCACTTCCACCGATGATGCCATCTTGGAAAAATTATTTAACCTCTCTAAGTATCAGTTTCTTCATTTGTATAACAGTGTATACTGCCATTTACTTCTAGGCTGGTCATTGAGTAAGCTAATGTACATTATGCAGTTAGCTTTATGCCTGATATTCTAAAAATGCTATAACTGTTTTTGTTGTGTGTCTTATTGTCTGTTTTTCTATAGCTTCATTTAACCTCTCAGGGCAGTCATAGAGTTGGTGGATAATCAAAACAAGAATCACCATTTAATTTTTATCATTCAAGACTGAGTTTTGGCAGAGACTTACGGCTTCCAGATTGGGGTTTTATTTATTTGCTTGAGCATTTACTAAACAGTTTTAATAACCAAGCTCTGGATGAGGTAAAGTGGCCTATGGAAAGATAAATGCAACCTAAATTTGCCCTCAAGGAGATGATACAATGTATAAATAACTTAAAGACCAAGTAGGGAGAAGATGTAAAAAGTTTGCAGGAGCAGACTTTAAAACTTTAAGATCACTTTAAACTTGTAACAGAAAAGAAAGCAGGCAAGAGAAGGTGACATTTGAATGGGACCTTGAACAAGGAGTAGGAATTAGCATGGTGTATATTTGCATGCTGGGAATCTACATATTGGATGGCAGATTGCATTTCGTTCTTTCAATCATTATCAGTGGAATCATTCATAACAAAAGTAGAGAGTCTGTTCTGCTAATACATGTGCTTCTGTAACACAAATTAGTTTCCATGCAGTTGTAAATAGGGAATGATATCAGTTAAACATAAAGTGATGCTGGAGTCATACTTGCTTTTTCTTAAATAGGCAAGTGAAGATGGAATGAAGGGAGTAGAATAACAACCTTTAGTGGGGGGAAAAAGCCTTTAGTAAGTTCTTCTGCTGGATATGCAAGAGACTTTTAAACTCCATTTTTAAGAAAATTAAAAATAAACAACTGTATCCAACTTCCTCCCCAAAGAGGTGCACCCCAACCTTGCAGAGCTCTTGCCTTGTAGCAGGTTGTACTTCTTCCCATGTTCACCTTAACAGCAGCCCGACTGGCTCAGAACTTCTATTCTATTTGCATTGTCTCAGAGCGCAAGAAAACATTTACATTTTATTGTTTCTTGTTCCTTTCTAGTTGCTGGAAGGCAGTTCAAGTAACTGCCTTAGTATCAATTGTTATTATTTCGAATTGGTTATGAAGTTGAATAAGTTTGGAGTATCCTTAACCATACTTTTTCTGTAAGTACTGTTATTTTTAAATATGTTATTTTGCAGAAGACAAAGTTTTTTTCAGAACACATGTATCATGTTACACCTTAGCCTTTGACAAAAGGGGGTCCTGGGCCCCTGGCTTTAGAAAACCCACCTCTGGCCCTCCTCAGGGTAAACAGTTCATGGGGGTAGGAGAATGTGCCTACAGGGAGCTCATGCATCCTTCTTCTAGAATATGTTTTTGGTGCCTAGACTTGAAATTCCCTGATTTCACTTGCAGAGTCTGTGTGGGTTCTTTCTGATTCTCTCCTTCCAAGGGCAGATCATGCTGCCAGAATGGAAATCCCTGGATCTGAAGAATATTAAAGGGGCAGTTATTTGAAGTGAAATGGAGATGGTTGTATGTGAAAGAAAGGTGGGCAGGCCAGGGATTGAAGGATGGAAGATGACTCTCCCCATGCTATCATTTTCTCTTTCGGGGCTCCATAGACTTTGGGAATTCAGAATTCAAACCTGATGTCCCAGGTTTTTGTGAGGATATATTTGTCCATGTAGAAAGAAAGAATAAATTTATTTCATAGTTAATGTGCGATATGAGATTTAAATGTCTATTTGAAATCTTACTGTGGACTCTGCCAATGTTAGAGGCAGGCCTGACTAACAATAAAAGTACTCAGGCTAAATGAATTTTAGGATTTCTTTTCTTTTTCTGTAAAAAATGCCATTGAGATTTTGATAGGAATTGCATTAAATCTATAGGTTGCTTCGGGTAGTACGGCCATTTTAACAACATATGCCTTCCAATCCATGAACAGAGGCTGTTTTCCATTTATTTGTGTCTACTTTAATTTATCTCATCAATGTTTGGTAATTTTCAGGTACAAGTCCTTTTTAGTTAAGTTTATTCCTAAGAATTTTATCTTTTTGATGATATTATAGATGAAATTATTTTCTTAATTTCCTTTTGGGATAGTTTATTGTTTGTGTATAGAAATGCAACATTTTTGTATGTTAATTTTGCACCCTGCAACTTTATTGTTTATTAGTTCTAATTTTTTTTTTTGGTGGAGACTTTCTATATATAACATCATGCCATCTGCAAAGAGAGATCATTTACCTCTTTTTTCTGATCCTTTTTCTTTCTTTCATTTTTCTCTTCCTGCCTAATTGCTCTGGCTTGGCAAACAAATGGCCAACAGGCATATGAAAAGATTTTCAACATTACTAATCATCGGTGAAATGCAAATCAAAGCCTTAATGTGATGTTAGGAAGTGTCAAAGACAAACAAACAATAAAACCCAAACCCAAAAGATCACAAGTGTTGGTAAAGATGTAGAGGAATTTGAACCTGTATACACTGTTGGTGGGAATATAAAACTGTGAAGCTGTTATGAAAAACATTATGAAGGTTTCTTAAAAAATTAAAAATAGAACTACCATATGATCCCACAATCTCATTTCTGGATATATATCCAAAGGAAATGAAATCAGTATGTCAAGGAGGTATGTGCATTCCCATGCCTATTGCAGCATTATTCACGATAGTCAAGGCATGGAAACAACCTAAATGTTCATCAACAGGTAAATGGAAAAAGAAAATATGGTATATATGAAACTTCCCAATGGGTTCACTTTGCCTGTTGCCTAGACAGAGTCAACTTATCAAGACAGGGGAATTGCAATAGAGAAAAAGTAATTCACAAAGAGGCAGCTGTGTGGGAGACCGGAGTTCTTACGCAAATCAGTTTCCAGCATTAGGGGATCACAGTTTTTAAGGACAACTTGGTGGATGGGGGAAGCCAGTGAACCATCAGTGCTGATTAGTTGATTGATCAGGTCAGAGATGAAATCACAGGGAGTCGAAGCTGTCTTCTTGCACTGAGTCAGTTCTTGAGTGGGGGCCACAAGATCAGATACGCCAGCTTATCAATCTGGGTGGTGCCAGCTGATCCATCAAGTGCAGGGTCTGTAAAATATCTCAAGCACTGGTCTTAGGTTTTACACTAGTGATTTTATCCCCAGGAACAATTTGGGGAGGGTCAGAATCTTTTAGCTTCCAGCTGCATGACTCCTAAAGTATACTTTCTAATCCTGTGGCTAATTTGTTAGTCCTACTAAGGCAGTCTAGTCCCCAGGCAAGAAGGAAGTTTGTTTTGGGAAAGGGTCACTATCGCCCGTTTTTTTGTTTTTGTTTTTGTTTTTTTTGAGATGGAATCTTACTCTTGTCGCCCAGGCTGGAGTGCAATGGCATGATCTTGCCTCACTGCAACCTCTCCCTCCCAGGCTCAAGCGATTCTCCTGCCTCAGCATCCCGAGTAGCCGGGATTACAGGCGCACACCACCACGCTCAGCTAATTTTTGTATTTTTAGTAGAGACAGGGGTTTCACCATGTTGGCCAGGCTGCTCTCAAACTCCTGACCTCAGGTGATCCACCCACCTCGGCCTCCCAACGTGCTGGGATTACAGGTGTGAGCCACTGCACCCAGCATCACCTTTGTTTTAAACTACAAACTAAGTTTCTCCCGAAGTTAGTTCAGCCTACGCCCAGGAATGAACAAGGACAGCTTAGAGATTAGAAGCAAGATGGAGGTTTTTTTTTTTTGAGATGGAGTCTCGCTCTGTTGCGGAGGCTGGAGTGCAGTGGCGTGATCTCGGCTCACTGCAAGCTCCGTCTCCTGGGTTCACGCCATTCTCCTGCCCCAGCCTCCCAAGTAGCTGGGACCACAGGCACCCGCCACCACGCGCGCTAATTTTTTGTATTTTTAGTAGAGACGGCGTTTCACTGTGTTAGCCAGGATGGTCTCCGTCTCCTGACCTTGTGATCCACCCGCCTCGGCCTCCCAAAGTGCTGGGATTACAGGCATGAGCCACGACACCCGGCCCAAGACGGAGTTTGTTAAGTCAGATCTTTCACTGTCTCAGTCATAATTTTGCAATGGCAGTTAAGACATTATGCTAAATGAGATAAGCTAGTCACAGAGGGAAAAATATGGCTTGATTCCACTTATATGAGGTTTCTAAAATAGTCAAATGCATAGCAGCAGGGAGTAGAATAGTTGTTGCCAAGGGCTGGGGGGAAGGAGAAAATGGGGAGATGCTATTCAACAGGTATAAAGTTTCAGTTACGCAAGATGAATGAGTTCTAGAGATCTGGTGTATGATCCTGCAACTGTAGTTAACAATATAGTGTTGTGTCACAATTTGGTTAAGAAGGTAGACCTTATGTTAAGTGTTCTTAGAACAATAATAATAATAATAATAACCATACTAAGAAATTGGACATTGGAGGCATAAACTTTCCATCTGGTTTGAATGAACCTCCAACTTAAGTAGTAATGTGTAATAGATTTAAGGAAAATGGTAATATAAATTAGAATGGTTATTTTCAATGATTTATGAAGCCCTGTAGAGGAGGTTGTTATTATTATCATTGCCATTATTATGCTGCTAATGAGTAGCTTCGTCTTTAACTACTCTGTGACCTTGGGCAATTTACTTCGCGTTTTGGGAAGAAGTTCTTACCTGCATAATATGAAGAGGCTGAAAGAAAAGAGTTTTCGGGTTTTCCCTCCAACACTTATGGTATTTTATTATCTTTTGCAAAAATGTGTTTTTTTCCCTGTCTGCCCCTTTTTATATCAGTAGGGTCTCCTTTATGAATTTTCATTCCCTATAGTTTTTCTTACTGCCTTAGTCCTTTTCTTCAAACTCAGTGCTATACAAACCAAATTTGCAATATATAAAGCTATCTCTAAGGACTCTACATAAAACAATATTCAAGAGCTTTAAACTCAGAGTGACATTTAAGGATAGAAACAGCCAGATAAAAAGATAAGTTTCTGATTTACTCTAAAATGTATTCTCTGAATCTGCATTTCTGAAGTCTAGCAGAAATGGTTGCTTCAGTCATTATGCGTGGCAAGGTAAAAGCTCCAACGCCAGGAGAATTTAATCCAAGCTTTTCCTTGGTTCTGTGAGCTACAGAATTGTTTCTCCTTTCCTGATGATGAACTTTCCCGTGAATTCTCTTTCTTTGTGACTTACATATTCATGGCGACAGCCCTTACCTTCCAGGTTAGCTAATGGCAAGAACGTGGTGACAGATTCTACTGCTGAGGAATGTTAGTGGGTTGGGTAGTGAAAGGTTATATTCAATCAATTCAGCAGAGGATCTTTAGCAGCCAGAGTGCTGTTGACACTCAATTACATTAGGAAAAGAGACACGATCAACATAAGATTAAAATATAAGAAATATATCAAAATGAGAACAATATAGGAGGGATCATGAAATCCACGAACAGAAATCATAAATTGTGTGTAGCGCTTTAACAGAAATGACGGAGGATTAAAAAAGGCTAGACTATGGCTCTTACTCTTGAGCTTCAAATTTAGCTGAGACGACTAGCCATTCATAAAATAATTAAAACAAAAAAAAAGAAGTAATGTGTGATAAGGAGGAGTTTATAAATTTGGTGAAGAAGTTGTACATTGTGGAAATTGTGGAACTGTACATCAGGGAAAGTGTAGAATTGTTCATTATGGAAAGAAACTTGGACTTGAAGAAAAATAATTTCATCAAAATTTCTAACTAATCTTTCCCAGTATTAAACTGCCTTATCCATTCATTTTGATTACTTATTCATTTAGTTTTTTCAATTGTTGCAGAGTGCCTTCTATGTGCTAGGCAATATTCTTGGTGCTGATGAACAAAATACAAATTTAATGGTGAGATTAAAAAATGAGATAAATAATATGTGGATGATGTGAAGTTCTACAGAAAAAGAAAATGAGCAGGGAAAGGAACAGGGAGCTTGTGGGAAGGTGACATTCAAGCAAACACCTAGAGGTGGTGTGGGAGTTAGTTATGTGGATATCTTAGGGAAAGACAGCCAAGGTAGAGGAAAAAGCCAGTGCAAAGGCACTGACACAGGCATCTGGCTGGCATATTCAAACAATACCAAAGAGATAAATGAGGCTGGAGCTGAAGGATAAAGAGAAGGGATAGTAGAAGACACGAGGTTGAGGGGTGGAGGACAGGACAGTCAGATCATTTAGGACTTGGAAAAGGCTGGCAGGAATTTTTACTTCTTCTTTTTTTTCTTTTTTTGAGATGGAGTCTTGCTCTGTCACCTGTTGCCCAGGCTGGAGTGCAGTGGCCCGATCTCGGCTCACTGCAAGCTCTGCCTCCTGGGTTCATGCCATTCTCCTGCCTCAGCCTCCTGAGTAGGTGGGACTAGAGGCGCCCGCCACCACGCCTGGCTAATTTTTTTTTTTTTGTATTTTTAGTAGAGACGGGGTTTCACCGTGTTAGTCAGGATGGTCTCAATCTCCGGACCTCGTCATCTGCCCTCCTCAGCCTCCCAAAGTGCTGGGATTACAGGCGTGAGCCACCGCACCCAACGAAGAATTTTTATTTCTATCATTATTGTGTTTATGCTTGGAAGCCATTGAAGGGTTCTTAGGAGAATGTTATGGTCTGACTTATGCTTTAAAGGGTCACTCTGGCTGCCTTGTTGAAAATAACGCTGTACAGGAACAGGGAGACTGTAGAAACCATTCATGAGTATATTAGAATAATCCAGCTAAGACATGGTGGTAGCAGTGAAATTAATGAAACAGTGGCTAGATTCTGGGTATATTTTGAAGGCAGAGACAAAATAATTTGCTGACAGATTACAAATGTGGTGTAAAAGAAAGAAAAAAAGGATATCAAGGTTTTTAGTGTGTTTGGACATCATTTTGAAGAGACAAAATGTGAAGACAGTGTAATCAAGAAGTATATATATTTCTTAAAACATTCAGATCTGGAGTTCATATAGCAAGTTTTCTTTGGTATGCAGTTTGGAGCCAAGACACACACCACTTCAGTTTATTTACGAACATTCAGTAGTGACCCATGTAGACTTGGTTGGAGTATGGTTGTTTTTGGTTTGCTTTGTTTTGTTTTTACAAGTACTCAAACTTTTATGACAGATTAGTTGAGGCAGGCTTTGCCATTCTGTCTCTCTCTCTCTCTCTCATTTTAATTAAACTTTTTTGTTTCAGATAAATATAGATTTACATGTAGTTTTAAGAAGTAATACAGAGATATCCTGTGTACCTTTTACTCAGTTTCTCTCAATGGCAACATCTTGCAGACTTATGGTATGATATTACAACCAGAATATTGACACTGATACAATCAAGCTACAAAACAATTCCATAACCACAGTGAACTCTAGTTTTAGGTGCCCTTTTATAGCTGCATTGGATGCTGGATTTTTCTCAACCCCTTTGATGGACTTGCGACAGGGGTGCCCCTTTACTGGGCTCACCACGCTCAACCCCTTTTAGGAGGGAGCACGTGAGCGAGCAAGTGCAGGATCCAGCCAGCCACCACTCTGGGCACTGGGAGGAGCAGGCTCTGTTTACTCAGAGCGAGCAAAGCCAGCCACTCGACTCCAGCAGAAACAAGTTCTATGTGGGGCCCACAGTGGTGCCCAGGTGCAACCCCAAAGCCCCAGAGGGTGTGTTACAATGCTCTTAGCTCTGCTGTCTGCAGATGGTGCTGTGTTATCAGCTCCGTTGACCCCTTGCCTCATCATGTGGGGTGGCTGCCCTCCCCTGGTAAGGGCAAAGAGCCAGTATGACAGGTTTTTTTGAGTACCCACACTCAGTGGGTCCTGAGCTCTCGTCCGGCATCCAAGAAGAATGAGATCGTGTGGACACTTGAAGGATGGCGAAGGTGGAGAATTTTATTTAGCAATGGAAATGGCTCTTAGTGGAGAGGGGAGCTGGAGAGAGGGTGGGCCTGTCAGGTAGTCTTCTCCCGAAGTCCAGCCATCTCTTCCCCGAAGTCCGGCTGGCTCTCCTCTGAAGTCCAGCTGTCTCCCGGAAGCCAAGTTGCCTCGCTCCAGTCAAGCCACCCTCTATCCTCTTTTGACTGAGTCTCAGGTCTTTATAGGCACAGAATAGTGGGGGAGGTAGGCCATAGGTAGTTTAGGAAAAGGCAACATTGGATTGGCAAAAAGGCATTATTCAGAAAGAGCCAATTGGGAGAGAGTGGGCAAGCAGGATTAGTTCTCACCTTGGGCTGGGGGTTTCAGGCTGTTTGCCTTCAAGGTGGGGCTTCACTGGGGATCTGCCCCTGTCTGCCTAATGCCTCTATCACGTCTACTTCCCTTTCCCCTCTCCCTGTCCTTAAACCTTGACAACTATAGCCTCTTTTTAAAAAAAATTATTATTATAATTTAAGTTCTGGGGTACATGTGCAGATGTGCAGGTTTGTTACATAGGTATACATGTGCCATGGTGGTTTGCTGCACCCATCAACCTGTCACCTACATTAGGTATTTCTCCTAATGCTATCCCTCCCCTAGCCCCCCATTTTCCAACATGCCCTTGTGTGTGATGTTCCCCTCCCTGTGTCCATGTGTTCTCATTGTTCAATTCCCACTTATGAGTGAGAACATGTGGTGTTTGGTTTTCTGTTCTTGTGACAGTTTGTTGAGAATGATGGTTTCTGGCATCATCCATGTCCTTGCAAAGGATGTGAACTCATCCTTTTTTATGGCTGCATAGTATTCCATGATGTATGTGCCACATTTTCATTATCCAGTGTATCATTGGTAGACATTTGGGTTGGTTCCAAGTCCTTGCTATTGTGAATAGTGCCACAGTACATGTGCATGTGTCTTTATAGTAGAATGATTTATAGTCCTTTGGGTATACACCCAGTAATGGGATTGCTGGGTCAAATGGTATTTCTAGTTCTAGATCCTTGAGGAATCGCCACACTGTCTTGCACAATGGCTTAACTAATTTACATTCCACCAACAGTGTAAAAGCCTTCCTATTTCTCCACATCCTTTCCAGCATCTGTTGTTTCCTGACTTTTTAATGATCGCTATTCTAACTGGCATGAGATGGTATCTCATTGTGGTTTTGATTTGCATTTGTCAAATGACCAGTGATGAGCTTTTTTTTCATATGTTTATTGGCCACATAAATGTCTTCTTTTGAGAAGTGTCTGTTTATATCCTTTGCCCACTTTTTGATGGGGTTGTTTGTTTTTTTTCTTGTAAATTTGTTTAAGTTTCTTGTAGATTTTGGATATTAGCCCTTTGTCAGGTGGATAAATTGCAAAAGTTTTCTCCCATTCTGTAGGTTGCCTGTTCACTCTGATAATAGTTTCTTTTGCTGTGCAGAAACTCTTTAGTTTAATTAGATCCCATTTGTCAATTTTGGCTTTTGTTGCCATTGCTTTTGGTGTTTTAGACATGAAGATTTTGCCCATGCCTATGTCCTGAATGGTATTGCCCAGGTTTTCTTCTAGGATTTGTATGGTTTTAGGTCTTATGCTTAAGTCTTTAATCTATCTTCTGATAATTTTTGTATAAGGTGTAAGGAAGGGGTCCAGTTTCAGTTTTCTGAATATGGCTAGCCAGTTTTCCCAATGCCATTTATTAAATAGGGAATCTTTTTCCCATTGCTTGTTTGTGTCAGGTTTGTCAAAAATCAGGTGGTTGTAGGAGTGTGATGTTATTTCAGATGGTTGTAGGAGTGTGGTGTTCTATTTCATTCGTCTATGTATCTGTTTTGGTACCAGTACCATGCAGTTTTAGTTTCTGTAGCATTGTAGTATAGTTTGAAGTCAGGTAGCATGATGCCTCCAGCTTTGTTCTTTTTGCTTAGGATTGTCTTGGCCATGTGGGCTCATTTTTGATTCCATATAAAGTAGTTTTTTCCAATTCTGTGAAGAAAGTCATTGGTAGCTTGATGGGGATAGCATTGAATCTATAAATTACTTTGGCCAGTGTGGCCATTTCGACGGTATTGATTCTTTCTGTCCATGAGCATGGAATGTTTTTCCATTTGTTTGTGTTTTCTCTTATTTTCTTGAGCAGTGGTTTGTAGTTCTCCTTAAAGAGCTCCTTCACATACCTTGTAAGTTGTATTCCTAGGTATTTTATTCTCTTTGTAGCAATGTGAGAGTGAGTTCACTCATGATTTGGCTCTCTGTTTGTCTGTTATTGATGTATAAAAAAGCTTGCGATTTTTGCACACTGCTTTTATATCCTGAGACTTTGCTGAAGTCACTTACCAGCTTGATGAGATTTTGGGCTGAGACGATGGGGTTTTCCAAATATACAATCATGTCATCTGCAAACAGAGACAACTTGACTTCCTCTCTTCTTATTTGAATACCTTTATTTGTTTTTCTTGCCTGATTGCCCTGGCCAGAACTTCCAATACTGTGGTGAATAGGAATGGTGAGAGAGGGCATACTTGTCTTGTGCCAGTTTTGAAAGGGAATGCTTCCAGCTTTTGCCCATTCAGTATGATATTGGCTATGGATTTGTCATAAGTAGCTCTTATTATTTTGAGATATGTTCCACCGATACCTAGTTTACTGAGAGTTTTTAGCATGAAGGGGTGTTGAATTTTGTCAAAGGCCTTTTCTGCATCTATTGAGATAATCATGTGGTTTTTATCTTCAGTTTTGTTTATGCGATGGATTACGTTTATTGATTTGTGTATGTTGAACCAGACTTGCATTCCAGGTATGAAGCTGACTTGATTGTGCTGGAAAAGCTTTTTGATGTGCTGCTGGATTTGGTTTGCCAGTAGTTTATTGAGGATTTTCCCACCAATGTCCATCAGGGATATTGGCCTGAAATTTTCCTTTTTTGTTGTGTCTCTGCCAGGTTTTGGTAACAGAATGATGCTGGCCTCATAAAATGAGTTAGGGAGGAGTCCCTCTTTTTCTAGTGTTTGGAATACTTTCAGAAGGAATGGTACCAGCTCCTCTTTGTACCTCTGGTAGAATTCGGCTGTGAATCCATCTGGTCCCGGACTTTTTTTGGTTGGTAGGCTATTCCTCAATTTAAGAACTTGTTATTGGTCTATTCAGGGATTTGGCTTCTTCCTAGTTTAGACTTGGGAGGGTGTATGTGTCGAGGAATTTATCCATTTCTGCTAGATTTTCTAGTTTATTTGTGTTGAGGTGTTTATAGTATTCTCTGATGGTAGTTTGTATTTCTGTGGAATCAGAGGTGATATCCCCTTTATCATTTTTTATTGTATCTATCTGATTCTGCTGTCTTTTCTTCTTTATTAGTCTGGCTAGCAGTCTATCTATTTTGTTGATGTTTTCAAAAAAACAGCTCTTGGATTTATTGATTTTTTTGAAGGGATTTTTGTGTCTCTATCTCCTTCAGTTCTGCTCTGATCTTAGTTATTTCTTTTCTTCTGTTAGCTTTTGAATTTGTTTGCTGTTACTTCTCAAGTTCTTTTACTTTTGATGTTAGGGAGTCAGTTTTAGATCTTCCCTGCTTTCTCTTGTTGGCATTTAGTGCTATAAATTTCCCTCTACACACTGCTTTAAATGTGACCCAGAGATTCCGGTACGTTGTGTCTTCGCTGTCATTGCTTTCAAAGAACAACTTTATTTCTGCCTTCACTTCGTTATTTACCCAGTCGTCATTCAAGAGCAGGTTGTTCAGTTTCCATGTAGTTGTGTGGTTTTGAGTGAGTTTCTTAATCCTGAATTCTAATTTGATTGCACTTTGGTCTGAGAGACTGTTTATTATGATTTCCATTCTTTTGCATTTGCTGAGGAGTGTTTTACTTCCAATTATGTCATCAATTTTAAAATAAGTGCGATGTGGTGCTAAAAACGAATGTATATTCTGTTGTTTTGGGGTGGAGAGTTCTGCAGATGTTTATGAGGTCTACTTGGTCCAGAGCTGAGTTCAAGTCCTGAATGTCCTTGTTAATTTTCTTCTCATTGATCTGTCTAATATTGACAGTTGAGTGTTAAAGTCTCCCACTATTATTGTGTGGGAGTCTAACTCCCTTTGTTCATCTCTAAGAACTTGCTTTATGAATCTGAGTGCTCCTGTATTGGGTGCATATATATTTAGGATAGTTAGCTCTTGTTGCATTGATCTCTTTACCATTATGTAATGCCCTTCTTTGTCTCTTTTGGTCTTTGTTGGTTTAAAGTCTGTTTTACCAGAGATTAGAATTGGAACTTCTGCTTTTTTTGCTTTTCTTTTGCTTGATAAATATTTTCCATCCATTTACTCTGAGCCTATGTGTGTGTTTCCACATGAGATGGGTCTCCTGAATGCAGCACACTGATGGGCCTTGACTCTTTATCCAATTTGCTATTCTGTGTCTTTAAGTTGGGGCATTTAGCCCATTCACATTTAAGGTTAATATTGTTGTGCTTGAATTTGATCCTGTCATTATGTTCCTAGCTGGCTGTTTTGCCTATTAGTTGATGCAGTTTCTTCATATTTGTGATGTTCTTTACAATTTGGTATTTTTTTTGCAGTGATTGGTACTGGTTGTTCCTTTCCATGTTTAGTGCTTCCTTCAGGAGCTCTTGTAAGGCAGGCCTGGTGGTGACAAAACCTCTAAGCATTTGCTTCTCTGTAAAGGATTTTATTTTTCCTTTGCTTATGAAACTTAGTTTGGGGATGTGAAATTCTGGGTTGAATATTCTTTTCTTTAAGAATGTCGAATATTGACCCTCTTCTGGCTTGTAGAGTTTCGCAGAGAGATCTGCTGTTAGTCTGATGGGCTTCCCTTTGTGGGTAGCTCGACCTTTCTCTCTGGCTGCCCTTAACATTTTTCCTTTATTTCAACCTTGGTGAATCTGACGATTATGTGTTTTGGGGTTATTCTTCTCAAGGAGTACCTTTGTGGTGTTCTCTGTATTTCCTGAATTTGAATGTTGGCCTTTCTCACTAGGTTGGGGAAGTTCTCCTGGATAATATCCTGAAGAGTGTTTTCCTGCTTGGTTCCATTCTCCCCGTCACTTTCAGGTACACCAATCAAATGTAGGTTTGGTCTTTTCACATAGTACCATATTTCTTGGAGGCTTTGTTCATTCCTTCTATTCTTCTTTCTCTAATCTTGTCTTCTTACTTTATTTCATTAAGTTGATCTTCAATCACTGATATCATTTCTTCTGCTTGATCAATTCAGCTATTGATACTTGTGTATGCTTCACAAAGTTCTCATACTGTGTTTTTCAGCTCCTTCAGGTCATTTATGTTCTTCTCTAAACTGCTTATTCAAGTTAGCAATTCATCTAACCTTTTTTCAAGGTTCTTAACTTCCTTGCATTGGGTTAGAACGTGCTCTTTTAGCTTGGAGGAGTTTGTTTTGTTTTTAACCACCTTCATAAGCCTACTTCTGTCAGTTCATCAAACTTACTGTCTGTCCAGTTTTGTTACCTTGCTGGCGAGGAGTTGTGATCCTTTGGAGGAGAAGAGGCATTCTGGTTTTTGGAATTTTCAGCCTTTTTGTGCTGGTTTCTCCCCATCTTTGTGGATTTATCTACATTTGGTCTTTGATGTTGGTAACCTTCAGATGAGGTTTTTGAGTGGACGTGCTATTCCTTTCTGTTTCTTAGTTTTCCTTCTGACAGTCAGGCTCCTCTGCTGCAGGTCTGCTGGAGTTTGCTGGAGGTCCACTCCCAACTCTGTTTGCCTGGGTATCAGCAGCAGAGGCTCCAGAACAGCAAATATTGCTTCCTGCTTTTTCCTCTGGAGACTTTGTCCCAGAGGGGCACCTGCCAGATGCCAGTCAGAGCTCTCCTTTATGAGGTGTCTGTTGGCTCCTACTGGGAGGTATCTCCCAGTTAGGATACATGGGGGTCAGAGAGCCACTTGAGGAGGTAGTCTGACCCTTAGCAGAGCTTGAACACTATGCTGGGAGGTCTGCTGCTCTCTTCAGAGCTGTCAAGCAGGGATGTTTAAGTTTGCTGAAGCTGCGCCCACAGCTGCCCCTTCCCCAGGTGCTCTGTCCCTCAGGTGTTCTATCCCAGGGAGATGGGGGTTTTATCTATAAGTCCCTGGCTGGTACTGCTGCCTTTTTTTCTGAGATGCCCTGCCCAAAGAGGAGAAATCTGGCAGTCTGGCCACAGGGTCCTTGCTGAGCTGCAGTTGGCTCCACCCAGTTCGAACTTCCTGGTGGCTTTGTTTACACTGTGAGCATAAAACCGCCTGCCCAAGCCTCAGAAATGGCGGACGCTCCTCCCCCAAGCAAGCGTGAGCTTCCGAGTTCGAACTCAGACTGCTGCTGTGCTGGTAGCAAAAATTTCAAGCCAGTGGATCTTAGTTTGTTGGGCTCCGTGGGCGTGGGACCCGCCGATCCAGACCACTTGGCTCCCTGGCTTCAACACCCCTTTCCAGGGAAGTGAAAGGTTCTGTCTCACTGGTGTTCCAGGCACAACTGGGATATGGAAAAAAGAAAAATCAAAAAACAAAACTCCTGCAGCTAGTCCGGTGACTGCTCAAATGGATGCCCAGTTTTGCGCTTGAAACCCAGGGACCTGGTGGGGTAGGCACCAGAGGGAATCTCCTGGTCTGTGGGTTGTGAAGACCATGGGACAAGCACGATATCTGGGCCGGAGTGTGCACAGTTCCTCAGGCTCAGTCCCTCACAGTTTCCCTCGGGCAGGGGAGAAAATTCCCTGACCCCTTGCACTTCCCCGGTGAGGCGACGCCCCACCCTGCTTCAGTTCACCCTCTGTGGGCTGCACCCACTGTCCAGCCAGTCCCAATGAGATGAACTGGATACCTCAGTTGGAAATGCAGAAATCGCCCGCCTTCTGTTTTGATCTCGCTCGGAGCTGCTGACCACAGCTGTTCCTGTTTGGCCATCTTGCCAGCAATCCTGCCTCTCTGTTTATATCACACTTAGAACACTACAATCACTTTAAGAAAGAAATTGGTGACATTGAAATGTGTTTAGAGAAGAACTGTTTAGAATCAGGGGGAAGCACAAAAACATGACATATGAAGAAAAATAACCAAGAATACAGTATTTATCACAATAAAAATCAAGCTCAGGGTAAAATATATAGCTCTCCATGATTTTGGAGTGCTCCCATGTGTCTGAGGACTTAGAGTTGTTCTGTAAGACCAACAGATATAGTGTTTTTTTTTTTTTTTTAAAGGGATTCCATTTCTTTTAGGAAGAATTTTTTCAGATTTAGGAAATATTATTAATACTTCCAGGAGGTTTTTTTTTTTTTTTTTTTTTTTTTTAGATAGAGTCTCACTGTGTTGCCCAGCTCACTGCAACCTCTGCCTCCCAGGTTCAAGTGAGTCTCCTGCCTCAACCTCCTGAGTAGCTGGGATTATGGGATTACAGGAGGAGCCTGTCACCACAGCCAGCAAATAGTTGTATTTTTAGTAGAGATGGGGTTTCACAATGTTGGCCAGGTTGGTCTCAAACTCCTGACCTCAAGTGATCCCCCTACCTCAACCTCCCAAAGTGCTGGGGTTACAAGTGTGAAACACTATGCCTGGCCTTTCTTTCAGGAGGTAAGTTCTCTCTTTGTTCAGCTGAAGAGAGTTTAAGCAATCACTATGTAATAACTCAATAATTTTCTGGAGGTTTGAACTTCATAATTTTTTTCAATGATAACATAGAAAATATTTTTTCCTTTTGCTTCTTCCAGTGGCTTTATTTAGTTTATTTTTTAATTGAAAATAAAACTTTGTGTGATACTGTAGATAAGATACAGCTGTAAAAAATAATACAGAAAGCTCCTAGGTACCTTTTGCCCAGTTTCTCCCAATGGTTACGCTTGTCAAAATTATAAGAACTAGGATATTGACCATGATAAAATTCAGCAATCTTATTCAGATTTTCCAAGTTTTATTTATACTTATGTGTGTGTGTGTATTTGTGTGTATTAAATTTTATACCGTTTTATTACGTGCAGGTTCTTGTATCCACTGCCACAGTAATGATACTAACAGTTCCAACACCACAAGGATCCTCTTGTTGCCTTTTTATATCCACACTCACCTCCTGCTTGCCACCCTCCTTCTCCAACCCCCACTCCCCATCCCCTAACTCCTGCCAACTACTCATCTACCTCCATCTAAATTATTTTTCATATTTCAAAATGTTACATAAATGAAATTAACAGTGCTATGTAGCCTTTTGGGATTAGCTTTTTTCACTCAACATAATTTTCTGAAATTCATCTAAGTTCTTGCTTGTATCAATAGTTTGTTTCTTTTATTGCTGAGTAGTATTCCATGGAATGTACTTGTCACAGTTTGTTTAATCATTCATGTGTTGAACATCTGGGCTGATTCCAGTTTTTAGCTATTGTAAATAAAACTGCTATGAATATTTGTGTATGGGTTTTTGTTTTGGTAAACATAAATTTTAATTTCTCTAGGAAGTGTCTCCAGGAGTGCAACTGCTGGGTGTTATTGTGGTTGCATGTTTAGTTTTAGTTTTGTTTTGTTTTTGTTTAAGAAATTGCCAAGCTGTTTTCCAAAATGGCCAGACCAGTTTACATTCCCTGTCTGTCTTTTTAAACATTGTAGTTTATCTTCTGTTTGTGGAATCTTAGCTGGGCTAAATGAATCCCAGTGTGGGAAGGATTTTAGAAACCTTGCCAAGACACAAAAAATAAAGTATGTTCTGAACTAATCTGAAGAAGAGAAAATCTTGTTTAACTAAACCTGTCTATGTAACAAGGTCATAAAAAAGGCTACACAATAAGAGAGAGGATCGTTCTTTTGGATTTTCAGAGAAGCCTTTGTTAAAATTCCACATGACCCAATGCTACTTAAAACCAAAGTCATGGGGATTAAAGGGGAAATATAAAGAATCAAAAATCTAATTCACAGTGAGTTACGCAGGCTGCTTTGTGCCTGGATTCTTGTGTACTTACAGCTGTCTACAGCACATTCCATCTAGAGTTGCTAGATGCTCTCCTTTAAGGTGTTAGCTTTCCCAGACATGCTTTGATGTCCTAGCAGTACCAACGTGGGCAGAGTGTCATGGGCTGCAAGGAAATGGGAGAATGCTGACACTTTCTTTACATCCTATCAGGACTCTTTGGAATGAAAGATACATTTTAGTTATTGTTTTCATTTTGAGAACAATAAGCACATATAATTAATTATGATATTTACAGTTATAGCCACCATTTTGAGTTTCTACCATGTGCCAGGATCTGTGCTAAATTACATACATTATATACAGTTCTCAAAATCAGCCTTCAAAGAAGGTATTTTTTTAGATCTCCAATTTATAAATGAGGGAGGTTAGGTCATCAAGTTTAACCACATATATTCATTAGACTACTATGAAACAAATTCAAAATTTTTATTAATTTCCATGCTAAGGAATTCTAAATGCCCAGTTTCACCTATGACTTCTCTATCTACCGTGATTCATTACTGACTGCTGGGGGCAGGGGAAGAATTAGGAGGATGGGTAGTAGAGGTAGAGTGGCTTAAGGTACACAAATATAATAATCATAATTATAATCATATTTTAATTATGCCATCATTTATTGAGTTTCTGCTATGTGCTGGGATTTCTGCTAATTTTGATATATAAGGTCTTGACTTCAAACAAAAATAATCTTGTGTAAAACAGTCACGTAAATACATGAGGAAACAGGCTTAGAAAGGTGAAGTGATTTTTCATAAAGTCACACACCTGGAGAAAATTCTAAGATTCAATCAGTGATCTACCTGACTCTAAAATTATTGCTCTGTTTGTTTGCATATCTCTATGTATGTATATCAATGGAAAACACACACCCACACCCACACTCACTCATACACACACAAATTCGTTATTAGAGAAATTAAGATTCTTGGTGATATGGTTTGGCTCTTTGTCCCCACCCGAATCTCATCTTGCAGCTCCCGTAATTCCCACATGTTGTCAGAGGGACGTGGTGGGAGATGACTGAATCATGGAGGTGGGTCTTTCCCATGTTGTTCTCATGATAGTGAATAAGTCTCACGAGATCTGATGGTTTAAAAATGGTAGTTTCCCTGCACAAGCTCTCTCTTTGCCTGCTGCCATCCATATAAGATGTGACTTGCTTCTCCTTGCCTTCCGCCATCATTGTGAGGCCTCCCCAGCCATGTGGAACTGTAAGTCCATTAAATTGCTTTTTCTCCCCAGCTTTGGGTATGTCTTTATCAGCAGCATGAAAACAAGCTAATATGGTAAATTGGTACCAGTAGAGTGGGGTGCTGCTGAAAAGATACCTGAAAATGTGGAAGACATTTTCCCCATTGTCTTGAGGATTAACATTCGGCTCCTTATAAATTATGCAAATTTCAGCAGTCAGCTTGAATTTCTCCTTAGAAAATAGGATTTTCTTTTCCATCGTGTTGTCAGGCTGCAAATTTTCCAAACTCTTATGCTCTGCTTCCCTTACAAAACTGAATGCCTTTAACAGCACCCAAGTCACCTCTTGAATGCTTTGCTGCTTAGAAATTTCTTCTGCCAGGTACCCTAAATCATCTCTCTCAAGTTCAGTGTTCTACAAATCTCTAGGGCAAGGGCAAAATGCCACCAGTCTGTTTGCTAAAACATAACAAGAGTCACCTTTCTCCAGTTCCTGAAAACTTCCTCATTTCCATCTGAGACCACCTCAGCATGGATTTCATTGTCGATATCATTATCAACATTTTAGTCAAAATCATTCAACAAGTTTCTAGGGAGTTCAAAACTTTCTCACATTTTTCTGTCTTCTTTTGAGCCCTCCAAACTGTTCTAACCTCTGCCTGTTACCCAGTTTTTGTGGCTGGTAAGTCTGATGGAAAACTTTGGGTAGTTGTCTTCAACAGTTAACAGAATATAGAAGAATAGGACTAGTGCAGTATCATGCTCATTGACCTGGTTTTTTCATGTTCATCAATCTCTCCTCAGTCTCAACCATTCCCCTTTCTACTTATTTACTACAAAATTTCTTTGTCACTGATGGATCAACACTCCTTTACTTGTAGCTGGTGGTACATAATTCCCACTATCTATTATATAGGAGCTCCATACTGTCTCTCACTTTATATTTTCTTCATAATAGACACTTATTAAATATTTGAATGATGAATGAATGAAATATTAGAATTTTCCCTTCCACACTATTTACCTTCTTGGTATCAATTGCTCTTTAATGTTTTCACCATCTCCGATAGCTCCTTTCAAGAATATCTGATTTAAAAGGTAATTCCCTGTGTTTAAAATTGAGCATTCTGTTTAGTTCAGTTTAATAGCATGTAGTAATTTAGCCTTTAAGCGGGGAACCCTGTTAGGTGCTCAGGGCAAGGAGATGACTAACACATCACCTGACTTTTAAGGAGTTCCCTATTTTCTAGAGGACACAAATGAGTATGATAAGGGCAGCTAGAGAAACCTGCACAAGAAATGAAGGAAATTCATCGTATCGGATCACCAGAAGAGATGGACAAAGATGGCTTTCCACAGGGGATGATACCTAACCTGGATTTTGAAAGATGAATAAGAGTTTTCCTTTTTAGATAGATGAGCAAGGACTATCTTAAATAGAAAACATTTTTGTTCACTGAGTTAGCTCTGGAAATTGCAGGAAATGTTACGTGGATTTTGGGGATCTAGGCTCAGAATCAAAACCTGGGTTTTGATGTATTAGGATTGGGAGTTTCACCTTTACAGCATGACAGGGAGAGAAGTGGTTGATACAAGTAACAACTTTTATAAACAATGGCTGCTTCACATTTTATTCTAATTCCTGGATGAACCTGGGCAAAAAAATGAACAGAATAGAGATCTTTGTGGAATACATAAATAAAGCTATATTTTAAAATGGTTTGAAATTATGAGTTTAAATCTAAACTTTCTCAACTGAAGGCATTAAGGTGTTTCATCTTCTTCTTGTTGCTTCACTGTGGGTAGGGTGCATATTAAAAGTGCACAACTTTAAGAAGTTGAAGGACTTAGTTTGTCAAAAAGCGTAAAAAGCCCCTCCATCAACTCTAAGGATTATTATATCCTTAGTAGAAATAATTGCACGTGCCCACACTGATAGTGGAATGCATTTCCTGGAGTGCTGCATTGAGATAGATTCTGAGGCAATATCAACATTCATAGGAAAAAGCCCTATGATCAATTGTTCACATGTGTATATACGTGCATGTGTGTGTTGCTGGGGGCAGAGGGGATTGTGAACCATGTGCTGCATTTCTGCCATCTCTCAATCAGAAAAATAATGAATGGGTGGCCACAATAACTTGGGAAGCCTGATCACCTTATTTTTTAATAATTATACCCCATCCATACCCACATTGTATTTTCATCAAATTAATAAAAGATGATTTTGCAGTGTCCTTTTTTGTCATAGTATTAACATTCTCACAAGCACAACCATAAAATCAGTTGACATTTACTCTTAATTTACACAGAATAATGGTGTTGGTTAAAGAGTGATTACATATGAAGTTTAATACACAGTTATTTTTTACCTGGCTCTCTATTATCTATCTTTTATATCAGGAAAGCAATTTAATTTGGTGAGATATCCATGTAGATAACCACCATAGCTTGCACTTACAGCTTGATAATGCCCTATAGGGACTTCTATACAAAGGAGAAGGCACTCAATAAATACACATGAAATGAAAGAATAATTCCGAGTCATATGACAGGGGGAATGTGAAGGAGGCTAAAAATGGGAAAGAATTAAGATAAGATTCTTAAGTTGAATTTATGTGGCATAAATGAAATACAGGATGGCGAAGGGTACTCCACTGTTTTATTGCCACTTCTTGCAGAAGGCCTGTGTAATTCATTTAATGCTTCCCTTTTTGTGACTTATGCTGTCATCCCAGATTCACAATAATGTAAGTTTACAGCACTCCATATCGACATATATTCTCTCTCCACTGTGTTTGCAAACTTCTCTACTCCTGCTGCGTTCCTAGGGGAGAGGGTTAATTCCCAAAAGGCACCACATCAGGAGATGTTATAAGTGGAATTGTTCCAGATAAGCAATGTCAGTCATGCAGTCATCCTGATGTGCAAGTCGAACCTCTTCATGGACATGATACTGGTGGTGTCCAGGAAACTAGGGTGTGGCTAAGACTGGAACAGCATAGGTCAAACTTTGCAAAATTAACTGTGTTCATTTTCATTAAAGTGTCTTCCTTATATCCTATTCTAATCAGAAAAATAAACATTTTATTGATTATGGATAAAATTTAGTGAGTGCTGTAACTTGATCCTATTTAATCCTTCCTAAACCCTATCAGTTAGTGATATGGTTTGGCTTTTTGTTCCTGTCCAAATCTTATCTAAAATTGTAATCCCCAAGTGTTGAGGGAGGTGCTGGGTGGGAGGTGATTGGATTATAGGGGCGGTTTCCCCCATGCTGTTCTCATGATAGTGTGTGAGTTCTCTTGAGATCTGATGCTTTAGAAGTGTTTGGCAGTTACCCCTTTTTCTCGCTCGCTCTCTCTCTCCTGCCGCATTGTGAAGAAGGTACTTGCTCCTCCTTCACCTATCTGCCGTGATTGTAAGTTTCCTGAGGCCTCCCCAGCCATGCGGAACCATGAGTCAATTAAACCTCTTTTGTTTATATATTACCCAGTCTCAGGTACTATCTTTGTAGCAATGTGAAAACAGATGAATACAGTTGACTACCATTATTTTCTCCAGTTTGCATTTTGGAAAATTGAAACTTAAGGAGCATAAGTAGTTAGTCTAAGATTGCATAGCTGAGTGTCATGGTCTAGTTTAAATCAAAGGTTGCCTAATACCGATGTTTTTATCATGCTAATCACCATACAGCATAGCCTTCTGTACAGAAACTGTGGTTGACATCTTCCCATTTACCTGGCTGATTTAACAGTCCCTCCTAACAGCTGTCTGCCTGGGGAGCTGTGTCAACCCTATAGAGCAAACATTGGGAATTTAGTTTATAACTTGAACAAAATATCTACATGTCAGGGAGAGTCCCAGAGAAATAAGACACTGGTTTATTCCCCTTACCCTCCTTTTTCCAGTCTTTTATTCTGGTCTTAAAACTGCTTAGTTGTAACTAATAAATGTTACTGGGTGAATAAATGTTCACCCAAAATACTGTTTTTGACATAAATAATGTAATGTCCAAACAATGCAGAAGCTGCCTTAAATAAAACATGTGAATGCTGGGTCTTTCTTGTAATAATTTGAAAAATATCAATAATGTTGTCAGTTTAACAACAAAACATGCTATCTGCCCTTTTCGTCTTCCTGGCTATATTAGAAAAAGAAAAATGTGCCCCTTCATCACATAAAAAGTATACTTCTCATCACAATTGTCTTAAGAGTTGTTCTAGAAACCTACATTTAATTTTAAAATGAGCAAATGCAAATGAATGGATTAGTAAACAAGAATGTTTGCTGGCTTTAGAATTAAATAACATGAACTTGAATCTCAGCTGGGAGGCTTTGGGCAACACCCTTACCTTCTTTGAACCTCTGTTTTTTCATGTAAAGTGGAGATAATTATACCTACTACAGAATGTTGCTGTGAGGATTAAATGAGATAATGAATGGGTATCAATTTGTTAACCAATGTAAATTTCATAGTGGTGCAAGCAGGAAAGAGCTTTATTTTGTTTTTCCCCCCAACACGATCTTTAATTTCTTGCTCCTTAAAGCTATCTAATTGGAGCCCATGGCTGTTGGGAACCTTCAGTGATAACAATCATTTCATTTGGATAGTTGTCTTAATTTGGATTTCCCCTGAAATGATCTTGAGAGAAGAATATGGGTGCAGTTAGTCTATCTGGAAAGTGGGTGCAGGTAGTACAAGTGAAGAAAAGAGGAAAAGAGGAAAAAATAAAAACCAACAAAAGCTTTAGAGCAGGTCATTACTATGGGTAACTGGGGCTCCATCTCTCTGAAATACCACGTGGAAGATACCTTGGAACATTCTCTTTGGAAGAAGGGGATGTAGGAGTGCTGTTGGTTCCCCAAGTGGATCCTCTTGTCTGCTCTATTGCACACATCCCCCATTACCCTGAGCATTGAATGGCTCACTGCTGCCCCCTGCTCCTTCTCCTGAGAATTGTTTTTAGTTTAGCCCACTCTCACTCCAGTTGCCAAGAGCGGATGAATGACAGAGACACATAAGGCCAGCCCTTTGCCTCAATAGGAGATGATTCTGATGGGTAATTTAAGCTACAGAGCCCTTTTCTACCCATGAATCTGGCTAGATGGACCTGTGATCTCACACTAGCTTGGCTCTTTTTTCTTCCCTCTTCTGTTTTATTCCCTCCTTTTACTGGTTTCTCCTGAGGCATCTCTATCACTAAAACTCATGCATGTGAATTTCTGTCTCAATCTGTGCTTCTAGGGAACTTGACATAAGTCAGGGCAATTATTTAATTATGCTCATCTCCCACTGCTTGAGGATTTGGAGGCACTGACTAGCTGCTGCCTTTGTGGTTCACACCACAGCTTATTTCTGTTGCGGGCTCATTGCTCCCTTCATGGAGTGATATTGGGTGTGGCCCCATCAGGTTGGTCTGAGACAGGTGAAGATTCTTGGTATACAGGAGACTTGTCATGCTTGCTGTGTAGACAGTCTCCACTGTTGCCCTCTCCTCTCCCTGTTATTGGTGTTGTCTGCAGCCAGTTTACCATCTTCAGATGGTAAACTCAGAAAACCTCAGAAAGGAAGTAAATAGCAGCTTCTTGTTTTGCTTATGCTCCCATAGTTAAGGAATACATGTAAACCTCCTTCAAGAATTCTGCCACCGAGTTCTGTCTTGGGGAATGGGGATAGGTTGGGGAACACTAACATGTTTTTCTGTCCACCCGCAAGCAGGCTGCCAGGGAATGAAACCTTAATCTACCCATCTGATAATCAGCCTTCGTTCACTTCATGGAAATGCCCTAACTTGGTTTGTGCAATAGCCACTCAGCCAACAATTTCCTGATTCAACAATCTCTCTTAACTCTAGTCTTCTGCCTATATGAGCTGGATGAGATGATGGGGGTGTGGGTAAAATGACCAATTTGGCCACCTTCTTTTTTAAATATGAGGTTTTCTATAGTCTCTTGGGACTTTGGGACTTTAGTTGGTTTCCAGAAGGAACAGAAAGCATTTTAATATTATTTTATAGATGTAAATTAAAACTTAGATGCTCACCAAGTGGTAGCTCTTAGTTTAATTACAAAATTAGTCTCTGGAATGTTTGAAAAGTCATTGTTTCTTAGTGTTTTCTTTAATAAGGTGACTTAGCATATTTAATAAAAAAGACCACAGGCCTGAGAAGTAGGAGACCTGGGTCATCATGCTTTTAGCTCTGTGACATTTTTAAATAATTTCACCTTCCAACAGCCAATACGTAGGATAATAAAAGTTGTTTAACATATCCCACAGGTTGTTGTAAGTCTGAAATGAAGGAAAACACCCAAAACATATTTGAAAGCAAAAGATAATGAAATGTCAGTTAATAATTAATAAAGTAACTCAATGTTAAGGGAGCCTATCAAAAGGCAATTTCTCCTTTCCTTCAGAGACGCTCACACCGATCCAACAAGCCGCCGTGACTGAGACCTGACTCGTTTTTGGCAAACAGATGCCACTCTAAATGATGACAAAGTGATAAACCTATGTAAATATTTCATATGGAAGCAAAGTCAATATGGACAAATGTGAAAGACATGATTCCAAGACTGGAATGCCAGGCTATGCATAGACACAGCAAAAAACAATGTGGATATTGGAGTAGATCATAAGCTGAAAACAAACCCCATGCTGTTATTTAAAAGCTTACCAGAAACCCCTAAAAGGCATGGGCCAGGCATAATTTTGTCATTCTTCCCTAACCTCATCATGTCATATGCTGTCAATTGGGTGAGGCACAGTGTAGAAAAAAGTGTCCTGTGTTCTAATTCCTGCTCCTCCTGACCTTGGATTTGATGCTTCCTTCTCCTTGTTCTTTGATGGTCAAGGTGTCATGGTAATGTGTATCTCTGTTCAAAGAATAGTTATAGATGATATGAGATAGTGTATGTGAAAGTGTTTTGGAAAAGATAGTTATTCTGTAGAGGTATAAGGTAATATTAAACAAGTGATAAAAAAGATAGAATGTTCTAGAACAGAGTGAGAAAATAGCCTGGAGGAAAGGAAGCCAGAAGTTGTCCTATTTTATCACACTATCATAGACTGCCCAAAAGGAGCAAATGTCTCTGTCAGAGAGAGAGAGAGAGAGAGAGAGAGAGAGAGAGAGAGAGAGAGAGAGGAGAGACTGCTGTGCAAGCTAAAGCTTCGAAGATTTTTTTTTTTTTTTAAAGACAGGGTCCCACCCTGTTACCCAGTCTGGAGTGCAGTGGAGCAATCATAGCTCACTACAGCCTTGACCTCCTGGGCTCAGGTGATCCTTCCATCGCAGCCTCCCAAGTAGCTGAGACTACAGGCACCCACCACCATGCCTGGCTAATTTTTATATATTTTCTCTAAAAATAGGGTCTCACCATGTTGCCCAGGCTGGTCTCAAATTCCTGGGCTTAAGTGATCCACCTGCCTCAGCCTCCAAAAGTGCTGGGATTACAGGTATGAGCCACTGCACCCAGGCCCTGAGGACAAATTTTGTATGGAGTGGGCATTCATCTGCCCAGTGCCACCAAGATTGATAACATCTCACATGTGGAGGAGCCCTTCCAAATAGCCCATGGTCAACACATGAAATCAGCCGTTTAAATGTAAACCAATGACAAGTCAAACCATTTCTGAAAAACAAGAATTTCTTTATTATGGAAAATTCCAAATGTATACCAAAGAGACAGAATAGAATAGTGAATTCTATACACCCATCACTCTGCTTCAATATTGTTACCATTCTAGGAAGACTATTCCTTTAGAAATATATTTTTTGATTTAAAAATTTTATTTGGAAACAATGTCAAATAAGAGTAGTAAAGACCATTCCTTTAAAAATGTTTTTGATTTTAAAACTTTTATTTGGAAATAATGTCAAATAAGAGTAGCTTAGATAGAATAATATAGAAAATTGTAACATAAGTAGAATAATTTCAAGTAAGAACAAGAATAGTGTAAAGAAAACCCATAAACCCTTTATTCAGTCACCTATTGTTAATATTTTATTACTTTTCCTTTATCATTGTCACATAGCTCCCCCCAATTCCGCCCCACCTCATTCTCTGTACATTTCTTTTTCTGAATTGAGGATGATTCATACCCCTCATAGACATTTTCTTTTTTTTGTTCTTCAGGTTACATATCTATTCCTTTTTTTCAGGTTACAGATTTATTCTTTTTTTTTTTTTTTTTTTTTTGAGATGGAGTTTCGCTCTTGTTGCCCAGGCTGGAGTGCAATGGCGTGATCTGCAACCTCCACCTCCTGGGTTCAAGCTATTCTTCTGCCTCAGCCTCTTGAGTAGCTGAGATTACAGGCGCCTGCCACTATGCTAGGCTAATTTTTGTATTTTTAGTAGAGACAGGGTTTCACTATGTTGGTCAGGCTGGTCTCGAACTCCTGACCTCAGGTGATCTGCCTGCCTCGGCCTCCCAAAGTGCTGGGATTACAGGCCTGAGCCACCAAGCCCATCCTCTTTTTAAAAATTTTATTATATTTTAAGTACTGTGATATATGTGCAGTAAGTGCAGGTTTGTTGATATATAGGTAAACATGTGCCATGGTGGTTTGCTGCACCTATTAACCTATCACCTAGGTATTAAGCCCCGAGTGTTTCAGCTAGTTGTCTTGATTAAAATAATTTACATTCCCACTAACAGTGTAAAAGCATTCCTACTTCTCCACAGCCTTGTTGTTTCTTGAATTTTTTATAATTGCCATTCTGACTGGTGTGAGATGATATCCCATTGTGGTTTTGATTTGCATTTCTCTAATGAAAAGTGATGTTGGGCTTTTTTTCATATATTTGTTGGCCACATAAATGTCTTCTTTTGGGAAGTGTCTATTCATATCCTTTACCTAGTTTTTAATGGGGTTGTTTTTTTCTTGTAAATTTGTTTAAGTGTCTTGCAGATTCTGGATATTAGACCTTTGTCAGGTGGATAGATCGCAAAATTTTTCTCCCATTCTGTAGGTTGTCTGTTCACTTTGATTGTAGTTTCTTTTGCTATGCAGAAGCTCTTTAGTTTAATTAGATCCCATTTGTCAATTTTTGCTTTTCTTCCAATTACTTTTGATGTTTTTGTCATGAAATCTTTTCCTATGCCTATGTCCTGAATGGTATTACCTAGATTTTCTTCTGGGGTTTTTATAGTTTTGGGTTTTACATTTAAGTTTTAAATCCATCTTGAGTTAATTTTTGTACAAGGTGTAAGGAAGGGGTCCAGTTTCAATTTTCTGCATATGACTAGCCAGTTTTTCCAGCACTATTTATTAAGTAAGGAATCCTTTCCCCATTGCTTGTTCTTGTCAGATTTGTCGAAGATCAGATGGTTGTAGATGTGCGGTCTTTTTTCTGAGTTTCTGTTCCATTGGTCTATGTGTCTGTTTTCGTACCAGTACCATGCTGATTTGGTTACTGTAGCCTTGTAGTATAGTTTGAAGTCAGGTAGTGAGATGCATCCAGCTTTGTCCTTTTTGCTTAGGATTGTCTTGGCTATACGGGGTCTTCTTTGTATGGTGTGGGCATTTATCTGCCCAGTGCCCTACAAAGAAATTCCATATGAAATTTATAATAGTTTTTTCCAATTCTGTGAAGAATGTCAATGGTAGTTTGATGGGAATAGCATTGAATCTATAAATTACTTCTGGCAGTATGGCCATTTTCATGATATTGATTTTTCCTATTAGGATGGAATGTTTTTCCATTTGTATGTGCCCTGTCTTATTTCCTTGAGCAGTGGTTTGTAGTTCTCCTTGAAAAGGTCCTTCACATCCCTTGCTAACTGTATTCCTATGTATTTTACTCTCTCAGTGATTGTGAATGGGAGTTCATTTATGATTTGGCTCTCTTGTCTATTGTTGGTGGAAAGGAATGCTTGTGGTTTTCACACATTGATTTTGTATCCTGAGACTTTGCTGAGGTTGCTTATCAGTTTAAGGAGTTTCTGGGCTGAGATGATGGGGTTTTCTAAATATAAAATTGTGTCATCTGCAAACAGAGACAATTTGACTTCCTCTCTTCCTATTTGAATACCCTTTATTTCTTTCTCTTTTCATGGCCATTTTTAATTTTTCACTGTGTATTTCCTAAGTATAGGGATATGCTCTTATATGACTACAGTACAGTTATCAACATCATAACTTTATATTGGTACAATTTTATTATGTTCTAGTTTTATCAGTTGACCCAAAGATTTTTTAAATAGTACTTTTCCTTCTCTATTACAGGATCCAGTCTAGAGTCAGGTATTGCATTTGGCTGTCATGTCTCTTTACCTCCTTTAACGTAGAATACCCTTTGTTTCTGTACAACATTGACATTAAAAAATACACTCCTCAATACCCATATGTGTTAACGGAATGATCTTCATTTGGGCTTCATCTAATGTTTCTTCCTGATTAGATTTAGGTTATGCATGCTTGGCCAGAATATTGCATAGGTGATGGCGTGTCCCTCTCGGGGTGCCACATCTGGTGGCAGGACTCCCATCTACTTCTAATCGGTGGTGTTAATTTTGACCATTTGGTTAAGGTGTTGTCTGATTTCTCTACTGTATAATTAATATTTTTTCCCTTGCACTCTTTAATCTGTGGAGAGACACATTAAGACCATGCACATATTCTTCTCCACATCAATTTTTCTCCCTAATTTTTTGCATTCATTCATAATCCTTGGCTCATCTAATCTTTATAAACAATGGCTGCAAGTTGCTGATTTTCTATCCCAGTACTCTTTCCACATTTATTAGCCAGCACATGGTATTCTGCCATAAACAAGAGCCCTCTCATCTCCCCTTTTTATTTATTTTTTCTATATATTTATTATCAATATGGAAACATAATTTTCTTTATTCCCCAAATGGTTTTTAATAGATTAGTTAATTATTGCCGTTTTGAAATTGCCCCGTATTTGGCTGGTGGGAGCACCGTTAAGCTGGCTTCTGTATCTTTGGGCGTTCTCCCATCAATTATTTGAGCACTTACTTGATAGCATACCAAGATGTTCCAGGCTCATCTTACACCTATTTACCCAAGCCCTGGAATCAGCCACTTCTCTAAGGAGTCCTGGTTTCTTTCAGTGGGGAATTATATTAGATAGCAAGCTCTAGGTACTAGGTGTGCTCATTGTTACTAGGTGTGGCATTTTGACCCTTTCAATGTACAGAACTAGGAAATACATGCTATATACAGAGACATATATATACACACTTGCATATGCATACATATGTGCTTAAACATGTACACATATACATGCGCCTGTACATATATCTACGTATCTTTGAAATTTTGAATTCGCACCAATACTCACAATTTTCAAGTCATCCCTGCATGGCTATTTCTTGTCTTTCCCCGTTTCATATTCGTATGTACCTTCTTTCTCATTGACAACCCTGGCTCCTAAATTAATTCATTTGCTCAACCCTCTAATACATCTAAAATAATTTCACAACTTTTCCCACACCATTACAAAAAAGATTATCAAAAATAGTTCAGGGTTTGTTTACAATTCTTGTTACCACCCTACCCTACTCCGCTGCAAACTGAGGGTGGATGGCCAATTACTTGGATTTTTTTCTTCCTTTCTTCCTTTATTTCTTTTTCTTTTTTCTCTCCCTCCATTATTTCCTCCCTCCTTTCCTTCATCTCTTCCTTTCTCTCTTTTTATTTTTTTATTCTCTTGTTCTTTCTCTCTCTCCTTTCCTCCCTCCGTCTCTTCCTCACTCCTTTCTTTCTGTTCCTCTTAAGAGCAATTGTAGCATTCCTTTGAAATACAATTGAATTCATGTGGTTCACTTTGCTTTCAGTTTTAGTCCCCTCCTCCTTCCACCCTTATTGATTTAGCTATTTTTATTATGTAGAGGATTAAAGTCTTGAGAAAGTCAAAACTATATACAAAAAGGAATATTCTAGGGTGTCAGTTCCTTCCTCACCCCCTCCACTCCTTTGCCGTCCCAACATAAGAATATATATGAATGAAAACATTCACATTAAACAAAGTGATATGGTTGCCTATAGGGGAAGCATGAGAGAATGAAGTTAAAGGGGAACTTGTTGATCAATCAATTGATCAAAATAGGGTTTTGCCCCAGGGATCACTGATGATTGTATACAATGAACCAGGGGACATGACTAACTGCACTCTCAAGTACTTAAGTATAATTTCCCCTCACCCCACTCAAAGCCATTGAGACAGATGGCAGAAATTCACAGTGTATGTTCTGCTAAACACTGGTCTCATGAGCTGAGTGCAGGGAAGAAGTTGTTTCTGGTCAAATAAGTATAGGTAACATTATATATGTGATCCTCTTCTTGGAAGTCTTTCTGTCAAGAAACTATGTTTTCCTGACATGGAATTCTTTTTTATTTGTATAAATTTCAAGGGTAACAGTGTAGTTTTGTCGCATTTACATGAATATTTTGTGTAGTGGTGAAATTTGAGATTTTAGTGTAACTATCACCCCAATAACACACATTGTACCCATTAAGTAATTTCTGATGCCTCACTCCCTTCCCACCCTCCCACCCTTGCAAGTCTCCAATGTGTGTGTGGTGTGTGTGTGTGTGTGTATATATATATATATATATATATATATATATTGTTTTTTGAGATGGAGTCTCACTCTGTTGCCCAGGTTACAGTGCAGTGGCACAGTCTGGACTCACTGCAACCTCTGCCTCCCAGGTACAAGTGCTTCTCTTACCTCAGCCTCCCCAGTAGCTAGAATTACAGGCACCTACCACCATGCCTGGCTGATTTTTTATTTTTAGTAGAGATGCGCTTTTGCCATGTTGGCCAGGCTGGTATTGAACTGCTGACCTCAGGTGATCCGCCTGCCTCAGCCTCCCAAAGTGGTGGGATTACAGGCATGTGCCTCTGTGCCTGGCCACCAATGTATATTATTCCATTCAACGTCCAAGTGTAGAAATTATTTAGCTCCCCCTTAGAAGTGAGAACATGCAGTATTTTACTGTTTCTGAGTTGTTTCACTTAAGCCTCCAGTTCCATCCATGTTGCTGAAAAAGACATAATTTCATTCTTATTGTGAGTGAATAGTATTTCATTGTGCCTGTATATATATATACCATATTTTCTTTATCTAATCATCCATTGATGGAACTTAGGTTGATTTCATATCTTTGCTATTATAAATAGTACTGTGATAAACATTTGAGTTCAGATATCTTTTTGATGTAATGATTTCTTTTCCTTTGGGCAGAAATCCAGTGGCAGGATTGCTGGACCAAATGGTTGTTCTATTTTTAGTTATTTGAGGAATCTCCATGCTGTTTTTCATGGAGATTATACTAATTTACATTCCCACTAATGCATAAGCATTCTCCTTTCTCCACATCCTTGCCAACATGTATCATTTTTGAATTTTTAAATAATAGTTATTCTGACTGGTGTAAGATGATATCTCATCGTGGTTTTAATTAGCATTTTCCTGATGATTAGTCATATTAAGCATTTTTTTTCATATGCTTGTTGGCCATTTGTATATCTTCTTTTGGAAAATGTCTGTTCATGTTCTTTGCCTACTTTTTAATGGGGTTATTTGGGGATTTTTTTTTAAGTTGTTTGACTTCCTTGTACATTCTGGATATTAGTCCCCTGTCAGATGCATTGTTTGCAAACATTTTCTCCCATTCTACAAGTTGTCTTTCACTCTGTCGATCATTTATTTTGCTGTGCAGAAGATTTTTAGTTTAATGAAGTCTCATTTGTCCATTTTTGTTTTTGTTGCTTGTGCTTTTGAGGTCATAGTCATTCATTCTTTGCCTATAACAATGTTCATAGAGTTTTTCCTAGATTTCTTTTAGTATTTTTATAGTTTCAGGCCTTACGTTTATGTACTTAATCCATCTAGAGCTGATTTTTGTATGTAGTGAAAGATAGGGACCCAGTTTTATTCTTCTGCATATGGCAATTCAGTTTCCCCAGCACAAGTATTGAAAAGGGTGTCCTTTATCCAGTGTATGTTCTTGTCAACTTTATCAAAGATCAGATAACTATAGATATGTGGCATTATTTCTGCACATTTTATTCTGTCCTATTGATCTGTATGTCTATATTTATTACATTACCATGCTGTTTTGTTTGCCATAGGCTTGTTGTGCAATTTCAGGTGAATTAATGTGATGCTTCTAGCTTTGTCCTTTTTACTTAGGATTGCTTTTGTTATTCAGGCTATTTTTTTGGTTCCATAATAATTTTAGGATTCTTTTTTTCTAATTCTGTGAAAAATCACCCTGGTATTTAAATAGGGATCACATCGAATCTGTAGAATGCTTTGAGTAGCATGGTTATTTTAATAATATTGATTCTCCTAATTCATGAGCATGGGATGTTTTTCCATTTGTTTTTGCATCATCTATAATTTCTTTCATCAGTGTTTTATAATTTTCCTTGCAGAGATCTTTCACCGCCTTGGTTAAACATATTACTAGATATTTTATTTTTTGGTAGCTATTATAAATATGATTGACTTCTTGATCCAGTCTTCAGATTGATTATTATTGTTGTACAGAAATGCTACTGATTTTTGTATATTGATTTTGTATCCTAAAACCTCACTTAATTAACTTAGCAAATCTCAGAGTTTTCTGGAAAAGTCCTTAGAATTTCTAGGTACAAGATCATATTGTCAGTGAACAGAGATAATTTGACTTGCTTTTTTTCAATTTTGATGTCTTTTATTTCTTTCTCTTGCCTGTTTTCTCTGGCTAGGACACCCAGTACTGTGTTAAATTGGAGTGGTAAAAGTGGGTATTCTTGTCTGTTCAGCTTTTTAGGGGCATTTCTTTCAACTTTTCCCCATTCAGTATGATGTTGGCTATGGGTTTGTCATATATGGCTGTTATTATGTTGAGGTATGTTTCTTCAATGCCTATGTTGTTGAAGAATTTTATCATGAAGCAGTTCTTAATTTTATCAGAAGCTTTTTCTGCAGTTATTGAAATGGTCATATGGTTGTTGTCCTTAATTCTGCTCATATAATGAATCACATATATCAGTTTGCATATGTTGAACCATCCTTGCATCCTTGGACTAAAACTCACTTGATGCTGGTGCATTATCTTCTTGATGTGCTGTTGGATTCAGTTTGCTAGTATTTTGTTGAAGATTTCTGCATCTATGTTTATCACGGATATTGGTCTCTAGTTGTGTGTGTATGTGTGTGTGTGTCATTGTCTGGCTTTGATATCAGGGTAATACTGGCTTGGTAGAGTTAGTTAGGGAGGATTTCCTGCTCCTTGATTTTTTGGAACAGTTTTGGGAGGATTGGCATTATTACTATCTACCTCTTTCTTTAGGCCTAGTAATCTTTGTTTTATAAGTCTGGGTGCGCTGGTGTTCTTTGTACATTTGGTAGAATTTGGCTATGAATTCATCTGTTCCTGGGATTTTTTTCGTTGTCATTGGGAGATTTTTTTTTACATTACTGATTCAATCTAATTACTCATTATTGGTCCATTCAGGATTTCTATTTCTTTCTGCTTTAATCTTGGGAGGTTGTATGTTTCCAGGAATTTATTAATTTCCTGTAGGTTACCTAGTTTGTGAGCATATAGTTCTTCATCGTAGTTTCTGATGATCTTTTGTATTTCTGTGGTGTCACTTGTAATGTCTCCTTATTCATTTCTGACTTTGTTTATGTGGATCTTTTTTTGTTAGTCTAGCTTGTGGCTTGTCAATTTTATTTATCTTTTCAAATAATTGTTTTTTTATTTTGTTGATCTTTTTATCTTTTTTTGGTCTCAATTTCATTTAGTTCTGTTCTCATCTTTGTTATTTCTTTCTTCTGCCAGCTTTGAGTTTACTTTGTTCTGTTTTTCCAGTTCCTTGAGGTGCAACATTTGATTGTTAATTTGTGATTATTTTTATTTGATGTAGGCATTTAACATTATAAACTTCCCTCTTATCACTGCTTTTGCTGTATCCCAGAGGTTTTGGTATATTGTATTTCCATTCTCACTTATTTCAAAACATGTTTTAATTTCTGTCTTAATTTCATTGTTCACCCAAACATTGTTCAGGAGTGGTTTAATTTTCACATTCTACAGGGTTCCACATGGTATTAATTTGTAGTTTAATTCTGCTGTAGTCTGAGAAGATACCTGATATAATTTTGATTTAAAAAATTTATTAAGACTTGACCTGTGGCCTAACATATGGTCTATCTTGGAAAATGTTCCATGTGCTGACAAAAAAAATGTATGTCTTGCAGTGGTTGGGGAGAGTGTTCTGTATTAACTGTTAGGTTTATTTGGTCTAAAGCCTGATTTTAGTCTAGCGTTTCTTTCTTGATTTTCTGTCTAAATGATCTGTCTAATACTGTGAGTGGGATGTTGAATCCCTCACTATTAGTATTACTGTCTATATCTTTCTTTAGGTCTAGTAATCTTTGTTTTATAAGTCTGGGTCCTCTGGTGTTGGGTGCATATATATTTAGGATTGTTATATATTCTTGTTGAATTGATCCCTTTATCATGACCTTCTTTATCTTTTTTACATTGTTAATTTAATGTTTATTTTGTCAGATATGAATACAGCTACTCCTGCTCACTTTAGGACTTTGGGTTTTCACTTATGTGGAATATCTTTTTCCACTCCTTTGCCTTCAGTCTATAAATATATTTAGCAATAAGGTGAGTTTCTTGAAAGCAGACTATAGTTCATTCATTTAAAAAAAATTTATTCAGGCAATCCATATCTTTTAAGTGAAGGATTTAATCCATTTACTTTCAAGGTTAATATTGATATGTGAGGTTTTGTTTCTGTCGTAATGTTAATTGTTATCTAGTTGTTCTATAGATTCTTTTTTGTTGTTGTTGTTTTTTTTTCTGTTTATCTTTGTGGTTAAGTGGAGTGCTGTTGTGTTGCCACTTGATTTCTTTCTCTTTCTCTTTTGTGTAATTATTTAATAAGACTTTTAGGCTGGGCACAGTGGCTCATGCCTATAATCCCACCACTTTGGGAGGCCAAGGTGGGTGGATCACCTAAGGTCAGGAGTTTGAGACCAGCCTGGCCAATGTGGTGAAACCCTATCTCTACTAAAAATACACACACACACACACACACACACACACACACACAAATTAGCCGGGTGTGGTGGCAGGTGCCTGTAATCCCAGCTTCTCTGGAGGCTGAGGCAGGAGAATCACTTGAACCCGGGAGGCAGAGGTTGCAGTGAGCTGAGGTTGCACCATTGCACTCTAGCTTGGGCAACAAGAGTGAAACTCTGTCTCAAAAAACAACAAAAAAAGTCTTGTGAATTTTATACTTTCCTGGCTTTTATGATGGCAAATATTGACCTTTTGTTTCCATGTTTTGTACTCCATTGAGCATTTTTTGTAAGACTGGTCTAGTGGTGACGAATTTCCTCAGCATTTGCTTCTTTGGGAAATATGTTATTTCTTCCTCATTTATGAAGCTTCTTCTGGCAGGACATAAAATTCATGGTTGGAAATTTTTGTTATTCTTTGAGTACTTTGAAAATAGGATCCCAATCTCTTCTGGATTGAAAGGTTGCTGTTTTTTTTTTTTTTTTTTTTTTTTTTTTTGAGACGGAGTGTCACTCTGTCACTCAGGCTGAATGAAGTGGCGTGATCTTGGCTCACTGCAGCCTCCGCCTCCTGGGTTCAAGCAATTCTCCTGCCTCAGCCTCCCAAGTAGCTGGGATTACAATTGCCTACCACCATGCCTGGCTATATATATATTTTTGTATTTTTAGTAGAGACAGAGTTTCACCACATTGGCCAGGTTGGTTTTGAACTCCTGACTTCAACGGATCCACCTGCCTTGGCCTCCCAAAGTGCTAGGATTACAGGTGTGAGCCACCGTGCCTGGATGTTTGAAAGGTTTTTGCTGAGAAGTCCACTGTTAGTCTTGTGGGGCTTCCTTTATAGCTGACTAGAAAATTTTCTCTTGGTGAATTTAGGATTTTTTCCTTCACATGGACTTTAGATAGTCCGATGACTTTTCTGGTGAAGAACATCTTGTAATGTATTTTTCTGGTGTTCTTTGAGCCTTTCATACTAGAAAGTCTAAATCTCTTGATAGACTAGGGATATTTTTGGCTATTGTATTTTAAAATAGGTTTTCTAAACTTTGAACTTTTTCTTCTCCCTTAGGAATACCAGTGATTCATAAGTTTGGTCATTTCATATGGTCCCATACTTCTTGAAGGCTTTATTCATTCTTTTTAAAATTCCATTTATTTATTCTTGTCTGATTGGATTAATTCAAAAGATGTGTTTCAGGTTCTAATATTCTCTCTTAGGCTTGGTCTAGTCTACTATTGAAGCTTTCAACTGTATTTTGTAGTTCCTTCAGTAATTTTTTTTATTTCCAGAAGTTTTGCTTTTTAAAAAAAGGTATCTATCTCCTTGGTAAATTCCTCATTCATATCGTGAATTGATTTTCTGATTCCTTTGTATTGGTTTTTAGATTTCTCTTGTATCTCATCAAGCGTATTTAAAGTGAATATTTTGAATTAATTCTCTGGCATTTTGGAAGTTTCCTTTTATTAGGATCCATTGCTAGAGAATGGCTATGTTCCTTTGGGAGTGTCATAACACCTAGGGTTTTCATACTTTCGGAATTATTATGCTGATTTCTTCACATCTGGAGAAACAGTCTCTTCTTATTTTTGAATTTAACTTTCATTGGGGCAGGACTTTTTTTTCTGGAGGATATGATTATGATGTATTTTGAGTAGGGCTGTTGACTTTGCTTATGGGTGCATTTGGTAGCGAAGACTGTATCATTTCCTTGGTTATAAATAGCCTTAGTATGGTGGCTTTCACAAATGCCAGTTGTAGGAGCAGTGTACTGGGTGGGTGAGTGGATTCATGGCATCCTGGGTAGCTGGAGTGGCATAGGCAATGGTGGTAGTAGAGGTCCTAAGAGGCTTGTCTCATTCCTGAGCACTGTGCAGTTGTGTCAGCAGATGTTGTAATGGGCTGTGTGGGTTGACCTCTAGGCCAGTAGGTGGTGCTTGCCAGTAAAAGCCAGCTGTGGTGGTAACAGTAGGTTTGTGCTTGATCTTCGTAAACTGAGAGAAGTAGTCTGTTGTCCCGGTTGGTGGATTAGGCCCTGGAGCACTCAAGGCCTAAGTCCTGCCACCTCTGTCTAGGAGTGGGTGGCAAAGCTAGGCAGAGCCAACCAGAAAAGACTTGAGGTCCCTCAAGGTAAGCACCAGCCCTGACTGGGGTGGCAAAGGAGTCCTCAGACCAAATATTTGAGTGACGAGTGATCACTGCTGCACTGAGGTCTCTGTACTGGCAGTGAGGGACAGTCTCAGTGCCTCTTTCTTGGCAGTCAGGAATGAGGTCTTCTTTCCTCTCACACCCCTGTCCCAGTGTTCAGAATAGTCAGTTAGGTTAGACACTGCAGTTTGCTTTTAGGCTGCAATATAACCCAGGACCACAGGAGATGCCACTCCAGCGACTCAACACTAAATCTCTGTGGCAGCTGGCAGTGCGTGCAGTGTGGAGTTTCCACCCACAGCCCCAAACACTCAGCTTTCAGGCTCTGTTACTCTCTAGGGCAGCAATGCTGCATTTCTATGCAGGAGGAGGGAAAGACACCGCCCTTTGTGCAATGCTGGGCTGAGGCCATGCTGCCAGTGGGGTCACAGTTGTCCCTCAGAGTCCCAGATAGACCACACTGCTCATCCACATCAGCCTCCTTGAGCAGCAGCAGTGGCTGTTCCTGCAGAAGTGTGCGAAGCAGGAGGTGGGGTCTTATTCTCCACTCATGAGGCAGAGTGAGCAGAGACTGCTTGGCCAGTGGTGGGGGACTTGACTCTTCACCTGCAAAGCCCAGCATAGTTTGCATGACTGTTGAAGGCAGGGTCACTTTTTACTGTCCCAAACAGGGAGCTCTCAGGCTCTCCTGCTCTTTGTGGCGGCAGCACTAGAGGACCGCCTAGTGGGCTGCCTAGTGGAGTCAGGGGGCCTTTCCTTTCCTTTTAGTCCAGGCTAAGAGACTATTCCACCAGTGGGGTTGCGGTCATCACTCACAGCCTGAGAGAGGCAGCAGTCTGGTTAGCTTGTGCCAACTTCCTGTGGCTGTAGCAGTGGCCGTGCCTGGAGTGTTTGTGTGGAGGAGAACAGAGGTCTCCTTCTCTAGGTATGGGCTATAGCACAGAGGCTGCTCAGCTGGTAGGAGGGAATTTCACTCTCTGAAGAACTGAGCACAGAGTTTGTGCCTCTGCTGGAAGTGGACACACTTTCACAGCCCCATGCAGGGAGCTCTTGGGCTCTAGAAAGTCCTTTGGTTTTCTTTATCCTGGGGGCTGCCATTTTGGTGTGCTGTACTCGTCTTTCCCTCCACAGAAGTAGCACTCCCTGAGGGCTACAGAGCTGGAAATCCTGCAGCTCTTTTAGGTCCAGCTAGCAGTGTTGCTGCAGCCCTCCTACTGGGCACTGGGGAATGTCAGAGGGAGCTCCGGGATGTGAAGATACCAGAGTTGAGGTTCCTAGGGCAGGATGCAGTCCCTGAGAACTGTGCTGTCAGAGTGGCATCCTGCTGCAGCCACTGAGTCTGGGTGTAGGGTGAGTGACCCAGTATGAGTTTACAGTCTGGTGCAATGCTCTCATATATTCTCCAAATTACCACCCATACTAGTGCAGTCATGAGAACAGAGGAGCTCTCCCATAGTTCCAATCCCGGAAGTCTGCAGTAGGGATGAGGGCTACCAAAACTCTTGCACTTACCCTTACCTCCAATACTGAGTCGCTCCAGGCTTCTAGCTGATCATGACTAAGTTGGCCTTTCTCTTCCTTCTTTTTCTGTGCTTCAGGTTTTTCCTGTGAGCCCTCCACTGGGTTCTAGTGTTCTCTCTTTGATATTCTATTTGAGGTATAATTATTCATTATTTTTATTCTTTCTAGGGAGAACTGATGTCCAGCACGTATAGTCAGTTATCTTAAACCCCCTGACATGGAATTTTTTGAATGAATATTTACTATTAACATCATTCAGAACTAGTCTTCAGGGGGACAAATTTTGGAAATTTTGAGTCCATTCATTGACTCAACCATCATTTATTGAGCACTTACTCTGTTCTGCATGCTGTTTGTGGTAGTGTGCATGGACAGCCAATGACAGAAATATGAAGTACTTGTCCTTGTGGAGCACTGAGGTTGGGAAAAAGGCGATGAGATAGGCAGAAATACAACAGTTGGATACATGATGTCCATTACTGTATCCATTCTGGAAAGATGTGTAGAGCCTGATGATCACCTTTCTTCCTTGGGAAGACTGCAAAATGCTGACCCAAAAGGAAAGAAAATGAAGGAATAAATGCTTCAACCAACCTGGCGGCTAAGCATCAGGTTAAGAGGGAACATAATGAGGGACTTCAACCTTCTACATCATCTGTATACATTTGAGCAAGAGCCAAAAATTAGGGGGTATAAAATTAAAAAGTAAGGGAAAAATTCTCGAGTTTTTGATCACATCCCCATGTTGATAAAATATTTATGAGTTCTCCTTCAATTAATTAGAATAAACTATGTAACACTGCAAGAAACACATTGAAAATTGAATAAAGTAAGTTCACTTCCAATTTCTTTTGAAGAAAGAAGCTAATTATATTTAGTTCTGTAATTATAACTTTAATTAAAATATAATGCAAAATATTCCATAAAGTGAAAACAGTGCTGAGTAATAAAATGGAGCTTTTAAGACAATTTGTTCTTTAGATGAAAATTTATAATTAAAATAAAGCCTTTAGTGGACCCTTTCCTCCAAATTTCATCCTTTTGGTATGAATTAAATTTAACAATCTTCTTATAAAGACTAATTAATGTTTATTTACCGTTTTAAACCTATTTCCTCCTGTTTGTTGCGTGCTAAAATCTCCTTTTCATCTGTTATAGCTATCTTCCTTTTCGAGTTTGTTTAAAGAGATACTCCTATTTCTCCTTTGCATATCATAATTTATAGCACATTCCTTTTGAGTTAGAACATCGCTTGAAACTTTCAGTGACTTAAAACTTGAAAGCTCAGATGCTCTTAGAAGTAGTTCGCATATCAGTCCCCTTCACCTGGCTGGCACGGAGATGATTTGATTGCTCCAGGCAAACATCCCGGTGGAAGGAAATTTAGATCCTCTAAAATGAAATTAGGAAGGTGATAAAATGACCTTCTGGTGATGTTTTTAATAATCATTTGCTCTCAAACACTTCTCAGAGGAATAGTTGACTAATAGTTTGCCCAGATGTTAGACTTAAATTCCAAAGTCTACTAGAATGTGGGACCATTTGCTGTGATGAAAGTCATATCCATTTCTAAAGGCCTTTTAAACTGCTCTTTAATTTTAAAGCTACTCTGCTTTTACCCAAATCACAGAGGTTTATGGAAGGAAGATGCCTAGCTTGAAAGCTCAGAGTTTTTCTACTCAACATCTCTTTATACTTTAGCATTCAAGGAAAGAGTCACTGGCTTATGACTAAGAAATATTTATTGAATGCATACTGTATAGAAGATACTATACTTTCTGCGCAAAAATATCTCCCTGAGTAGTTGTTAAAAATCAGATTTCTACACCACCACTGCCTCCCTCTCACATATTCAGATTCAGTTCATCTTGTGTGGGTCCCAGGTGATTTTTATTCAATTAGTTTGAGAGACGTTGTACTACTGGGTGTCTACAAGTTCCGGAGTTGAGTAATATTAATACAAAGAACTTACAATTCTAGTGCCTGGTGTTGTTAATTCAGTGAGGGAACATACTTATTTACAACTCCTTTTGCTTTCTATTGGAGCGGAACTTTTCCTGCTCTTTCCAGAGTGGAGAAGATGGCTGGAGTAAGTGAGGAAAGGAAATTGTCTGCTCTTTGGATGTGGAGAATGAAAGTCCTGTTGCCTATGATTTGGGCCTCAGTAAATGTCATGGTGAGGTACAAAGTAATCAAGAAAGGCATTGATTGGGGGTGGCTAGGATGCTAGGAAACGATGGACCCAGAATCAGTTTCTTGCTTGATGCTTTACTTTAGGGCCATAACCTTGGGTGCCTATTCCTGAAATACCTAACCACTCAGATTTTCAAACCTCCTGAGTTTTGCAGAAAGGATTGGTGGCTTTTGAAGGGACTTTATGTGCTTCATTTTGATCTATTTTACTGTGTCTAGCTTAGGGTCTGCACATACTGGATGCTCTAATATTTACTGCACATTTAATTGTCATGGATAAAAATATTTGAAAAAGTAAAATTTGCTCATTCTAATAAGTTAAACCATGGCAGAAACATAAAAAAACTCATCATCTTTTGTACTGCCCACATCCTTAAGGTGGCGAACGTGAACAGGTTGGTATGAATATTTTCATATCTTTTGCTGTAGGTAGGTTTTAATATATTTTAAACCAAATGATATTATACGAAACCCAATCATCTGCATCTTTTTTTTCTTTTAGGTTTTGTAAAAGCATGTGCTTCCCTGCAGGAACTGTTTACTGCTAGAGAGCACAGAAACCTAGGACAGGGTGTGTCACGGGAGGCTAGATCTGTGGCCCTTACAAGTCTAGACCCCAAGCAGGAAGATTACAACTCAGTGATTCTCATGGGGGCATATTTGGGGGGTATTTTGCCACCCCACTCTCCAGGGAACATTTGATAGTGCCAGAGGCACTTTGCTGTCACACCCGTGGGGGGTGCTCCTGGTATTTTGTGGGTACAGCCCAGGGATTCTGCTCACCATTCTACCATGTACAAGGCAGCCACTGCCCCTACCCCCACCCCTGCCAACTGCCCACACAGCAAAGAATGAACTAGCCCAAAACGTTAATGGTGCCAGATTGAGAAATATTAGAATAGAGAACAATGAGGACTCTGTCCCTGAAAAAAGAGGGATTTATTTTCACTCTTGTGGGAAATTCTACCAGGAAAGGATACGGAGCTAAATATCTCCCAACAGTACAGAGCTTTTCAGTTTCTAATGTACTTTCTTGTATAATCCCTATTTGGTGCTCATAAATTGTGTGACTGAGGGCAAGTATCTCTATAAGCCTCTGTTTCCTCATCAACTAAATGGGCCTAATGATATCTATTATTTACAGGGCAATTCAATAAGAAGATGCACTATGCCCAGCCCATGGGCATTATTCAATATGCATAAGTTGTTACCATTATTTATGATTCGGGTTTCATCAGATACACAGAAGCCACTCAATGTGTTCCAAGTATAAAGTCTTTTAATTTAGGCAAATAGAGACTTAGGCAATTTTGGGGAGGATGCAGTAGCAAAGGTCAATGGTCAGAAAAGTTATTTCCAATCATCTCAGTCAGCAGCCTTGAACTCACTGGGTCTAGACACCCGTTGAAAGCTGCTGTAACTCTCAAGAGCTCCAGGATGCTGCAGGAATCCCTACTGAGCTGTTCAGCATGCCTTGTAGGGGAGGAAGTCTCCAGCAGACACCTCCCACCACTGCAGGTGTCCACAGCACTGAAGCGGGGGATGCACACAGGTGCTTGCAGAAGCCACTGCCAACCTTTCCTGTGCTGCGATGCCTCTTTATGATAATGGCTTAATTCTCCTTTCTGCTTTCCAAATCTTATACAAGTACTTCTCTCTGGCAGAATCCAACCTGGAGATGTTCCATGAAGGAAATTCTGGAAATTATGGTTCTGACTTCTTTGCAATGTAGAGGACACCACGGAAGGGGATGACAAGGACTTTGAGGTGACAATAGACAGTTTGGCATATTTACTGCAATCGCTCTTATTTCTGCAGTTCTCTGAAATAGGCATTATCTTCACTTTTTAGGTGAGAAAATGGTCACTCAGAGAGGTGATTATATTCTTCTGAAGTATAATTTGTGACAGACCTGGATTCTGAATTTAATATTTTCTCCACTACACAATCATTCTCTAGATGTCGTACAAAAAATTAGCCATGACTCTGGAGTCATTAAAAGAAATAAAGGCTTTATTTTTCCAAACATTTTTCTTCCATAAGTCTAAATTTCTTTATTATTCATTTGGGTTAAAATATTAAATTCCTCTTTTAAAGTCACAGTAAAATAATAGAGAGGGGTGGCCATAAAAACATTATTGATGATTGACATCTTAATCCAAATATCTTTTTCATCAAATTAGAATATTATGTCAAAGGAATCCTATTGTCCTTCTGGCTGGTTTCCCTATAAAGCAATGCAATGGAAAGAGAGTGGATTTAGAGTTTGACTTGGGTTTTGTGATTTGCTCTCCAAGTGACTTTGGGCAAGACAGTAGCTTTGCTGAGCTCTGGTATTCTCATAAATAGAAGGGAGATGACACCATTGCCCTCAAAATTTCAATATGAAGATTTAATAAGATAATATCAAGAGAGCATGGAGAAGCACCTTATTTCTTTACACACTTGTACTAAAAAATATTTGAAATGCACCACTGTGTTAGGTGCTATGCTAAGCACTAGGAAGATAGATGAGGTCTTAGTCCCTATGGGGCATATAGCCTAGTGTCGTTGGGAGGGAGACAATATGAATAAATAAATAAAACACTAAAGAAGGTAGCAAGTATCCTCACAACTGCAATACAGAAATAAACATGGTGATAGGCTATAGAGTGGGGGCGTGGAAGGGTGTTTTGGGTGGGTTGATCCACCCTGAGGTGGTAGATATTTGATCTGAGACCTGAAGTATTACACTAACTCTTTCTACGAATATTTATTTAAAGACCTATTATGTGCCAGGCACTATTCTAGGCACTGGAGATAAAGCAGGGAACAAGACAGTGTGTGCTTGTAACTTTAGTGAGGAGATACAGATAAACAAGTGTATAAGTAAATATAGGGGGTGATCTATTTTATGGAGGAAAGTGAAGCAGGGCATATGCCACTGCTGGGAAGACATTTGGGCTGACATTGAAGGGAGTCATAGATAAGCCATGAAACTATCTGGGGGAAAAGCACTCTAGGCAGTTGGAAAAGCAAATATAAAGGCCCTGAGGCAGCAGCATGCCTGTTTGAGTAAAGCTAGGATGCCCATATGAGTGGAGAGAAGGGAATGAGGGAGAGGGTACTAGAAGAGAAGCTCAGAGAGGTAAAAGGGTCTAGGCTATGTAGACCTTTGTGGTTTATGGTGAAAACATTGGCTTTTTGTTTGAGTAAGATGGATGACAATGCCTGGTGGTAAAAAATAGACTGTAGGGAGCAATGTGGGGTCAGGAATGTACATTAGGATGCTAGAGCAATTATCCATGTGAGACAGGATGGTGCCTTGGACCAGAATGGTAGTAGCGGTGGTGGTGGTAACTATTTGGATTCTAGGTATGTTTTATTTTATTTTTTATTTTTTTTTTGAGACAGAATCCCACTCTGTCACTCAGTTCCATGGCATGATCTTAGCTCAATGCAATTCTCATGCTTCAGCCTCCTGAGTATCTGAGATTACAGATGCGTGCTACCACTTCTGGCGAATTTTTGTATTTTTTTAGTAGAGACGGTTTTCACCATGTTGGCCAGGCTGGTCTCAAGCTCCTGACCTCAGGTGGTCCGCCTGCCTCAGCATCCCAAAGTGCTGAGATTACAGGCATGAACCACCGTGCCTGGCCTACATTCTAGATATATTTTACAGGCAATGTCAACAGGGAGGATATAATGAAAGATTAGATTTTGGGCGAAAAAGAAGAAAGAGTCAAGGATGACTCCAAGATTTGGAGCCAGAGTTGTTCAGAAAAGGTAGAGCAGTCGTTTACTGAGATGGGGAAGCAGGTTGCAGGGAGGGAATCAGAAATTCTATTATGGTCTTGTTAAGTTTAAGGTGCCGATTAAACATCCACAGGACAAGTGGGAATAAGAAGTTTTGGGAAAAGTCAATGGTGGAGATCTAAGTTTGGGGGTTGAAAGCATATATATGGTATCTAAACCCATGAAACTAAATGCAACCAGCAACTGTAGATAGAGTAGTTGAGAGGCCCGAGGTCTAATCTCTGGGGTGTGGCAACATTTACGGGTGGACAAGACAAAAGTAGCTAACAGAATGGATACTTTAGGAAAGAAAGAGAAAGCCAAGGAAGGAAGTGCTTCAAGAAGGAAGGTAGGTCAATTTGTTCAAATGCTGTGAATAACTCAAGTAAAATGAAGACTGAAATCTTTTGGATTTAGCAATGTGAGGTCAATGGTGACTTTGGCCTGAGCAGTTTTGATGTAGTAATGTAGATGTAAACTTAATTGGAGAAGGATTAAGAGAGATTATAAAAAAATAAATTAGACTCTTTGAGGATTTTGTTGTAAAGAAGAACAAAGAAATGGGCAATTAAGGGGGGTGTGGGAAAGAGGCATGTGGTCAAAAGAAGGTAGAATAAAAATGGTAGACTCGCCAGAACTTCAAAGTACAATGATATATCAGACTTATCTAGAGAGAGTTTGTTCAAATGAGATTGTTAGGTTCTACCCAAACTTCAAGAGCATATCACAGTCACCCGTGTGTGTGGGGAGGTGTTGCATGTTAAAACCAGACAGCTGGTCCCCCTTCTAGAGTTTCTAATTCAGTAGGTCATGGGTAGGACTCAAGAATATGCATTTCCATCATGATCTCAGGTGATGCAGATGCTACTGGTACAGGGAACACACTTTGAGTATCACTGCTCATGGACACAAATTCCTTTGCTGACCCTTCTATGCAAAGTAACATCCTATCCTCCCATCCTTTTCTTCTACTCTCTCACTATGTGAATCTGCCTTATTATTTTTCATTATTTAAATCCCCATTGGCATAGTTTCTCTAGGAAAGGAGACCTATCTCTCTTGTTTACCATTGTTCCCCATGTGTAGCATCATAGTTAGCATACAATGGAAACAAAATTTTAAACAATGAATTAAATAAAGAAATGAGAAGTTCCAACAATAATAAGCATTGCTTTATACAATCTTTGAGATGCCTAATGTTTCTTTGGGACTCTTTATAAAGATAAACAAAAAGCCATGTTTTGCTAAATGGCAAACTAAGAGTTAAATTTCAATCTCTGAGACACCCAGAGGGATCTGAGCTGGTTATTTACATTTCAAAATTCATTGTAACCAGCCTAGAGATCCCTAATGTGACTGTTATGTGGTATTTCAAATATGATCACATAACTTTCAAAGAAAATTCTGCTTGGAAAGCCATGAGTTGTTTTGTCATTAATTATTTACTTCTAGGTTCACAACTGTCACCGTTTCAGAAACCTCCCTAGTTGAAGAAATAACATTAGGGGCATGCTTTGGTCTTCAATGCACTAATTAGCCTATAAGCCAACTCATTTGTAGCTGGCTCAGTCTAAATCATCCAGGTTTTACATGGGGGATATTTAAGGCCCATTTAGTTGGAAAAATTTACCTGCCAATCCAAGCCTCTTAAAAATACGACACAAAACAAAACAGGGTCGCCAGGTTTCTTTAACAGTTTTTTTAAGAGTGTTAAGTGAAAACGTCTCTGTTTGATAGTCATCATTTGTCAATGACCGTTTCTTCACTCAGACAACATGAATAAAATATGTTACTTTTTGTCATTAGCAACTCATTCAGGGAAAAGAGAAAAATTGGACATTTAAGAACATCTTACTTTCTGTCATTTCGGAGTAAATGACGCTCTTAAATGATGGCTAGTCAAACCTACAGAATCTATTAGTAACTTGAAAATAAGTGTGAAGGGATGCTAAAACCCAAAGGAATCTTAAACTTGCATTTATCAAGCTTGTCACATCATTGCTCCTGGTAATAAAAGCATTTTTGTTTTATGTTGTAATGTCTACAGAGAATAATATTTTTTTTGGCCAGTGTAAAAAGTGATATTGCAACATTCATCATATATTTTGATATAAAATAGTCTAAAAAGGTTGAAAACTGACATTCATTATTTTAGAGCTAATTTAAAAGCCTTGTGCATTTACAGAAGTTTTCTTGGTTGCTTTTTATAAAGTTCCAGTGTTCAATAGTCATTCAATTTTCAGAAGCATTTTCTTTTTTTTTTTTTTTTCTTTTTTTCTTTTTTTTAATTATTATTATACTTTAAGTTTTAGGGTACATGTGCACATTGTGCAGGTTAGTTACATATGTATACATGTGCCATGCTGGTGCGCTGCACCCACTAACGTGTCATCTAGCATTAGGTATATCTCCCAATGCTATCCCTCCCCCCTCCCCCGACCCCACCACAGTCCCCAGAGTGTGATATTCCCCTTCCTGTGTCCATGTGATCTCATTGTTCAATTCCCACCTATGAGTGAGAATATGCGGTGTTTGGTTTTTTGTTCTTGCGATAGTTTACTGAGAATGATGGTTTCCAATTTCATCCATGTCCCTACAAAGGACATGAACTCATCATTTTTTATGGCTGCATAGTATTCCATGGTGTATATGTGCCACATTTTCTTCATCCAGTCTATCATTGTTGGACATTTGGGTTGGTTCCAAGTCTTTGCTATTGTGAATAATGCCGCAATAAACATACGTGTGCATGTGTCTTTATAGCAGCATGATTTATAGTCCTTTGGGTATATACCCAGTAATGGGATGGCTGGGTCAAATGGTATTTCTAGTTCTAGATCCCTGAGGAATCGCCACACTGACTTCCACAATGGTTGAACTAGTTTACAGTCCCACCAACAGTGTAAAAGTGTTCCTATTTCTCCACATCCTCTCCAGCACCTGTTGTTTCCTGACTTTTTAATGATTGCCATTCTAACTGGTGTGAGATGATATCTCATAGTGGTTTTGATTTGCATTTCTCTGATGGCCAGTGATGATGAGCATTTTTTCATGTGTTTTTTGGCTTCCCCAATCTAGCAAGGCAGGCCAATGTTCAGATTCAGGAAATACAGAGAACGCCACAAAGATACTCCTCGAGAAGAGCAACTCCAAGACACATAATTGTCAGATTCACCAAAGTTGAAATGAAGGAAAAAATATTAAGGGCAGCCAGAGAGAAAGGTCGGGTTACCCTCAAAGGAAAGCCCATCAGACTAACAGCGGATCTCTCGGCAGAAACCCTACAAGCCAGAAGAGAGTGGGGGCCAATATTCAACATTCTTAAAGAAAAGAATTTTCAACCCAGAATTTCATATCCAGCCAAACTAAGCTTCATAAGTGAAGGAGAAATAAAATACTTTATAGACAAGCAAATGCTGAGAGATTTTGTCACCACCAGGCCTGCCCTAAAAGAGCTCCTGAAGGAAGTGCTAAACATGGAAAGGAACAACCGGTACCAGCCGCTGCAAAATCATGCCAAAATGTAAAGACCATCGAGACTAGGAAGAAACTGCATCAACTAACGAGCAAAATCACCAGCTAACATCATAATGACAGGATCAAATTCACACATAACAATATTAACTTTAAATATAAGCAGCCAGAAGCATTTTCTTACATGGATTTCATGGATTTTGTTGGGTTCTCAGAATAAATGCTCAGGTTTTAATGATGGTGGTAGTACCTGACCAATTGATTGGTGTATTTATTTTCTTATAATCACTCAGCTGCTGGTCCTGTTGCATTGCAATGACCAAAGAAACAAAGACTTGTCATTTTTCAAGTTCTATAAGATTTAATCATAGCCCAAACTTTCACTCCTTTCTTTTTTTTTCCCCTCAAGATCTCCAAAGCACCGATCTAATGAAAGAAAACTTAATCTAGGAAGTGAAAGAGAAACCAAGACTGGAAGACGCAGTTGAAATGGATTGCCACGTTTATACATACATTGATTTTTACATGACTGCATTCAGAAACAAAATACCATCCTCTGTGATTAATTTATAAAGCTTCCCTCTCAGTTAAATTAAAAACAAAGTGAATCCATAGCAGCAGATCCCCTTTTAGTTAGAGATCTAACCTCTCTCAAGAAGCAAACATGGATTTATACCTCCCTCATTTGATGGTCAGCTTAGGACAATTGCTGAATTCTCTGACACTGTTGGGAATCCGCACAGTAAAATACATGTGATTTCTACTGAAAATTCAGATATAAGTCAAACTGCTACATTGGAGAGGTAAGAGATTCTGATTCTGCCACTTAATCATCTTCTGAATATTAGGCCAGGAAAGAGGAAGTATAACATGACTTAAATTTTTGAGGGTACTGGGAATCTATGCACCTCTCTCCATAATTGTGACCTTGACTTAGCTAGTGCGGTCGTGCAGCATGTCACACATATTGGCTGGTAAAATATAAGATGATTAAATAAAATACATGAAACAATGTATTTTTTTTTTTCTGAGACGGAGGCTGGCTCTGTCACCCAGGCTGGAGTGCAGTGGCGCCATCTCGGCTGACTGCAAGCTCCACCTCCCAGTTTCACGCCATTCTCTTGCTTCAGCCTCCCAAAGTAGCTGGGACTACAGGCGCCCGCCCCCATGCCAGGCTAATTTTGTTTTTGTATTTTTAGTAGAGACTGGGTTTCACCGTGTTAGCCAGGATGGTCTCGATCTCCTGACCTCGTGATCCGCCTGCCTCGGCCTCCTAAAGTGCTGGGATTACAGGCATGAGCCACGGCACCCGGCCGAGACAATGTACTTTATTTAGTGGCTACAGATTCATTTTTACATGTATTAAAATATTGCTAGAACCTCAACTCTTTGGTTTCATGGATACAATTCTCAGGACATTGTGAAAATAAAGGCCTTAATTTGAAACAAACTTTAAGACAATTTTAGAGAAAATACTACAATGGGGTATGCAAGATATGCATGAAGAAAGTGAAGGACTGAAGTATGGGAACTACCACTAGGGTAGAGTTATTTTTCTTCCTTTTAAGATGTTGGTGAGCCTTGTCTGTCTTTTCTGAAGTATTTGGAGAAAAGGGAGGGAGGACAGAGTGGGAGGAAGAGAGAAAATGGACCTGACCAGTTAGAGAACTATAGTTATTCAAAGTTTATCAAGTAGAAAAAGAGAAACATTCAAAAACATATTTTGAAATATATTTTGAAAAAGCAAATACAAACATTTAGAGAATAGTGTCATGAACCCCAATATAGCTATCACCCAAATTCAACAATGGATTTTGTTGGGTTCTCAGATCAAGTCATGACCAATCTTGTTTCAGTTGCATCCCATCCATTTCCTTTCATCCTCCCAGATTATTTTGAAGCAAATTCCAGGTATCATATCTTGTCTATATGTATCTCAGCAGTCATCTTAGAAAGATAAGAACTTTTTTTAAAAACAGAGATTTCTAGTTGCTTTTCTGGCAGGTAAGAAACATAGAAGTTGCCACTCTGTCCTAACAAGTACAAATAAATGAGGTCATCAGACCCATCAAAGAAATGAGGTCACAGGAAAGACTACTGTCCCCAAAATTGGAGAGATTGGGAGCTACAATCCAAGATGAGATTTGGGTGGGGATACAACCAAACCATATCACCATGCTAACATCAGTCAAAAGAAGTGGAAGTAGCTATACTAATTTCAGACACAGCAGACCTCAGAGCCAGGAAAATTATCAGAAATAAAGAGGGGATATTACTTAATGATAAAAGTGTCAATGCTCCAAGAAGACATAACAGTCTTTAAGATGTGTATGCCTAATGACAGTGTCAAAATAGTTGAAACAGAAACTGAGAGAATTGCAAGGAGAAACAGGAGAATCCACCCTTATAGTTGGAGACTCCAACACTCCTCTATTAGAAGAGGACAGATCCAAAAGGTGGAGGACATGGTTGAACTCAAGAGCACCATCAGTCAACTTGTATTGCACATATTAGAAAAGAAGAATCTCAAATCAATAATTTAAGCCCTCACCTTAGGAAGCTAGAAAAGGAAGAGCAAATTAAATCCAAAGTAAGCGGAAGAAAAGAAATAATAAAAGCTAGAATGCACATCAATACAATTGAGAAACAAAAAGTCAACAAAGAAAATAAATGAAATGAAAAACTGGTTCTTTGAAAAGATCAATAAAACCTCTAGCTGGGCTAAGAGAGAGAGATGACATAAATTACTAGTACCATACATTAAAGAGGGGATATTACTACAGAACCCGTTGATGTTAAAATGATAACAAAAGGTTATTATGAACAGTTCTATGCTCACAACTTGATAATCTAGATGAAATGGACACAATTTCTTGAGGAATACAACGTGTCAAATGTTACACAACAAGAAAGAGGCAATCATAAGCCAATATCTATTAAAGACATTGAATCAATAACTAATAACCTTTAACCTTTAAAAATAAAAGCACCAGACCCAGAGGGGTTCACTGCTAAATTATACCAAACATTTAAGGAAAAGAAATCATACCAATTCTCTACAATCTCTTCCAGAAGATTAAAACAGTGAATAGTTTCTAACTCAGTCTAAGAGGCCAACACTGCTTCAGTACAAAAATTAGACAAAGATATTACATGGAAAAACCATAAAGAGTAATACCTCACACATACATAGGTACAAAAATCCTTAACAAAATATTAGTAAGTTCAATCCAACAATGTATAAAAATAATTATGCACCATGATCAAGTGTGGTTATCAACAAACTGATTTTAAAGTTTCTATGGAGAAGCAAAATACCCAGAATAGCCAACCCAATATCAAAAGAGAAGAACAAAACTGGAGGCAGTAAAAAGTGTTGTGGTTGACAGGGCTTAGATGAGAGGGACAGATGAATAGACAGAGAGCATAGAGGATGTTTAGGGCAGTTAAATTATTCTGCATGATACTTTAATGTGAATACATGTCACTATACATTTGTCCAAACCCACAGAATGTCCAACACTAAGTGATCCCTAATGTAAACTGTGGACTTTGGGTGAAAATGGTGTGTCAGTGTAGGTTTATTGGTTGCATTAAATATACACTCTAGTGTATGATGTAGAGAGTAGGGTATGTTGTGTGTGTGGGGTGGGCGGGAAGCAGGAGGTAGATAGGAACTCACTGCACTTTCTGCACTTTTTGCTGTGAACCTAAAACTGCTCAAAAAATAAAATGTATTAACAATAAAAAAGCCAAAATAGCAGTGTCATTGTTACAACATCAAATATATGAGTAGTTCCCAAATGCCATAAATATTCGCTCAATGTTCAAATTTCCCTGAGTGCCTCATGAATTATTTTAGATTTTTACAGTTTGCTTATATTAAGTCCTGAAAAAGGTCCATACTTTGCTATTAGTTGATTTGTATTGAGTTGTATTATACCAATGTGTCCTTGGTGCTTATTTTTACTTTCTATTTTAGTGAAGATAAAAGGCAATTTTTAATCTATCAGAACCATTTACATTGCTACCTACATTTCTTAATTTATTAAGCATCAAGCACTCGAATGTCCTCAAGATTCTGCCAGGTAACATACAGACTGGAAAAGTGAGCTAGATGAAGACTGTGACCAACAGGAGGGCTCAGGTTCTTTCTGTAGGTGGCAGCACTTTCTCAGCTCTGGCCACTACTACCCTGCAGAAATTTGTATAGTAGGGGAGGGTGTATGACTAGATTTTCCAGAGAAGCTGGCAATCTCAATTTTCATATCATGTCTCCTGACTTTTAAATGTTGTCAAATAATGCAAAATTTTGAAACACCAATATGCAGGTCAAACAAAACACATCTGCAAAAGTTTCCAGCTTATGACCTACCAGCACATTATTTTTGCTACAGATAATTAAATGGACTGCTGTCATTTCTATTGCCTTCTATCTTTTCATTCTGGAAGTTGAGGGGGAACATACTCTCCTCCTTATGCCCTTGTCTCCCTTTCAATTTCAGACTGTGACTCGTATTTTAGGAAGAGCTGATCTGGCCCAAATGCTTCCCTTTACTTATGGGTTACTGGGGCTCAGAGAAGACAAGTATGTTAAAAAAAAATCAACGGGCTTTGTTGATTATCTAAATCTTTAATCTAGTTCTGATGCCAGTGCAGGGTACTGTGCACCATAGCCGGTTATTAGTAAAGCAATAATGCAGCACCATCATGCCACTAAACACGTTTCTGTTCTAGGAGCATAAACTTTCCCAGGCGTTGGCATCCCATGACTTGTTCAGTTACTTGGAAGCAGAGAAGGAAGAAGGGAGCTAACAGTCACCAAGAAACTGGAAAGCTCTGGACCCTGTCCTAGATGCATTGTGTTATCTTAATAATTAACCATCACACAAAATCACCAAGATGTGGATATTATTATCTTTTTGAATACATGAAAAAAAGTGAGGCTCAAAGATTTAAGCCACTTTTTCTAGGCCACACAGATATTAAGTAACAGACCCTGGTTTGTGTGACTCTCAATCCTGGGTTCTTTCCATAACTCCATTAACTTCATACTGCCTGTCATTTCCAAGCTCCCAATGACACCCAATGTCATTTTCTTAATTTCTGCAACACTGTAACCTAAGACAGATGGCTTAGGGAGTAGTGCTGCTTTCCTAGAGGACAGCCAAGGACCATAGCAGCATGTTGTCTTGGAGGTTTCTCTCCCTTCATCGCTACTATTCTCCTTCCTCCACTTCAAGTCACCTTTCTGGAACTCATTTACCAATCAGGACCAATTCACTTGCTAGGTTAGTGTCCCAGCAGGAAACAGATAAAATATTCAAATGAGATAATTGAGTTAAGTTTAATGAAGGAGACATTAGATAGGTATGGGCAGTGTTAAGAGAGACTCACAAACAGTGGTGTAGGACTCCATGGCTAGTGACATCAGGGAATATTTGCTGCCACCAAACAGCAGCTGTGGTCTTGGAAAAAGGCAGCCACTGCAGCCTGACAGCCTGGCCAGGAAGTAGCTAGGGATCAAAACTGTGATGTCCCTCCCATATATGAAAGGAAGAAAGAAGGAAAGAAGGAAGGAAGGAAGGAAGGACAGACAGACATGGAGGGAGGGAGGGAAGAAGGAAGGAAGGAAGGAAGGAAGGAAGGAAAGAAGGAAGAGACAAAGTAGAAAATGGAAATGGAGGTGCAAACAAAGAATACTCTGATTATTTCCTTCACTTTTCTGCAAGCTGCTGCCACCTAAGCAGACATGAGCCTTGTTCTGAAGGACACCTCTGCTAGAAAAGATCAGATACTTCCCTCTCATTCTGAGCTTCACTGCTGTGTCCCTGGCTGGAATCCCAGCCAGCTTGCATCCAGACACACCTTTGGCTCTGCACTGGCATACGTGAGACTCGCTACCATCTGGGTCAGGCAACCAACATTTTTCAAGCTCATGCTATAGGATACCGAGTGGAAAAGCCACCTTCTTTCCCAAGCACATCTGCACGGTTAACATCTGCACATTTCTGCTCTTTCTGGAAACTTGACCTGTGTTTTTACTTCACTTTCTTGCTTTCTCTGGCCCTGCTCTTTTACTTGAATTCCTAATAATATTTTGCTCCCCCTCTACCCCTCTGCCTCCAGGACCAGAGTGCCAGCAAATCAAGTTATTTTCATTTTATGAATATGCATATACAAAACCCAAGATATTTTCTGAGAGAAACTTCAAATTTGATCTGCAGGAAATATGCTGTTATTTCTGCCAATGAATAGAAGTATCGCTGAATTAAACCAAAAGCCAGCCGGTTCTGTGCTCTTGGAAAGCGTTTTGCCATTTTTCAGGGAAGAACTTTTTCAGTGTGCTGTTGTTGCTTGGACAAACTATTTTTTATTTTATCAAACATATGGAGAAAGTTGGGGTTTTGCCCTCCTTCAAAATTCTTAGAGAAGACAATGCACAATCGATTTCACATGATGTAAACCTTAAGTCCCTTGCTTCAGAAATCTGTTTCTTTCCTAACTACATCAGAATCAGCACTTTCCTTCTCATGTTAGGTCCTCTTTGTGCAATCAGCAAAAATGTAACAATTTGATTTTTTTTTTGGCTCCTCATAGCACTTTTCCCAATTATACTTGCTTGACACTATACAACAGCATAATAAAGGGTTGGTTTCCCCCTATCTGCAACACAAAACATGGTACAGACATGAGTGATTAAAAAAGACAGAGCAAGAGCAAAGAGCTCATATCTTAACAATGGTGTCATTACAGAATTTTAATGCTTATGCCAGTTGAACTTTCTGGCAAGTTAGACTAATGTTAGAGTAACATTAAGTTAGTCATTAAATACTGAGCATGCTACTTATAAATGTTGATTGGATCCTATTGGTTGATGATGTTGGGTTATTCTTTACACTTGCTAATTTTTTGTCTAATTGTTCTATCAGTTGTTGAGAGGGATGTTGAAATCGCCAACTATAACTGTGTACACTTCTGTTTTTCTTTTAACTATGTTGTATTTGGTGGCTTTGTTGTTTGATGCATACACATTTAGGATTGCTATGTCTTCTTGTTTGATTGATCTTTTTAATCATTATATATTGATTTTTTAATCGTATATATTTTATCATTATATACTAGATATAGAACTTTTTATCAATAAATATATATTTCCTTATCATTATATATTATATATGATTATATGTCATCATGTATTATTATTATATGTTTTATCACTGTCTATCCATGTTTCTGGTAATTTTCTCTGCAGTCTACTCTGTTATTAAGATAGCCACTTTAATTTTGATTTTGTTAATGTTTTGAGGATATATCTTTTTATACTGTGTCATCATTTTATCATTTGAAATGATGTATGAAAGCCCAGGTTCCTTTTATGCCCCTTTAAACTCTTACGTTTATAATATATAGTCATGAGCCATATGACAATGTTTTGATCAAAGATAGACCTCATATATGATGGTCCCATAAGATTATAATGGAGCTTAAAATTTTCTATCACCTAGTGAGTTTGTAACTGTCATAATGTTGTAGCACAATGCATTTGTTACTCATGTTTTTGTAGTGATGCTGGTATAAACAAACCTATTGTGTTGCCAGTCATATAAAGTTATAGCACATAAAATTATGTAGTGCATAATAATGATAGTGGTAATAAATATGTATAGTGTTTTTTAAGGTCTACAGTAGCATACAGTAATGGCCTAGGACTTCACATTCACTCACAACCCACTCATTAACTCATGCAGAGCAATCTCCACTCCTTCAAGCTCCATTCATGGTAAATGCCCTATCCAGTGTACCATTTTTTATCCTTCACACCATATTTTTATTGTATCTTTTCTATGTTTAGATTTTTTTTTTTTTTTTTTGAGACAGAGTTTTGCTCGTTGCCCAGGCTGGAGTGCAAAATGGCACAGTCTTGGCTCACTACAACCTCACCTCCCTGGTTCAAGTGATTCTCCTGCCTTAGCCTCTCCAGTAGCTGGGATTACAGGCATGCGCCACCATGCCTGGCTAATTTTGTATTTTTAGTAGAGGTGGGGTTTCACCATGTTGGTCACAAATACTTCCCATAGTGTTACGATTGTCTAAAGTATTCAGTCAAGTAACATGCTCTGTAGGTTTGTAGCCAAGGAGCAACAGGCTATATATTATATAGGCTACATGTGGAAGAGGCTATACCATTTAGGTTTATGTAAGTACACTCTCATGTTCGCACAATAATGAAATTGCCTAATGATGTATTTTTTAGAATGTATCCATGTCATCAAGTGACACATGACCGTAATTTTCTAAAGTTTTCCTCTATATACTTTAGAACTGTATCAGAAAGTATTATACTCTTTGCTTCAATCATCAAACATAATTTAGAAAACACAACAGGAGATGAAAATCCTATTGTAATTACCCATATTTTTGCTTGCCATGTTCATTCTTCCTTCTTGATATTCCAAGTTTCCTTCATTTGTTGTTTTCTTTTGGTTTAGAGCTTATTTTAGCCATTCTTTTAGAGTAGGTCTGCTGTTTCCAAATAATCTTAGTTTACCTTCATCTGAGAATGTCTTGATTTTTCCTGCATTCCTGAGAGATAGTTTCATTGTATATATTTTTTCTTTCAGCACTTGCAAGTGTTGTGCCAATTCCTCCTGACTTCCTGTTCCGATGAGAACTCTGTCATTCTAATAGTTTTCTTTTGTAGATAATGTATCATTTTTCTCAAGTTGCTTCAAAGATTTATTATTTTTTAAAAAAATTTTAAGATGATTGATTATAATGTGCTCTGGCATAGATTTTTAAATTTATTTTTAGTTTATCCTGCTTAGGGTTTGCTCAGTTTCTTGAGTCTTTGGAGGTTTGTCTCTTGCTAACTTTGGCAAGTTTTCAGCTGTTGTTTCTCTGAGTGCTTATTTATTCTTTCTCTTTCTTCACCTCTCCTTCCAATGAAATCAATGTCAGATTTTTTGTGATAGTCCCAGAAGGCCCTGAGAATTTGTTCATTTTGGGTTTAGTCCTTTTTCACTGTTTTATTCAGATTGGATAATTTTTGTTGTTTTATCTTTACTGATTTTTCTTCTGTCCCTTCCATTCTGATGTTGAGCCCATTCATTGAGCTTTTTATTTTCTGTATTGTATTTTGGAGGTCTAAAATTTGCTTTTAGTTTTAAAATATCTTTGATTTGATTTTTAATTTATTGCCTAAGAGCTCTATGTTTTCATTTGTTTCAAGCATATTTGTAATTGTTTGATGAAGCGTTTTTATGATGGGCTGTCTTAAAAATCTTTGTTAGGAAATCGTAATGTCTTTGTCATCTTGGTGTTGAAATCTATGGATTTTCTTTTTCTTAATTCAATTTAAGCCCTCCTTGGGTTTTGGATGGTGAATCAATAAATTTTTGAAATTCTGGGCACTTTTGTTTATTTTATGAGACTGTGAATCTTGTTTAAACCTTCTGCTTTAGCTTGCTTTTTCTGAAACTACTCTGACAGGGGAAAGAGAAGGGATAGCCTTGCTACTTCCAGGTGGAGATAGGCATCAAGGTTCCACAGTCAGTCTCTGTTGATACCTGTGATAGAGACTTCTGATTGTTGATGAGTGGGAGTGTAAGTCTGGCTCCCACATGCTGTCCACTGACATTGCAATGGGGAATGGCCTCATTACTGCTGAGCAATAATGAACATCTTGACTCTTCCTGAGGCCTTCTCTGATACCACCCCAGTGGGGAGGTGGAAAGACACCTCATTATTGCCTGGTGGAGATGAATGTTCAGGCCCTCCACTTGGCATTATATGACACCACCCTGCCAGAGATGTTGTAGTACCTCCTTGTAGTCTTGGAAGGGTAAAAGTTTAAGCTCTCCATTTGACCTTTGATAGTATGGATGCGGTTGGAGCCACATTTTGTTTTTTTCTGTGGTATTTGGCTATAGGGGTGAAGATGGTGTTTAAAATTTTCTGGCTTGTTAGGCTGTGCTTTCCTGGTCCTTTGGCTAGAGAGAGCAGAGTTTTAGGGGGCTTAACTGTTGAGTTCTTCACCACCAAGTCTGGTATATATGAAGCAAAAAGAACAGCCAAGGAACTTACTACTGTGTTATTTTTCAGGTCTCTAGGTTCCAAACAGTCAGTTTGTCTTCATGGAGTAAGTGTTGGTTGGGTAAGGTGCTTTAGCTTTGGTTCTGGATGGGCACAGTAGTGTAGTGTTCTCATGAGATCTTAGGCTGTAATCAATGTCAGTGGTGTCTGTTAATTCCTTATTGGCTTATGCTGCAGTTGTCTGTGGAGGGTGTGATACAACTATGGTGGATATAGGGACTTTCATGGGTCAGTCCTCAGGCCTCAAGAGGAGGGAGAGTATGCAAACACTGATGGTGGCAGTGATAGACCTCAGGCAGGCCTATGAACAATCTCTTCATAGATATGTACAAGAATTTTTCTAGATCTGTTCTGTCCAATGTGGTAACCACTAGCACATGGCAATATTAAGATTAAAATCAAAGTGAATTAAAATAAAATATGTCCTTATTCACAGTAGCCACATTTCAAGTGTTCAGTAACCATACATGGCAAATGGTTACCACATTAGAAAATGAGGTTATAAAATACTTTCTTCATCATCAAATGTCTATTGGGTAGCCCTGGCTTAGAGTACATATTTAGGAGCAGAGTTACTGGTTTGAAGAGTATGAGCTTCATTACCTTTATTAGAAAATGATAAGATGTTTTCCAAAGTAGTTGTATTGATTTATACTTCCATTAGCAGTTGATAAGAATTCTTATTGTTTCACATTTGTGTTAAGAAATTTTGTCATATTGATGGGTAGGAAAATGAAAAGGTACCATTTTCTCATTAACTAAAGAAAGTGGATATCTTTTTATGTGTTTATTGACCATTATAAAAGAGGCTGTTTAAATCTTTCACCCATTTTTCCATTGAGATGTTTATTCTTTTCTTATTAATTCATAGGGGTTTTAAAAGTATATTACACACTAATCTTTTGTCTATTAAATGTACTACAAATGCCTTCTTCACTTTGTAGCTGTCATTTTTCTATGGTGTTTCTTAGTCAGAATAGAACAGACTAAACTGGGATAACACATGAATCTCAATTCTTAGTGAAATAATGAAGTCTGATGTTAGTAGCTGTGCCTTATAAAACACATGGCCTTCACAGTTGCTGCAGCAAGGGAAGGAGAACTAGAGAATTGCATAGGTTATTTTTAAGTGCTATGTTTGGAAGTGGCTTATGTCACTACTGTCCAAATCACATCTGGCCCCAATCTAATGCAAGGGAGGTTGGAAAGTGTAGGGAAGTACATGAGTATTTCAGAGGATTCACAGTATCTGCCACATGGTGCCATTTAAGGAATGGGCACTCTAATTTTAATGTAATTGAACTTAATTCTCTTTCATTATGTTTTTTTCTTCTATCTTATTTAAAAAGTCCTTCCCTACTTCAAAGTCAATTTCAGAATAAAATGGAGGATTCCTTGAATGGAACGGTGAAGCCATTTTTTCTACATTGCCTCTAAACTTGCTACCCTTTTGCTGTTCAAACTTAGGTCTTTAATTCATATGAAATTGTCTTGTTTTATTTAGGGGTTCAATTGTATTGTTTTAGCACCATTTATAGAAAAACTCATGTTTCCCACTAATCTGTGAATCAAACATGCATACATTTCTGAATATGTTTCTGGATTCCAGATACTGTTCCACCGCTCTATTCATCTATTCCTGGGCTCATACCACCATATCTTAAATACTAAATATTTATAAAAACTCTTGATGTCTGGTAAGGCAAGTATCTTACCATATACTTCCTATTATGAGCTGTCTTGGCTATTATTAGTCTTTGTCCTGCTATTTGAATCACATAATCTTTTTGTCAAACTTCAAAGTAAAGCCAACTGGTATTGAATACATAGATCAGTTTGGGAAGAATTGTTATCTTTACAATATTGAGTCTTCCTATCTATGAACAATGATAAATCTGTATATTTATTTAGCACTTATTTAATACATTTTAATAAAGTTTCAAAGGTTTGTGTTGTTAAAGTCTTGTATATGTTTAGTTAAATTGATTTGTTGGTACTATTTAAAATGTTATTTTAAAAAAACTTACATATTTATACTGCTTATCATATGGAAATTCAGTTGGTTTTTCAGTATATTGTATGGTCTTTTCTTTGTAATTTTTAGATTTTTTTTCCTGACTTCCACTCAATAACAAGGTATAGATACCTAATTTTATTTTTTACTCCTAGGAGGTGTAGTTTTATTTCTAGTTTGTCTGCTGAGGGTGTAAATTTTTTAGCCCCAGGTATACGTGTAGAATCTCGTATTAGATTTACTACCCTGAAAGATTTTTCTCTTGTCTTCATTCCTCATGAGACCATGAAAAATGAAGCCCAAAGTCATTTGGGCTCAGAAGATGCCCTCAGGGTAAAAGTGAGCTTTGATCCTTGTTTATCATGTTGGGCTCTTGTTCTTCCTTAAGTCCTCTGGACAATCCTTATCTTCTTGCCAGTTTATCAATGCATTAAAATAGATGTTTATTTTTATTTGTATTTGGTTTTAGTATATATATACACACACACACATATACATACATATATACACACACACAGATACAATTTCAGCTTCTGGCAGCATAGTAGACTACATAAACTAATTGATTGATATATATATATATGTTTGTGTGTATATATATGTATGTGTGTGTGTGTGTGTGTGTGTATGTATATATGCACACACATATATACACATATGCATATATACACACACATATACATACATATATATACACACACACAGTTTTAAACCCCTTCAAAATCCCATATTCGTAATAATTCCAAAAAAATTCTCTATAATTATTTTTAAAGGCTGAATTTAAATGACTTGTTTCCATTGAATTACAAATCTCAGCAGCGATATTATTGTAATTCAACTTTCTTTACTGATTCATTTTTTTCCTTCTCCATTTTTCTTTCTTATTTGGCTGTTAAGTCAATAAAATACTTTAAGACTTACGGTCAATAAAATTGGCTTATCCTTCTTGTTAGATGGATTGACATTTTATAACAATCTACCCAATCTCCTAACACTGTGGCCTTTATATTGCACATTCTGTGACAGTGAGAGTTAATGCTAACCTTGCTAGATCTTGCAAAATCAAGTTGTCTCTGATATAAACTTTCCTCCCATTTCTACCAATTAATCAACAAGTGGCTTTTGAGTTTCTACCAAAAAGCTGTTACTGTGATAATGGCATACTTGTTCTGCTAGCCAAGGGGTGTTAAGCCAGATTTTCCCAAGGGTGAGAATCTGACTAAACTGATTTTGTATGATTACCCTAATCCTGCCCTTTCTTTCACAGATTCCCTACAGGAATTTCTCAGGGAGACCAAAGGGTATAGTTAATTACTTTTGGAATCTTTTCCTCTGTGGATGGTAAAACAACACATAGAACATTGAGATAAAAATTTAAGCCCATAAGCAAGTTGTGCCAATTGAGTTCAGGAAAATTCAAAATTAGCAGTTCACTTGGTGTTTTATCATTATAATAAATATGAAAATACTTAAAGCAATGTCCCAATTTATAAACTCCTTCTTTATTGATATAAAGAACATTGGCCCACAAAATATCGTCTGTGCTATATAATCTCCCCGTTAAAGAGCTGTCCTAAATATTTTTCTATAATTACAAAAAATACAACAAATATCTCTCATAAAATTAATATTTGCCCAAATTGCTACAACACTTCTCTTTTGAGTGGTTGATAAAGTTAACTGATATATTTTTCTCTCATCACTGAAAAATATTCATGTTTCTGCACAATTAATCCTTGTTTGCTGTTGAGAGAAATTAAAATAGAGATAAGGAAGTAGAAAAAACTCATTTCAATACTCAGAAATAATTACTCAACATTTTCAAAAATGTTTTATTATAAAATAATTTCATAGTTATAGGAATGTTATAAGAATAATACAGAGAACTCCCATATTCCCCTCAATGATTCCATATGTATATATTCAATATTCTACCTGTATATCTATTTATTATTTTTACTTATGTATGTCATCATTTTTATGTATTTATTTTATTATTTTATATATATACATACATACGTATCATATATATTTATATACACATAAAGGATTTGGAAAAATATGTATATACATACACACACACATATACATATTTTTTCCTAAATCATTTGAGTGACAATTGCATCTATTATAATCCTTCACTCTGAAGTGCTTCAGGGTGTATCTCCTAAGAACAAAGTCATTCTATTACATAACCACAACTCGATTATCAAATTTGAGAAATTAAGCATTGATATAATACTCTCATTTAAAATACAGCTGATATTCAAATTTTATCAATTGTTTCAACAATGTTCTTTATAATAATTTTCCATGATCCTGAGTTCCATCATCAGTCATGTATAAAATGTAGCCACCATGTCTTGTAGGGTTTTTTTAATCCTCAGCCTTTCTTTATCTTTCATGACATTGACATTTTTGCGGAGAACAGACCAGTTGATTTCTAGAACGCCTTTCAATTAGTTTGATATTTCTTAATTTTAAAAAGGCTTTAAAAAGGTTATATGAACTCACTTTCAGCTCTGCCTTCCTATTCTCTTGAGATTCTAATTTATTCTGACTTTTGGTCCCTATCATTCTTCCAAGAGTGCTTTTATTTAGGTCACTAGTGACCTTCATGTCGCAAAATTCAATGCTCAATTCTCAGTCTTTCATTCAACCTCTTAGCAGAATTTGATAGAGTTTATCTCTTCTGCTTACTTGAGAGTACCATACTGTATATGCATTCCTAGTTCTACCACACCAATTAGTTAGAAAATCATGGAGATTCTATCTACTGTGAACTTCTATCCACTCTCTCTCATCTGTTGCTACTATTACTTCCTGATATGGTTTGTGTGTGTCCCCACCCAAATCTCATCTTGAATTGTAACTCCCACAATTCCCACGAGTGGGAGGTGATTGGCTGGCTCCTCTAGTGAGAGGTGATTGAATTATGGGGGCAGGTCTCTCCTGAGCTGTTTTCATGACAGTGAATGAACCTCACAAGGTCTGATGGTTTTAGAAACGGGAATTTCCCTACACAAGCTCTCTTTTGCCTGCTGACATCTATGTGAGCTGTGACTTGCTCCTACTTACCTTCCACCATGATTGTGAGGCCTCCCCAGCCATGTGGAACTGTAAGTCTGTTAAAACCCTTTCTTTTGTAAATTGCCCAGTCTTGGGTATGTCTTTATCAGCAGTGTAAAAAATGGACTAATACAGTAAATTGGTACCAGTAGAGTGGGGCATTGCTGAAAAGATGCCCGAAAATGTAAAAGTGACTTTGGAACTTGGTAACAGGCAGAGGTTGGAACAGTTTGGAGGGCTCAGAAGAAGACAGGAAAATGTGGGAAAGTTCGGAACTTCCTAGAGACTTGTTGAATGGGTTTGATAAAAATGCTGACAGTCATATGAACAATAAGGTCCAGGCTGAGATGGTTTCAGATGGACATGAGAAATTTGTTGGGAACTGGAGCAAAGGTGACTCTTGTTATGTTTTAGCAAAGGTACTGGTGGCATTTTGCCCCTGCCCTAGAGATGTGTGGAAATTTGAACTTGAGAGAGATGATTTAGGGTATCTGGCAGAAGAAATTTCTAAGCAGCATAGCATTCAAAATGTGACTTGGGTGCTGTTAAAGGCATTCAGTTTTATAAGGGAAGTAGAGCATAGGAGTTTGGAAAATTTGCAGCCTGACAATGTGATAGAAAAGAAAATCCCATTTTCTGAGGAGAAATTCAAGGACTGCAGAAATGTGCATAAGTAACAAGGAGCTAAATGCTAATCCTCAAGACAATGGGGAAAATGGCTCCAGGGCACATCAGAGGTCTTCCTGGCAGCCCCTCCCGTCACAAGCCCAGAGGCCTAGGAAAAGAACATGGTTTTGTGGGCCAGACCCAGGGCTCCTCTGCTCTGTGCAGTCTAGAGACTGGGTGCCCTGTGTCCCAGCAACTCCAGCCATGGCTGAAAAGGGACAAGGTACAGCTTGATCCGTGGCTTCAGAAGGTGCAAGCCCAAAGCCTTGGCAGCTTCCAAGTGGCGTTGAGCCTACAGGTACACAGAAGTCAAGAACTGAGGTTTGGGAGCCTCTGCCTAGATTTCAGAGGATGTATGGAAATGCCTGGATGCCCAGGCAGAAGTTTGCTGCAGGGGTGAAGCTGTCATGGAGAACCTCTGTGGAAGGGAAATGTGGGGTTGGAGCCCCCACACAGAGTCCATACTGGGGCACCGTGTAGTAGAACTATGAGAAGAGGGCACTGTCCTCCAGAACCCAGAATGGTAGATCCACCAACAGCTTGCTCCATGTGTCTGGAAAATCCACAGGCACTCAACACCAGCCTGTGAAAGCAGCCAGGAGGGAGGCTGTACCCTGCAAAGCCACAGGGGCGGAGCTGACCAAGACCATGGGAACCCACCTCTTGCATCAGTGTGACCCACATGCAAGACATGGATTCAAAGGAGATCATTTTGGAGCTTTAAGATTTGACTGCCCTGCTGGATTTCAGACTTGCATGAGTCCCATAGCCCCTTAGTTTTGGCCAATTTATCCCATTTGGAACAGCTGTATTTACCCAATACCTGTACCCCCATTGTATCTAGGATGTAAATCACTTGCTTTTGCTTTTACAGGCTCATAGGCAGAAGGGACTTGCCTTGTCTCAGATGAGATGTTGGACTGTGGATTTTTGAGTTAATGCTGAAATGAGTTAAGACTTTGGGGGGCTGTTGGGAAAATATGATTGGTTTTGAAATGTGAAGACATGAGATTTCGGAGGGGTCAGGGGAGGAATGATGTGGTTTAGCTCTGTCCTTACCCATATCTCATCTTGAATTATAACTCCCACAATTCCCACATGTCTTGGGAGGAACCCAGTGGGAGGTGATTGAATTATCGGGGTGGGTCTTCCCTGAGCTGTTCCTTTGATAGTGAGTCTCACGAGATCTGTTGGTTTTAAGAATTGGAGTTTCCCTGCACAAACTCTCTCTTTGCCTGCTGCCATCCATTTGAGATGTGACATGCTCCTCCTTGCCTTCTGCCATGATTTGAGACCTCCCCAGCCACGTGGAACTGTAAGTCCATTAAACCTCTTTCTTTTGTAAATTGCCCAGTCTCAGGTATGTCTTTATCAGCAGCGTGAAAATGGACTAATACACCTCCCTAGTTTTAGATGTCAGTGAATCCCGTTTATATTTTTACCATCTAGACTTCATGTCTCTAGAAATCAGTTTTTCCTTTGTAATTCGGCTTACAGTCCTCTGTTGAAGTTACCTTTCTGAAACTTCGTTGCAAGCAATATAATGAAGTTGTAAGGAGAGTGGGTTCTGGCATAGAAAGACTTGAGTTGGAATCTTGGCTCTGTAGACCAAAAGACACTGAGTGGGAATGATGATCTACATCCAGGGTTGGCAAATCTGGCTTGCTGCCTGTTTGTGTAATAAACACTGTTGGAATGTAACCACACCCATTTATTTGTGTCTTATACATGACTGCTTCCTCCTACAACTGCAGAATTAAGTACAGTCATCTATCACTTAATGGGGGATACCTTCTGAGAAATGCATTGTTAGGCAATTTCATTATTGTTTGAACATCATAGAGTGTACTTATGTAAACTTAGATGGGATAGTCTACTACACACCTAGGCTAGATGGTATCACTTATTGCTCCTAGGCTACAAACCTGTACAACATGTTACTGTCCTGAATACTTTAGGCAATTGTAACACAATGGGAAGTATTTGTGTATCTCAACATAGGAAAGGTACAGTAGAAATATGGTATAAAGGATAACAAATGGTATATTTGTATAGAGCACTTACCATGAGTGGAGCTTGCAGGACTGGAAGTTGTCACTAAGGAATAGAAATTTTCCAGGTGATATCAATTTTTCAGCTCCATTATAATATCTGAGACCACCATTGTGGTCTGTCGTTGACCTAAATGTCATTGTGTGGTGCATGGCTATAGTTGTAACAGGGATGATAGGACCCACAAAGCCTAAATTATTTGCTAACTGGTTCTTACAAAAGAAGTTTGCAAATCCCTGATCTTTATCACAGAAGTGCCAGAAGAATTAAATATAATAATACATGAAAAGAAAATACCAATATACTTGACATTGTAAATGCTTAGTAATTGTGAGTGATTATCATTATCATTATGATTTTAGACTTTCAACTCACTGACCTCTGTGTTGTCAATTCACCCAATTAATCAGTGCTGTTCATTCCTATTATTCATCTTAAAGACTCACGCTCATGGCATAGTGCAAATATGGAGTTAGCATTTCATTTTTACCTATTTTGTCTTCTACCATAACCCCAGTTGTCTTCTAGATAGTTCTTCCTTAATGTCCATTCCTCAAATATCATAGGCCCTGTGATGGTTAATACTGAGTGTCAACTTGATTGGATTGAAGGATACAAAATATTAATCCTGGGTGTGTCTGTGTGGGTGTTGCCAAAAGAGATTAACATTTGAGTCAGTGGGCTAGGGAAGGCAGACCCACCGTTAATCTGGTGGGCACAATCTAATCAGTTTCCAGTGAATTTAAAGCGGGCAGAAAAACGTGAAGAGGAGAGACTGGTCTAGCCTCCCAGCCTACATCTTTCTCCCATGCTTGATGCTTCCTGCCCTAAACATCAGACTCCAAGTTCTACAGTTTTGGAACTCAGACTTGCTCTCCTTGCTCCTCAGCTTGCAGACAGCCTATTGTGGGACCTTGTGATTGTGTAAGTTAATACTTAATAAACTCCCCTTTATATATATCATATTAGATCTGTCCCTCTAGAGAAGCCTGACTAATATAGATTTTGGTACCAGAAGTGGGGTTTTTGCATGCCCAGCTCCATGCCAGTGAACCAGGCTTCTTACGCATTTAAAATTTGAGAATAGGTTGAGATCGCTTTGACCCTAAGACCTTTAATCATTTTCTTTACTGAATAAAATTGCACGGGGTGAGGGCTAGTATGATGGGAAAGGCCAAATGGAAGCCATTAGAGCTGCATCTACCTAGAAAAATAGTAAATCAAAAACAACATTGCAACCCTGAAGGGATTGTGGCGATTACTGCCACCATCAAGGACTTGAAAGACTCAGGGGTGGCAATTCCCACCACATTTCCATTCATCTCTCCCATTTGGTCTGTGCAGAAGACAGATGGATCTTGGGGAATGACAGTGGATTATCATAAGCTTAACCAAGTGGTGACTCCAATTGCAGCTGCTGTACCAGAAGTGATTTTATTGCTTGAGCAAATTAACACATCTCCTGGTACCTGGTATGCAGCCATTGACTTGGCAAATGCCTTTTTCTCCATTTCTCTCCATAAGGCACACCAGAAGCAATTTGTCTTCAGCTGGCAAGGCCAGCAATATACCTTTACTGTCCTACCTCAGGGCTATCTCAACTCTCCAGCTTTTTGTCACAATCTTATTCAGAAATACCTTGATCATTTTTCGCCTCCACAAGATATCACACTGGTCCATTACATTGATGACATTATGCTGATTGGATCCAGTGAGCAGTCTTGCAAACACACCGGACTTATTGGTGAGACATTTGCATGCCAGAGGATGGGGAATAAATCTGACTAAAATTCAGGGAACTCCTACCTCAGTGAAATTTCTAGGGGTCCAGTGGTGTGGGGCCTGTCAAGATACTCCTTCTAAGGTGAAGGATAAGTTGCCACCTTTGGACCCTCCTACAACCAAGAAAGAGGCACAATGCCTAGTGGGCCTATTTGGATTTTGGAGGCAACACATTCCTCACTTGGGTTTGTTACTCCAGCCCATTTACCAAGTGACCTGAAAGGCTGCCAGTTTTAAGTGAAGTCCAGAACAGGAGAGGCTCTGCAACAGGTCCAGGCTGCTGTGTAAGCTGCTCTGCCATTTGGGCCATATGACGCAGCAGATCCAATGGTGCTTGAGGTGTCAGTGGCAGATAGGGATGCTGTTTGGAGCCTTTGGCAGGCCCAATAGGTGAATCACAGTGGAGGCCTCTAGGATTTTCGAGCAAGGCCCTGCCATCTTCTGCAGATAACTACTCTCCTTTCGAGAGACGGTTCTTGGTCTGTTATGGGGCTTTGCTGGAAATTGAACATTTGACCAAGGGTCATCAAGTCACCATGTGACTTGAACTGCCTATCATGAACTGGGTGCTTTCTGACCCATCCAGCCATAAAGTGGGTCATGGCACAGCAGCAGCATTGTATCATCAGATGGAAGTGCTGTATATGTGATCGGGCTCAGGCAGGTCCTGAAGGCACAAGTAAGTTACGTGAGGAAGTGGCTCAAATGCCCATGGTCTCCACTCCTGTCACCCTGTCTTCTCAACCCCAGCCTGCACTAATGATAGCCTCATGGAGAGTTCCCTATGATTGGTTGATAGAGGAAGAGAAGACTAGGGCCTGGTTTACAGATTGTTCTGCACGATATGCAGGCAGCACCAGAAAGTGGACAGCTGCAGCACTACAGTCCCTTTCTAGGACATCCCTGAAGGACAGCAGTGAAGGCAAATCTTCCCAATGGGCAGAACTTCGAGAAGTGCACCGTGTTGTGCACTTTGCATGGAAGAAGAAATGGCCAGATGTGCGATTATATACTGATTCATGGGCCGTAGCCAATGATTTGGCTGGATGGTCAGGGACCTGGAAGAAGCTTGATTGGAAAACTGGTGACAAAGAAATTTGGCGAAGAGGTATGTGGATTGACCTCTCTGAGTGGTCAAAAACTATGAAGATATTTGTATCACGTGTGAGTGCTCAGCAATGGGTGACCTTAGCAGAGGAGGAGTTTAATAATCAAGTGTATAGAATGACCTGTTCTGTGGACACCACTCAGCCTCTTTCACCAGCCACCCTTGTCATCACCCAATGGGTCCATGAACAAAGTGACCATGTTGGCAGGGATGGAGGTTACTCATGGGCTCAGCAACATGGACTTCCACTCACCAAGGCTGACCTGGCTACAGCTACTGCTGAGTGCCCAATTTGCCAGCAGCAGAGACCAACACAGAGCCTTTGATATGGCACCATTCCTTGGGATGATCAGACAGCTGTCTGGTGGCACGTTCATTAAATTGGACCTCTTTCATCACGGAAAGGGCAGAGGTTTGTCCTCACTGGAATAGGCTCTTACTCCAATATGGGTTTGCCTATCCTACACACAATGCTTCTGCCAAGACTACCATCTGTGGACTCACAGAATGCCTTATTCACCAGCATGGTATTCCATACAGCATTGCCTCTGACCAAAGCACTCACTTTATGGCTAACGAAGTGCGGCAGTGGGCTTATGCTCATGGAATTCACTGGTCTTACCATGTTCCCCAACATCCTAAAGCAGCTGGATTAATAGAACTGTGGAATGGCCTTTTGAAGTCACAATTACAACGCCAACTAGGTGACAATACTTTGCAAGGATAGGGCAGAGTTCTCCAGAAGGCCGTGTATGCTCTGAATCAGTGTTCAATATATGTTACTTTTTCTCTCATAGCCAGGATTTGCAGGTCCAGGAATCAAGGGGTAGAAGTGGGAGTGGCACCACTCACCATCACCCCTAGTGATCCACTAGCAAAAGTTTTGCTTCCTGTTCCCAAGATACTACGTTCTGCCGGCCTAGAGGTCTTAGTTCCAGAGGGAGGAATGCTGCGACCAGGAGACACAACAACAATTCCATTAAACTGGAAGTTAAGGTTGCCACCTGGACACTTTGGGCTCCTTCTGCCTTTAAGTCAACAGGCTAAGAAGGGAGTTACAGTGTTGGCTGGGGTGATTGACCTGGACTATCAAGATGAAATCAGTCTACTCCACAATGGAGGTAAGGAAGAGTATGCATGGAATACAGGAGATACATTAGGGCATCTCTTATTATTCCCATGCCCTGTGATTAAGGTCAATTGGAAACTACAACAGCCCAATCCAGGCAGGACTACAAATGGCCCAGATTCCTCAGGAATGAAGGTTTGGGTCACTCCACCAGGAAAAAAAAAAAAGCAACAAACCATGACCTGCTGAGATGCTTGCTGAAGGCAAAGGGAATACAGAATGGGAAGTAGAAGAAGGTAGTCGTCAATACCAGCTACGACCACGTGACCAGCTGCAGAAACGAAGACTGTAATTGTCATGAGTATTTCCTCCTTCTTTTGTGAAAAACATGTTTGTGCATGTATACACTTGTACTAAGAAAATATCTTTATTTTATTTCCTTTTCCTTTATCATGTGACATAAGATGTACTGACTTCATATAAGCGTTTAAATATTGTTAACTTTAAGTAACAGTATTTGTGTTGGGGATTGTTGCATTTCCGGTTGTTTGAAGGATAGTTGTATTATGCTAGGCCTAATTATGACCTTATTATTGTCTTTATTTGAAGATTATTTATGATCTCAGGAGATGTTTATGGGTTCAAGTTGACACGGAGTGGACTTGTGGTGGTTAATACTGAGTGTCAAATTGATTGGATTGAAGGATACAAAGTACTAATCCTGGGTGTGTCTGTGTGGGTATTGCCAAAAGAGATTAACATTTGAGTCAGTGGGCTGGGGAAGGCAGATCCACCCTTAATCTAGTGGGCACAAACTAATCAGCTTCCAGCAAATGTAAAGCAGGCAGAAAAACGTGAAGAAGAGAGACTGGCCTAGCCTCCCAGCCTACATCTTTCTCCCGTGCTGGATGCTTCCTGCCCTCGAATATCGAACCCCAGGTTCTTCTGTTTTGGAACTCAGACTGGCCCTCCTTGCTCCTCAGCTTGCAGACAGCCTATTGTGAGACCTTGTGATTATGGAAGTTAATACGTAATAAACTCCCCTTTTTATATATATCTATATATAGATCTTAGTTCTGTCCCTCTAGAGAACCCTAACAGAGGCCTCAAATTCTTTTTTAAAAACTTTTTCAATTTTGTAATTGATATATAATAGATGTGCATTCTTTTATCTTCTCTATCAAATGGGCTTTTCCTCCTCAATTCCAAATTTCTATGAAATGCAGTATTATTGAAGCAGTCTTGAAATGAAGCTTAAAGATGTAGAGAACATTGTAACTCACAAAACATTAGAAGTGTGGGCTTTTTAAGCCAAAAGAGAATCATAAAGTTCAGCTGTCTTGTTTCTTGTAAGTCTGGAAATTTCTTTCCTTCATTCAGTGCATCGGTTTGCAGTGAAATTGTATTTATTATTCTTTTTAAGTGTTTATTTATTTTTCTTTTTAAGTGTTTATTTCTCACATCCATTTATTCTCATTTCTACCTAACCCTTTCATGCAAACATTCATTCCTTTATCCGTTGACTCCATCATTCATTCATTCCACTGATATTTATCAAGCATCATTAAATGGTATGTATTGAGCAAGACAGTGAGGATATGGCAGTAAATAAGATCCAGCACCTGCCCTGCAAAGTTATGATAAATATTTATGCAAATCTATGTTCATTAGTAATAACGGAAACTAAATTCTGACCTCAGTAGTCAGGCTTATTGCTTATTCACTTTTTCTCCTCCGTGGCTCTAGAATTAAGCTTTTTGGGGTTGCAAATGCTTTGTGTTAGGATATATTCATTTGTCTCTATTTATATGAGTCTATGGGGAAACATCTCTTCTACTTGTACCATGATCTTCTCATAGTTCACCTCAAAAATTGGCACTGGTGGTTTGGTTTTAATCTGATGATTTTCAAAAAGCACCTTGCAAATTTCCTGGCATTCTATACAGTTTCTTTGACTAACACTTCAGGATAGAAAAGGAATGGGAGCAAGACGTTGGGCTCCTTCCTTCAACTAGAACAATGTCATATTTATCATGATACATTAATCACTTACAAGACCTTCAAGGACAGGGTTCTGAGGTTTTGAAAAATGTTTAAAAAAATTAATATCCTATTTACAATAAAAATTCACTTTTAATTTTGTATTTCTTCAGGTAATTATAGTTCAATATGAAAAATAGTGATAAAGGTCTTTTATGAACATTTACCATGTGATTTTTAATTCTCCCAACAACAGGAGGTACCATAATTTTGCCTGCCTATTCAGGTGAATAAGTCTGGGGTCAGATGGGTTTGAATTGACTTTTCCTATATCCCCTAGCTTATAGGGCAGAGCCAAGAAAAAAGTCTGACATATTTGACTCAATGCTTTGCCTTTAACCACTCTACTCTTCTGCTTTATGTAGTTTGTAGACTGCTCTCCCCCTTTCACCACCCTGCATTATTTCACTCTTTCTTTTGATTTTTTTTTCCAAGTCACATGTGCAATAGTCCCTTGCTTTTTGTTTACCTTTTTGTGTATGTTTGTTTGGTTTCTGTTTTCTTAAAAAAACACAATTGCATGCCTCTGATTCCTTCTCCCACCAATCTGTGCCCCACACTTATCAAATTAATCTACCCCAATACCATTCTCTTCATTTCTTTGTCTTATTTAAAATCTTCTGATTATCCCTATTTCCTACAGTGATATTTCCCAAAACATGTTCTCCAAGCTGTTAATATTCTATGTAAATGAAAGAAAAAGGAAGAAAGAAAAAGAAAGGAAGAAAAGAAGGAGGAAGAAAAAGAAGGGAGGGAGAAAAAAGGAAAGAAAAAGAAAAGACAAACTCGTGAGTTTGGAAAGCACTTTCATTACAGAAAGATTTATCTGACTATTATGTTAATATCCATGTGACAGTAATAAAGAAATCATCTATTGGAGATAAATATAGAATAGTTTCAAAACTTGCTTTCTCTAAATCAGAGTGTCTGGGTTTAAGTGACCTTTCCCAATGTTCTATGTTCTTTGTCAAATGACTTCGTCTCTCTGATTTTAGTTCCCTGATCTGCAAAATAAGATAATGATTATGACCTCTGAAATGGCCTGCAATTATCCTCTCACACTGTGTTCACACACTTGGTAGTCTCTTCCCCCATGAGAAAGGACCGACTTTTATAGCCCATAGGATGTTGCAGAGTTGTATTCAAAGCTGAGTCATGAAAGACACTGTATCTCTTCCTTGCTCTCTCTTGGATAACTTGTTCTGGAGGAAGCCAACTGCCATGTCATGAGGATCCTCAAAGAGCCCATTAGAATGCCTACGTAGAGAAAAAGCCTTCAACTAATAACCAGCACCAACATGGCAGCCATGTGAGCAAGCCAACTGGGAAGTGCACCCTGAGGACATAATCAAGCTCTCAGAGTACTTCAGCTAAGGCTGATGACTTGACTGCAACTAACTGAGACATGTTGAGCCTGAACTCCCAGTCAAGATGCTACCAAACTCTTGGCCCATAGAAAAGGTGAGAGAATAAATGTTCAAAGTTGTTTTAAGCCAGTTTTTAGGGTAATTTGTTACACAACAATAAATAATAAATACAATGATAATGATGTTGGTGATGATAGTATCTACCTACCAAAAAACAACAAATGATAATGCAAGTAACAAACTTAGCCATGGTTTAGGGCAAGAGTAAGCATTAAACCAAAGTTCAACATTAATAATAGAGGTAAAAGTCATATGAAGCATATCTTAAATACATGATTTCCTCTTTTTATGGAGCAGTAAGGAAATTGTGCTTTCTGAAATACACTTTGAAGAAACCTTCTCTAGAGTCTAAATATTCTAGGTGTTTATATGAGGCATCCCTATCTGGGTCTCACCCATTTCCCCAAATTGCTCTCTAACTCTGCAAAAATAGACCTTGTATTTTGCACAGTCTACCTCTAAACTTATTATCCCATTCAGCGTCATAAGGCTTCCTCTTCATATTCCCTTCTGTCCTATAAGACATGTTTTAAATCCCACCCTCATGAAATTCCACATATAGATGATTTCTGTGGGGCCAAGACTATGTGTGAGGTTCTCAAACGTGGGATCAAGTTTTAATTATTCAAATCACCTTGGTTTGAATAATTAGACAGTATTACACAATGGTCAAGAAGTAGAGAAGTGCAGGAATATACCTCATATAGCTAGCCAAAAACAACAACAAACTTTTAAACTAAAAACAATGCAAAACCAGCCACCACAAACCTTAGATAGTAAATACTGCAAATAATGAAAAATTAGCAGTGTAAAAAAGTCATATGTAGATATGAAGAAGGAGTTAAATAAATACAATGAAAGAAAAAAATATGGACTGTTTGGTAGTAGGAAAAAAAATCCAAGACACCAAGAGTTAAGCCTCCTGCCAGTTTCCTCTTTTTTGTGATCTGAAATCTACTTGGTATTTTAGTTTCTTTTCCTCAGAGAAGAAAGAAAAAAGAGAAGAACTTGAATATTAAACACCATTAAATTCCATTAAGAAATTATTTTGAGAAAATACTTTTTGGAAAAAAAATTTTTTTTTTCTGAATCAACCAGATATCTTTTCTCTTAAGGCTGAAGTTTTGTGAAAAACACATCCAGAATCAATTAACTAAAGAGTTGTTAAATTTGTTATTTCGTATACTTGAGTAATGAAGAAGCCTAAAATGTTACATAATTAGAGGTAGATAACAATGTAAGCATTTATTTCCAATGTAATAATTTGGTATCAAAGAGATAGCCAACTCTTTCATGATTATCCAAGTTAAAGTTGTAGCCAGTCTGCAGTGTGGGAAAAAGGTAAGAGAAAATATCCTGGAAAGAGTGAGTTGACTGTTGAAAATGGTTTTCTCATAAGGGCAATAATGGTAACCATGAAAAAACTTTCTTTCTTTTTTTTTTTTTTTTTTTGAGACAGAGTCTCACTGTGTCGCCCAGGCCGGAGTGCAGTGGCACAGTCTCGGCTCACTGCAACCTCCACCTCCTGGGTTCACGCCATTCTCCTGCCTCAGCCTCCCGAGTAGCTGGGACTACAGGTGCCTGCCACCACGCCCGGCTAATTTTTTGTATTTTTAGTAGAGATGGGGTTTTACCTTGTTAGCCAGGATGGTCTCGATCTCCTGACCTCGTGACCTACCCACCTCCGCCTCCCAAAGTGCTAGGATTACAGGCGTGAGCCACTGCACCCAGCAAAACTTTCAAATGGTATTAATTTGGGACTATTTGCTGAAAATGGTGGAGCCATAATTTGTAAGGGCCAGAACTCACCTCCCACACAAACTCCTTATACTGGAGTGAGTGAGCAAATAATCACTGAGATTTCAAGGTTGCTCCTTATAGCAGCTAACATTTCTTACCCTGACAGAAACCGAGGCCCAGAAAGGTGACTGCATGCCAATGGCTCTTTAGTGAAGAAAAGGATCTGGAGACTTCACCATTTTCTTCCCCTTATTTTTGAAAACCAATTTGTAAAAGGTCTCTGTTTGCAAGTAATCACTTGTTCCTTCTCATAGCTTACCTCAGATGAATGTAAAAACTTCATTAAATGACCGTGACATTAAACCAAGTCATTATATCATAAAATTACAGTGGCAACTATTCAAAAACATTTAGAGCAGCTTCAAAATATAGCACATCTATTTACCTAAATGAAGTTACGTTGCTTTAACTTTCTACTTTTACCAAGTAATAGGTGAGTTCAACCTGACATGATACAAAGGGTTTCACAGTCTCACCAGTAAGAATTCATGTACTTCAGACAATCCCGTCTCTCCTTCCCCACACAATTTGTTCTGCTTGAAATTTAATTTTATGGGAATTTCTTACTTTAACAATCTCACAATGTAGGGCATAGTGTCTTTAAACACAGTCCTAAATAGAAACCCTAATAAATCACCATGTTTTGGATAAGAGCCATGTCTACAGTATAAATTGGAATGGAAGATAAATGATTCTGCAGAGGGACATTCACCTAAATAGGTTTATCCTCAGTAAAAATGACAATTCCCTACCTGGGTTGTAGGAATATAATGGAATCTCCAGGGAAGTTGGAAAGTTGAGATGTCAGTAAAGTGAAATCAAGTATTTTCTATTCAATAGCTATGCCTGGGCTAGTTCCGACCAAGCGTCAAGGATACCAATAGCAAAAGACTAAGCAATGGAGACGTTTATAGCCACATTTTCTTCAGGTGAGGCTAAGATGAGGATAGAAACAGAAATTTGTATCTGGGGACAGAACGGTCAAGAGCAAAAGGCGAGCAAAAGGCAAACAAAAGACAAGAGCAAGGCCATGCTGTCCCATTTAGGAGGGACAAAGGGAGGTGCTGACTCAGCCCAAAAGAGTAACCATGTCAGAGGAGAGAAGAGGGGTCTAGGAGAACAGAGGAAGGAGAACATGGGATGTAAAATTTTTTAAACCTGGACTTAAAGTCCAATTCTGCTATGATAGAATGACTCTTGGGAAGTCACCCTTTCTCTCTAAGCCTATTCCTTTATTTGTATTATGGTAATACAGAATTGCATCTGATGGGAGTTTATCTTAGGCAAATTCAAATATAAACACTCTGTTAGAGGAAAAGAAGTAATTTAATTAGTGCAAGAGTTCTGCTAGCCATAAATGGCAATAGCATGTGTGCCAAAAATCTGGACTATTGTTCCCGCATTACATGTGCTTCTCACAGTGTATGCTAGACTGTAAGCCTGCCGAGGCCAAGAATATAGTCTCTCTGTTTCATGACTGTATATACAACACCTATGATAATGCCTTATATGTAAGAGAGGTCATAAATATTTATGAAAAGAGGTAAGAAAGAAGAACGGGAGGGAAAGAAATGAAGAAATAGCATGCATCTTGCTATACTGAACATGTCTCTATTTTCTTGAACAGCATGAGCCCATAGAGAAGCCATCCACTTTACCAGGCATGAGTGGAAGAAACAGCAACGAATCCTAATACTTGCAGGAAAACTGAGTGTGTTGGAGTTTTTTAAAGAAAAAATTCTCAGAGGTAATTTTGACTATATACAATTTTCTCTTTATGTACTTTAGAACCCCACTGCCAAATAAGATGCAATTCTACCATAATAATAATTGTAACAACATCTGCATAACCTAACTCACTAGGCTCATATAAGAACACAATAAGATTAAAATCTAGAATGGCACTCTGCATAATAGTGTTGTAACATGCAAATGTCAGGTGTAAATGATTTGTATAATTATCTGGCACCACCTACTAGCATACTCTCTTCTACTGAATTCTGTTAAAAAACACAACGACTGTATAGTTTCTTTAGTTACCTGACAAAAGGAATGTCTGCGGTTGAACTACTGGAGATGTTGATACCCGAAGGTTAGGAAAACTAGCGAAGGGAGGAAATATCTGCTACTCATTTCATCAACTGGATAGCCTTATAGCACTATTGACATCCTCATCTGGGCTCTGTGGGGTTTGTCACAGAGATGTTCACCAACAAAAGCTATTGCTACCATCGTTAAGCTTGTAAGCATCCATTCATTACTACTGTACTTTCTTCATTAAGTTCCTTTAACTTAGCTCTGTCCTTTTTCCTCATTTCTCAGACTCCTCCTTTTAAGTAATGTTTCTTCAGCTTCTTTAATCTTCCAGACCTGTAAATGATGGAATGCCATGAAACCTCAGTCCTCAAACCTGTGAACAAAAAAGTATCTGAGACAGGTCTCAATCAATTTTGAAAGTTTGCTTTGCCAAGGTTAAGGACACGCTGCTCATGACAGAGGCTCAGGAGGTCCTGATGACATGTGCTCAAGGTAGTCGGGGTTCAGCTTTGATTTTATACATTTTAGGAAGACACGAGACATCAATTAATACATGTAAGATGTACACTGGTTTGGTCCAGAAAGGTGGGACAACTCGAAGCGGGGACTTCTGGACCATAGGTAGATTTAAAGATTTTCTGATTGGTAATTGGTTGAAAGAGTTATTATCCAAAGAAAGGAATGTCTGGGTTATGATAAGGAGTTGTGGAGACCAAGATTTAATTATGCAGATGAAGCCTCCAGATAGCAGGCTTTAGAGAGAATAGATTGTAAATGTTTCTTATCAGACTTAAAGAGTCTATTCTATCAGTCTTTAGGTTTGTTTTGATGTTAATGGTAATGAAGCATGTCTGACCACCTTCTCCTCCACCACTTCCCATTATGGCTTGAAGTAGTTTTTCAGGTTAACTTTGAAATGCCGTTGGCTGAGAGGAGGGGTCCATTCGGATAGTTGGGAGGGCTTAGAATTTTAGTTTTTGTTTACAGACCCCTTTGCTTTCTGCATTTATTTTCAAAGTAGTCTTGCCAACCTAGAAGATGGATTTAAATGCCATTGTATATGTTATCCCAAATGTATAATACAGCTTACACATGCCTCCTGAATGGTAGATAAAGTATCAAACTATCTACCTCCCATTTGGAGGTCTAATAGATCACTTGAACTTACCAAGTCTATTACCAAACTCTTTATTATTCTTCTAATGCCTGCCCAGCCTCTCTCTCAATTCAGAATAAGACTCAAAGTCCCCTATAGGGCATTACATAATGTGATGTCACACTAATTTTCTGATCTCATCTCATATTGCATTTCCTTCTACTTGGTGTCTCTCATCACAGCCAGTACAATTATACCTCAGGACTTCTCCACGGGGAGTTCTCTCTGCCTGGAATCCTCTTCCTCCAGATAACGATGTGGCTTATTTTCTCACTTCATTCACGTTTCTGGGAAAAATAATCTCTAATTGAAGAGTTGTTTTCTGACTACTTTATTTAATATACAAATTTTCTCCACGTTAGTTTTGTCACTCTTTATCCAATTTTTCTGCTTTATTTTTCTTTGTTGCACTCATTATTGTCTTACATATAATTTTTCTTCACCTCCCATACTGGACTGTTAACTCCATGCTCATAGAGATTTTGCTTATTTAAATCCTATATGTGCAGCTTTTAGCATAATTTCTGACTCATAGTAGGAATTCAGGAAATATCTGTGAGGTGAATGAATAAATATATTTTTAGATTTTCTTTATACATAAAAGTGTCTATTCAAAAATTTTTTTCAGATAATGCTGTCTTTGTGGTTCTGGAAATTGCTTTCTTACTTAGTAATATGCTCTAAGCATCTTTCTATAATACATCACCAAATATAGATCTAAATCATTTTTACTAGTCTCAGAGTATTTCATTGTATGGAGGTGCTGCGATTGATTTATTCAAACTCAACTGATGGACAGTTGGATTGTTTTCCTTTTTTTTCTATTTCAAACAATGCTTTAATAAATAAGCTTATATTGAAATCTTTTGTAATGCAATTCTTCAAGCAATTATTGAGTATCTGCTATACACAATTCACTGGCCTAGACAATGGGATGGTAAAGTAGAGACAAATGTGACATGGTTCCTGCATTCAGGGAGCTCATGACCTACTCAAGGAGACAGATGATGGAAAATAAGAATGACATATTTTAGAGAATAATAGAGTATAGAATTATAGAGTACTGCAAGGGCAGTAGAGAATAGGGGATTCAGGAATGGAAACTATCAGGAGATGCAAGATTCAGAAAAGCTTTTTGGAAGGTCTGTAAGTTTGGCCTGGGCTTTGGCAAAGGTTTCAACCAGCAGAGGGTCTGAGGTGAAGAGAGAGTGCTACGCATTTAGAGGATTGCCAGAACTATTCTTGCATAGTTTAGCTCTCTAGTTTGACTGGAACAGAAGGTGGGTGAGCAACAAGGTCAAAAATGTAGGCTGGGGCAAGAGCACCTACCAGGTCCCAATCATTGTCAAGCCAAAAGATCCAGGGATAAAGAATAATGTGGGAATAGATCCATGTGACTTACCCATCAGACTTTTTCCTTTTTCAGAAGAAAGTTTGTCTGGGCTCTCCTGGTCTGTGGGTAAACAGACTCATTATTCCCAAATGTTCTGGTATTTGAAGAAAAGCTAGAAATCTGTATTTTTTATGTTTATTTTTTATTTTTGAGATGGAGCCTCACTCTTTTGCCCAGGCTGGAGTGCAGGGGCATACTCTCGGCTCACTGCAACCTCTGCCTCCCAGGTTCAAGCAATTCTCCTGTCTCAGCCTCCCGAGTAGCTGGGACTACAGGCTCCTGCCAGCACACCCAGCTAATTTTTGTGTTTTTAGTGGAGACGGGGTTTCACCTTGTTGGTCAGGCTGGTCTCGGACTCCTGACCTCAGATGATCCACCCAACTCGGCCTCCCAGAGTGCTGGAATTACAGGCATGAGCCATCGTGCCCAGCCAAAATCTGTGCTTTTAAAATATGAAACCTCCTGACTTTTAACTGCTGACCATTTTGTCTTATTTTTTCAGAACCTCATTTTGTGAACCATAAAACAACAACAATAAAATTCCCAATCGACCCACTGCTAATGGGCTGTATGTATCCTGTGAACCACCAATTTGTAAATTCTGCCCTAAGGGCCCTGAGGAGACTCTGTCCCCTAATAATGGTGAATTTCATTCTTTTTGGACCTTGAATATGATAGCGAAATTCCATTTTACATCATAATCTAAGATGCACATACATAAGCAAATATAAATGAAACAAAACTTTTAGAAAACAGTACTTAATCCTAACAACTTACTTAACAAAAAGAAAAGCGCTATGATTTAGACTAGTTCAGTTCATTCTCTTCTGTTCTTCCAAAAAGAAATCTTTCTTTTAACCTACACAGCGAACTTCAGGACTCACCATGATTGCAAAATTCATTGAAAACATTGTCCTGACTATAATGCTTCTTTTGCCATCTAAACCTATGTGATTTTGTAATACCTCTTAGGAGTTTCCTTCTCAGGTGTTTAGGAATTGTGGATCCAACTAGAACATAAACAGCTTTCAGGCAGGATTTCCTCCTTTCTCTTAGATCCACAATCACAGCAAATGTAGCAATTATTCAACAACTGGATGTTGGAATTTGGGCCTCTGAGATTCTCCCCAAGTCAGATTTTATAGTCTGAGTTTCAAAGGCCTTGGGTTTGTAAACCGATTCCTTGACGTAGCTGGAGGAGATGGTCATTGACTTTTACTTAGAAAACCATTTGTCACTAGTTCATCCAGCTTCCCTCCAAAAATGTGTCCCTGAACCTCAGCCTGAAATTGAAATCCTCTTTATCTTGAGGCCAAATTGGCTCCACTCCTACAGCTCCTATCTCAACCCCAGGCCACGTCCTTTTGTTGGATTGATTGTGAAGGCCAAATCATAAGTTCTTCCTATTTTATGCTTTATATAATGTGAACCCTTTCTGGTTATTAAGAAACACAAATGATTTTAGTTATCATGGAATTAAATGTAGCCTAGAACATTCAATATTTGTCAGGTCATGTTGCAAATGAGCTACTGTATTCATAATGGATGTGTCACCATCATAAATATGACAAAAGGACATTTTCAAAAGATGATTATGCGCACCGATGGGAGAGAAATATGAGCTCAAGAAATTAACATTCTCATCACTGCCTTGCTCCTCTGCTTTGCATTATTTAAGGATCTCTGGTGACTTGACTGAAGTCCTCCTTGTCCCCTAAAGCCCTCAGTGTGCCAAGCTTTTGGAGTATAGCCCACCTTGATATCAAAAGAAAGACCCCTGTTGGAGAAGTTGACATTTCCCCCTCTCATCTCTAGGTTAATGGGGAGACCTGAATTCAAAGGCACCTTCGTCTCAGTGGGAGCACCTTAAGACATCTTCAGTTTTGATTTATATTGCTTTCAGGTACATGTTGGATAAAAGCTGATGGGAATGGGAGAAAGAAGCCAGATGCAGAGTAGATCCAAGGGAAGAACCGAAATGCAGAACATTTTACTTCTTTGTTTAGCTATGCTGTGTATTAACTAGCCAACACTGTATTGAATACTTGCCATGCACAAGACTAGTTGTCCTCCACTCTCTTGATCACTCAAATCTCCTGGGGAGCTTTTTAAAACTACCAATATCCTGGCCCCATAAAGACTCTGATTCAATTGGTTGTGAGTGGGGACCCAGCAATATGGAAGTTTTAAACAGCTCTGCAAGAGGTTTGAATGTGCAGCCATGGTTGAGAACCACTGCATTAGATGCTATTCATAAACTTTAAATTTTTAGCTTGTTCATCCCACAGGTCTATAAGGTTGCTATTATCATTATCCTCAATTTTCAGGATTTTTACCTCTATTTAGTAAAATAAAGGTAAAGAGAAGTTAGGTACTATGCCCATGTCATACAGGCTGGTAAGGGGTGGAATCCAAACGTGAGTCTAGGTAGTTGGATTTCAGAGTGCAAAGTAAGTTTAATGCAAAGATCAAAGGAAGGAGGAACACTTATGGTCAGGCATTTGGGACAGAAGTAGCAAAGGGCTGACTACATAGGTGGATAAGTTATAGCAATGGAGTCTCCATTGTATATACCTCCACCCTAAAGGAATATGGGAAGGAGAGTGCTTAAAGTCTATCAGCAGGACTGGCTTTAGAGTGTACAACCTGTGCATGAGCTCAAAAGGGTCCCATACCTTGTTTAATGCTCTGCTGTTCCTGTCTTGAAATTCTTAATAGGTTTGAAATAAGAAGCTCCACATTTTCATTTTGCACTGGACCCCACAAATTATTAATATGACACTCAGGCCAGTCCTGAGTGTCAGACTCATGGAAATGAAATTGTAGCCATTTTTTCTAGTTTGAATGCTGTGTGTGATGAGAGGGGTGGTTGCCTCTCTGCAGGGGTTTCAGTGGAACAGCAATCCCTGCCACCCTTTCTTTGTGAATGCACAGCTCCTAGAGCTGGAAAAGCAAACATCAAAGTCTCTGACAAATGGAGAACAGAGCTGTGAGTTGCACAGATTAAAATATAGAGTGGGGAGAACCCAAAAAAAACCAGTGGTGTCCTAAAAAGTCCTCTATGCATTGCTGCACTGAATCTTTACAACTCTAGAAGATGAGAATGAGTGTGAACCTCCCAGGTTCGCGCCATTGTCCTGCCTCAGTCTCCTGAGTAGCTGGGACTACAGGCGCCCACCACTGTGCCCGGCTAATTTTTTGTATTTTTAGTAGCGATGGGGTTTTATCGTGTTAGCCAGGATGGTCTCGATCTCCTGATCTCGTGATCTGCCCGCCTCAGCCTCCCAAAGTGCTGGGATTACAGGCATGAGCCACTGCGCCCGGCCAACTATTTTATTTTTATTCTATCATCACCCATTCAACAGTTACTCACAGGGCACCTTCAGTACCTTAGGTACTGTTCTTCTTTCTTGAATTTAAAAGGGGTGAGGATTCAGTGAGATGATGTTGTACAAATATGACCTGTTATTACCTGGAGTCTTCTCCTGCCCCAGTTTGGCTGTTCACTGAGTTCCCAAGTGTGACTTGTGATTACGTGGTCAGCTATCTCCTATTTTTATTTATTTATTTATTTTTTACCTTTCAACTTCATACACTTCCTTTAAAACTGAGATCAAATTTATAAACCTGACTCATTATGAGGATGGTGATTCTAAGGGTAGCTCATGTTTTTGGAGTATGTAATGTGTGCCAGATGCAGTGACAACAATTATTTGCATCAGCTCATTTAATTTAACCCTTACAATAGTCCAATGAGATAGGTACAGAAAGCTAGGGAAGGATTAACAAGTTTCTCAGTATCACTCAGATGCCAATGCTAGGGCAAGACTTCAAACCATATGTTGCATGGCATTAAAGACCAGGCTCTTAAACACTGTAGTACTGAAACACTTATTCTATATTTCTATTATTATAGAAATCGATTATATATACATATTTATATTACATATAAATATTAGTATTTCACTTATTATTGAATATTGATTCCTTCAGTGTTATTGTACACTGATATGGTATGTATGTTATGTGTTAGCTTCCAAGTGTCTAGAAGAAGCTATATTTTTACACTTAATGTCTCAGGTAGCATTTGTAATTGTGTCTTTCATGGTGCAGATATTAAAACATACTGATTGACTAAAATTCTACTGGAAAATATATAATACCTAATCATTGGTCAAGTAAAAAATCTATAAAATTGTTTATGTAAGATCATAGTTTTTTTTTGGTTAGACACCAATTTCTCTTTGCCTGAATTTCTAGAATTGTATTTAGAAAAATAGATTACTTAGTAATTTTAACATTCCAAAAAGAGCGGTTAATATTATTTAAGCATTTTTCCATATCACAGTTATTATCCAAGTGCTCTACCTATCTTAAGCCATTTAATCTCTACTAACATGGTGGATGCAGTTTGTAATTCACTCCTTCTTTCCTGACTTACTCTGGGTATTTAGATTTCCCCCTTGTGGCAACTGTATTAGCCTGTTTTCCCACTGCTGATAAAGACATACCCAAGACTGGATAATTTATAAAGGAAAGAGGTTTAATGAACTCACAGTTCCACGTGGCCAGGGAGGCCTCACAATCATGGTGAGGTGAAAGGCAGGCAAGAGAGGATGAGAACCAAGTGAAAGGGGTTTCCCCTTATAAAACCATCAGATCTCGTGAGACTTATTCACTACCGCAAGAACAGTATGGGGGAAACAGCTCCCATGATTCAATGATCTCTCACTGGGTCCGTCCCACAACACGTGGGAATTATGGGAGCTACAATTCAAGATGAGATTTGGGTGGGGACACAGCCAAACCATATCAGCAACAAATGCTTCAGGGGAGGGGAGCCTGTCCCCAGCTTCAGGATGGGTCTGATTTGTTTCCTGTCTCCTTGAGAGTAACTGGTATAGGAATCCAGGACAACCAACAGGACGAATTGCTGCACAGAAGAATTGGCTTAGGAAAGAGTGTGCATCTCAGTCCAGGAGAAGGAGACAAGACACAATGTTTACAGGGAGCATTTGGAAAAGTGAAAGCCACAGGAAAAGATGGCTTCTCTCCACCAAGGACATCACCATGTTAGAACTAAGGCAGCTTTCTCACTATCAGCTCAAGAATGAAGCTAAGAGAGAAGAGAGACAGCCAAGAGAATCACAAAGAAACTGAATTCAGGCCTTAATTAGTCTTCCCTATCTCTAGAATTTTCAGATATGTAAGCCAGTAAATTTCCTTGTTGTTTAAGCTGGTTTGAGATGGGTTTTCTGTTCCTTGCCTCCAAAGCCATCAAACTCTCACATGGATATCAAATGTTATGTTATATGTTAGAATTAGATATAAGAAGATACACCAGCAATTGAAATATGACAATTACAGAAATGCTATCATATGACATTTGCGTAGTGCTGTACAAGGGTTGCCAAAGCATTATGTGTAACAAGCTCCTGATATTTCAGTTGTAAACTATGGCTATTGAAAAAGAGAAAACATTGCCGACCAACATGGACCAGCCCTGCCTTTGCCAATAAAAAGCTGCTTCTCCCCAAATATGAAGAAGATACATGGGATATGACCGTGAGTGCAAATCTCCTGAACAAATTCCCTGTCCTGCAAGAGTCTCAATGTTGTGTCAAGTACGTGGCCATCTTCCCTACTTGACCTGGTTCTGACCTTGTGCTTACTTGTACATACTTGGATAACTGCTAGATGCACTTCCCTAGAGGAGCTCCCTGTAAATCTATAACAAACCATGTCACTCACAGGAGCACTCTTGTAGCTACAGATTGCTCACAGGGCCAAAAGCAACTTTTGCACGTTTTCAGATTAGTGCTATGGTTTTGCTGGCCATGTTGCCTTAGTCTGAGAGATGGCATTGAATCTGTAAATGGCTAAATGCCCAATCTTTTCCTGATTCCCTCATTGGAAGTGAATCCTTCCTTTCCCCAGTATCCTGTCTTTTGTACTTGCATTGCAGCATTAGCCAGAGTTCATCTTAAATCAGAATTATTTATGCAAATGATTGTCTTCTTAACTTGATTGTGGGCAAGTTAAGAGCTAAAGACAGTGTCTCAATTTCTTTTCTAGTCTTTGGATTATCAAAGAGTGGACCTGCTGGTTGAATGTAACATAAGATCAAAAAGCCCCAGAAATCTCATGGGGGGCTCATGGACTATGAGGGCTCATAAACAGATGTTGAGAACCATGCAGTAGAGACAAAGATGATGTTTGAGTTTTTACAATATATTTACACGCCAGAGAAATACAAATACAAAGCTAGGTGTCGTTCCTTCTCTTGATGAAAGAAATATCGAGTAGCAGATATTTATAATTTTTTATTGTATGTATCTAAAAATATTTTGATATTTGAAGAGTATAGAAAATAAAGATAATACAGAGACAGAGCTTATAGAATTACTGTCACTATAGAAGCTGAAAATGCCAGGCACTCACTTATTCTGGCAAGGGCTGTTGTACAGTCAGGGCAAGGGCTAATGATAGGCTTGGCAAGTCAGGCACATCCATCCCAGGCTTTGGTGACTTAGGATCTCCCACTAGCAGACCTTGAAACAAGGTCTTTGGCTCATGTGTTTGTTTTGGAAGTCAACCAGGAAGCTCAAGTGAAGGAATGGGGAAGGCGAAGGAGGGGAGAGAGTGAAGCCTGTTAAAAGGAATGTTAATGAGTGGGTTACTGCTGTAGACAGGTGGGTCTCAATCTTCCCGAGAATCATCAAAAATCTTCTAGAAAGCATAGTAGAAGTGCTGCAGTGAGAAGCGGGGCTATTTATTCACCAACTTCCACTCATCATTGGTTGAGATTTTTCCCGGCACACAGGCTAGTGGAGCTCTTGGGTACATAAAGTCTTCAGGTGGCAAAGTAGAAAGAGAGGGAAGATGATGGCATGATGATGGACATGATGGCAGGTCAGCTCAGAGCTGTGCTGCGGAGATATGAGGTGGGCAGGGTATTGACAGCAGCTGCCTCATTCTGGGAGCCAGAAGCAAGAAGAATAAAACTGGGGGAATCTGCTGTGGTGGTGCAACCCTGGTTGAAGCACTCAGGGTCTTGAATCAGCATTGGCTCCCAGGATAGAGTGCTAAAGTGGTGGCGATGCACTCCAAGGTTATTTCGTGTAATCTTCACAACTCTGCCATATTGGGTGAGGAAAAAAGAGAGCCTTAGGGATGAAAAATTAACTTGTGTAAGGTCATACAACTACTACTGTAGTAAAGATAATCTTTCAAGGAGTGCAAAACAGATAACCAACAATGATAATGATTCTTAATATTTAGAGGTAATTAAGACAATAATAATAATAATAATATCATTATGATAGTTCTTTGCCTGTGTAGAGTTCATATCAATGTGCTTTTCCAAACATTTCATTTATTTTGCTTCATTCATGGGGAGGCATTTCTGTTGTCTTGTATAGATGGGAATACTGAGCTTCCAACATGCAATAACTTGCCAGGAAGCCATGGAATTAACTGCAGTCTAAGCACAATTCCCTTCCCAGAGTGCTTACCTTCCTTCATCCCTGTAGGCAGCAGAAGACAAATGTACTATGCAAATAGTACAATTCATTTCTTTTGCAGGTGTATGTCTCTCTGTATTCAATTCTCATGAAACCTTTCATGAGGTTAAAGTACCTGTTTGCAGAAGTTTTGGAAAGCCCCACAGTTGCAAAAGTAAACACACAACCTTCATACATATTCTAGTCTCCTTAGCATAGCAAACCGTTGATGTAACCACCTGCTATTCTCTGGGGGAAAAGAAAGATTTAGAGGGAATATGAAATCTGGAGAAATGGTTCCATTGAGAATTAACCCTCTTTTAAGAGAAGTCTCAGGCTGTTACAACTGGATATGTATGAGTTTTCATTCAGGGCTTAAAATAGAACAAAATTAGATCTTATGAAAGATTTATGAAGCAGCAATTTGCTCATCTATGCATTTGGATTTTGTGTGTGTTCTCTCATTTTGGGAAGTGCAGTGGTAAAAGTGAATGGCAATGACCAAACTTAGATATTTTGACTGTGTGCAGTGGTCCCCATCACCTATAGAAATGTGTGGTTCTGCCAAGGCAAGTGATGTAAGGCTGGAGGATGGAAAGTGTCGCTGTGCAGTCAGTATCTTTTTATCATCAGCCCTCAAATGCATTGGGGTGCATGTAGTTTTAAATACACATGAAACCATCTGGTCAATTAAGTCATCATCTTTGTACTTTTGACCAGTTAGCTTTTTTTTCTGATGTTTTTATGATAAAAATGAACATGAGAAGTAACGAAATGTTAGGTCTAGATCATCATGGTGTCACAGTCAAGATCAAGAAAGAGAATTTCCCTTGCCCTTCTTCCTTGATGTAAAAATCAAAAAGTTGTGAACAGAACAGTAAAAAAATTGTTATTAGTAACTGGTATCAAATAACATGCATAATTGTTTATTTGGAATCAATATGTTTTACAAAGCACCAATAAATCACTGTGGGCTGGTTGGGGCTGCATCAAGATGAACTTTTATGCAGAGTGCCTATAATAAACAGCACCGGGCTATTCTTTAAGTTAGCTATTCCGCTTATTTGTTGCTGCTTCATGAATGAAGCCACACTGGACTAGGTGGCTTAAGACAATAACCATTTTATTTATTTGGTCCCAAACTGCATCAGCTGGGGCAGCTTGTTGAAGGCTGGAGAATCTGCTTCCAAGATAGCCTCAGCCACATGGCAGGGAAATCAGAGCTGCCTGTTGGCTGGGGTATTGACTGGAGCTCCTGATCTGGGACTCAGTTCACACGATTAGGTTGGACTTAGCACAGCCTGGCACTTTTAGGATATTCAGATCTTACATGGTAGCTGGCCTTCCCCAGAGTGCAAAAGCAGAGGATGATATACATTCTTAAGACAGGCACAGAACAGGCACATCATCATTTCTGTTACATTCTGTTGGTGATTTGATTTAAATACGGAGAATAAATCCTCTATTTCTCTGGAAGGATTGTTAAAACTTGGGTAAAATTTTTAACATACTATTATCATTCAGCACATACACAGAATCCTTTCTTCTGAGCGGGGAACAAATGCAACCTAGGAATGGAGGAAAATCTCTTTCATTAGAATTCAGACTAAGTATTTCTGAATACACCTCCATCAAACATAGTTATCCTCACCAGCATCACTAAAATTTGATAATTTGTTACAATACTTAACTCTCTGGAAATATATCAAAGTTCATATCTCTACCCTTGCTAATAGGACTTTTAAAGGAAACCTTGTGAGTTCATGCCCTAAAATAATATTCCCTGTTGATCAAAGTATCAGGCCTTGCAAATTTCATGATCATTCCCATAATTAAGATTTCTGCCTGAGGTTAATTTCCCTAGGGACTGCCCAACTTCTTGGGAGGGATATTTCCTAATTTATGATACCTTGTTAGTGAGGGTTTCTGTAGCATCAGGGAAGGTTTCTAAGCCTGTAGCCTGAGTCATGACAAAATAGGAGGGTAGCTAACAATTATTGAACACTTTCTATCTGCTGCATGCTGCGTAGAATTATCATAAGCCTGATTTTTTTTTCAAAAGAAATCAATTGTAATACAAAATAGCAAGTCATATGAATTATCAGTGGTCATTTAGCTAGGAAGTGGCAGAACAGGATTCAAACCTGGACAGCTTTCATTGCAGAGTCTGTGTGCTGACCTCCGGCAGGGCCATCTGCAATGGCGAGTCACTATAGTTGGGTGGTTCTCAAAGCGTGTTTATGGACCAGCAGCAGCAGCATGGCCTGGGGACTTGTGAGAACTGCAGACTCTTAGCCACTGCTCAGAGCGAGTGAATCAGAAACTTTGGAGACGGGATTTAGCAATGTGTGTTTTCTCCATCCTGGTGATTCTGATACATTCTCAAATTTGAGACTCATGTTTTAAAAATCGTCACTTCAAGAAAATGCTGTATTAATCATAGGGCTGACTGATTAAAGCTATCATGCCATAGGCTTCTCAAGGCACCTCAACAAAGACCAACATCCTTCACAGAAATGATCCACATTCAACAAACATTCTAGCTGTAGCTTGACTTAATGATCATGTCTTTCGCATTTGGCTTGGAATACAAATTCACTCCATTTCCCAACTCTCCAGTTGGTTCTATGCTTCAGTTTCCTCATATTAAAATATACATAATGATGCTTGTTCTCTTCTCTCACAGAAATAGTCTAGGAATTAATGAGCTATATTAAACTCATTCAGTTCCTGGAAGAAAGGCAGTATATAAACACTATATTAATATTTTAAGCAGGTTAACTTTTTCCATGTGAATAAAAGCCTTTTTTCTTTTGGTCATCAAACATGTTGCTTTTTCTCAAAAGAATTTTTTGATTCTTTAAAAGTTTTCTTTTTTAAAGATACCAACCAGATTTCTTTCCAAGTACCAAAGGGAAGAGTATCAGGATGAGAAAACATTTTTATGAGAAGAGCTAAAGTTTTAAAATTCCTGGTTTTATTAGCGATAAGAGGCAGTGTGGTGTTATAGCAAGAACACTGAGTTAGGATGCCAATAATGCCAAGTTTAAGTTCTCCATGCTACTTTTGAGGTGTGCAAACTAGGGTACCCTCTTCCACTTTTTAGGCCTCAGTTTACTGAACTATAAAAAGTGGCAATATACCAAAGAATTGGAGTCTAGGCACTGGCCTCAAAAACCTGGGTGTGAATCCTGGCTTGGCCATTCATTAGCTGTGTGACCTAAGATTAGTTACTTACTTTCCTTGATCACCTGTCTCCTCATATGAATAAGAAGGAGAGCAACATAATTCAATAAGGAAATGAAACCAAGGAGCTCAGCTTAGTGCTTGGCACTCAATAATAAGCCCTGGCTATTATTAACATTAATAAAAATTCAGGTATAGACTAGATCATCCCAGAAGGCCTGGCTGCTTTGGAATTTTAGGATCCTCTCAGAAGTTTCTCCCAGAATCTCCAGTTGCTTTCTTCCCTAAGGATTCAACATTCTTCATTCAATATTCTTCATGTATTTATTGAGCACCGACTATGCACCAGGACCATTAGAAGCAGTATCTCTAGTGAACATAGAGAAAAATCCCTGCCCTCGAGGAACTTAACATGCTAGGGGGAGCAGGCCTTTCATAAACATACTACTCTAGGTACATAAATACTCAATACATCTTGGGCCAATTGAATGGAATTTCTTTTTGTGTTGAAAAATCTTCAACCTAGATAGAAAACTATTTTTCTTAGCCTTCATCTATTCAGAGATAAAAACCTCCCTTTGATGAGTGCTTGAGAGCTCTGCTCTTATATTTTTTTAATTCTATTTTTAAAGTGAAGGCTTCCCTCTTAGTGAATGAGTAAAGGAAGGAGGTGGGTGGAGGAGGTGGGAAGGAAGTGGGTGTCCCTTGCTTCATCTTGCCTGAATTGAGGGAAGAGTTGACAAATTAGGGTAGGTTGGGAGCATGACAACTTGGTTAACAGGAAACAGAAGATATTTTGAAATCTATCTGTTTAGTTGCCAATCCCTGTTTGCAGGTTAAGAAGAAAGAAGTTTTGACATTTGGGTACCAGTTTGTGCAAGGGAGTCCACATCTATCCAGAAGTTTTGGGAAATCTGAAATGATGTTGTCCCAACCTGTTTGGAGGAGGATGTTGCTAAACCTTTCTGGATTCAGAGAGAAAATCTTCCTCCTAATGCTCTTTCTTCATGATACAGGAAAAACAGTGCCAGATCTCGGCTGACATAAACATTTTAAGCAGGAAGGAGTGCACTTCTTCTATTTCTTAACAACATAAATTAAACATCACAGTAGACATCAGCCTGGAAAAAGTTACAGGAACCCAAGGTTCTTTCAGCAGTTTATTAATGCAGTCTGGCCAGAAGGTTCAGAGGGGCAGTGAGATCACCAGCTGGTATGGAGCCCTGGGTGATCCACAGACAGTTGGCTGGGACTCAAAAGACAATTTGTTCTGGTTCTGAATGCTGTATTTTGTGCAGCCCACTTAGGTCTAGAGATGTTAATTGGAAATACAGGCACACAGGCAGGACCAAGGAACCTTATCAGCCACGTGCAGCAGCACTGAACCATGGTCAGGAGAAGCTGGGAAGCATCAAGATCAGAGGTCAGACTGGGCTGGTGAGAGAAGTGGCCAACGTGGTACCCAGACTACAGTAGAGGCTGTGCCAAGGTGCTTGTCCACATGGAAAAATGGCATACAGTTTACAATGAGGCCTGACGGCAGAATAAGCTCAAGTCTAGATTGCCAGGCTGAGTTGGAGACCAATTTGGTCTCCAAGGAGACATCAGGGTGTAGCAGATGTATTAGTTTCTGAGAGCTGCTGTAACAAAACTGGGCTTATAACAGAAATGTAATCTCTTATAGTTGTAGAAGCTAGAAGTCCAAAATGAAGGTGCTGGCAGGGTTGGTTCCTTCTGGAGGCTCTGAGAAGGAATCAGTTCATGTCTCTCTCCTAGCTTTTGGTGGCTGCATGGCAGTCCTTCATGTTTCTTGACTTGCAGATGCATTACTCCAATCTCTGCCTCCCTCTTTACATGGTCATCTCCTCTTGAATCTCTATGCCTTTTTTCTTCTTATAAGGAAATCTGTCATTGGATTTAGGGATCATGCTAAATTCAGGATGATTTCATCTTAAAATCCTTAATTACATCTGCCAAGACCTTTTTACCAAAAAAGGCCACTTTCACAGGTTATGAGGTTTAGGAGGTGGCATATCTTTTGAGGATGCCAATTATTCAACCCACTAAGTGGATATACAGGTAGAAGTCAGAAAACTTGGGTTTCAATTCTAATAATATGACAATAGCTATCCTTTAAGAAAATTTTAAATCAGTTGTCAAGCACTCATTTATGATGAACAAATACACTGTTCTAGGTTCTCAGACTTAAGTAACAAAAAAAAATGACAGAGATTTTTGCTCTCATAAAGCCACTCTCTATTGGGTATCGTTGGAGACAGACAGATAAATAAGTCGAAGCATATGGAATGTCTGATGATGATGAGCACTAGAGAGAAAGTAAATTAGGGAGGAGGATGGGAGTGCTGGAGTACTGGAAGGTGGCAGTTTTAAATAAGATGGTCTTTGAAAGCCTTAGTAAGAGCTACCATTTGAGTAAAGTCTCCAAAGAAGGGATGGATGAGCCCGGTAGATGCCTGGAGAAAAAGTCTCTCAGGTACAGGGAAGAGCAACTGCAAAGGACCTGAGGCTGGAACAGGCCTGGTCCTTTTGAGAAGTAAGGAGGCCAGCAAGGCAGAAGGGGAGCGAGCAAGGGGAAAAAGTGGAAGAAGATGAGGTGGGAGAGATAACAGGGAGCAGATTATGCACACAGGCCTGGCTGTTTCCTGTTGGGACTTTTTGCTCTGAGTGGAATGAGGAGGCATGTGGTTCTTCATGTATTCTGCAGCTGGAGCGGCTAGAATATGCTGAATGGGAAGCCATAGGCATGACACAACCCGATCCCATGATTGCTGGGTCACTTCTGCAGCTGTATGGAAAACAGACTCATGTGGAGGCAAGGGTAGAGCAGGAAGATCATAGGGACAATTGCCCTAGTGAAGGGGAGGGATGATAGGGGCTTGGACCAGTGGAGATTGGGAGAAGTCATGGGGTTCTTCATGTATTCTGAAGCTGGAGCTGCTACAATATGCTGAGGGTTTAATGTGAGGGATAAAAAAAGGAGTCAAGACTACCTCCAAGGTATTGGGCCCCCAAACCAGAAACATTTATTGAGATGAGGTGGTGCTAATGACTTCACATGCATTAGACAACCCATTGCTCAGCCCTGTAAGGTTGGTAACATTATACCCATTTTACAGATAAAGAAACAGTCTTTCAAAATTTAAGTAAACTGTCTAAGAGCATGTAGCTATTAATAGTACCTGAAATAGGATATAGGCCAGTTCTCTCATATTTATAATCCCAGATTCCTAACTCTCAGAGCTCCAGCTTTTTCCTCTGCATAAAGAATCTTCTTATCTACATCCACAAGATTGTGAGAGTTATGAGAATGAAAGTAAAAGTGCTTTATAAATTACAATGTACTATCCAACTATGTATCAGTTATCTATTTCAGTGTAACAAAACACTCTAAACTTAGTGATGTAAAATAACAATATATTATTATCTGTTAAGGTTCTGGAGGTGGACTGGGCTCAACTTGGTGCTTCTTGCTCAAATCTCTCTTGTAGTTTCAGTCTGATACTGCTTAGGCTAGAGTCATCTCAAGGTCTCACTTATGTATCTGGTGGTTGATGACGGCTTTTGGTTAGGACCTCAGCTGGGATTGTTGGCTCGAACATCTATACATGGCTTCTCCATGTGGCCTGGACTTCCTTACAGCATGGTGGCCAACTTCCAAGAGCAAGCATCCCTGAAAAGAAATAATTAGGTAGAAGCTGTGTTATCTTTTATGATCTAGCCTTGGAAGTCATATAGGATCACTTCTGCCATGTATACTACTGATAGAGGCAGTCACAAATTTCCACTGGGTTCAAGGGGAAGGGATATAGACAACATATCTTTATACAGGAGTGGCAAAGTCATATATTCACAGCATGTGGGATGGGAGATACTGTTATCACCATCTTTGGAAAATACAATCTACAATAAAGTAGAAGATATTATTACAAGGGAAGTTTATCAAGGCAAGAAGGCTCGACAAAATGAGACAGATTGCACTCTCAGTGTAAGCCAGGCACAAGCAAATGCAGAAAGAAATGTAGAGAAGGTAACTAGAAACAGTCTCCCAGGGTAGTAGCAGAGTAAGCAGACAGCATTACACAGCCAGATGATGATGGATATCTGGGCCCAGATCCAGAAAATTCTGCTCATTGTTGCATTTTTTTCCCCATCTTTTTTATGATTTGTTCCGGAACTTATGAAAAGAGCTCCAGGTAATACATCTTATAGAAAAAAGGAAAAGCTACACGGAAGCATAACAAAAAACAATTCCCCATCATTCCACCACACAATCGGAATCCATATTAATGTGCTGGTGTTGGGTATGTTGTCTTCCTGGGTGGAGAGCAGTGCAGTGAGTAAGGGCTTTGGGCTTGAAAATCCCACAAACCTGGTTGAAATCCCAGTTCTGTCTCTTTTAGCTGTATGATCTCTTGGGCAAATTACATAACCACTCTGTGCCTCAACTTCCTAGTCTGGAAAACTGGGACGATACTAAAATAATCCTATAATGTGGCACAGGGGCTGGAAAATAGTAAGTTCTCAATGCACATTAGCTTGTAAAATCACTATTAAATAAATACATGATTCTTTTCACAAAATGGGATCATTTGCAAAACAGCATGCATGCTGGTATGTAGCTGCTTTTTTCACTTAATGAATTTATCTTGAATACCTTCCTATATGACTCTGGAAGCAGAAACTTGTATCATTTTGTTTATGAGATGCACATCCTTTCATTGTGAACATGAATTACAATTTGCCTATTTGTTTAACAGCTTCTAATTGATGGATATTTAGCTTTTTTTTTAAAGTTTTACCTATTATGTATAGCCCTGCAATACTCAAGTACTTGTCTAAATATTTTCTTATTGCTTGGAATATTTTTTCAATAAACAAATGAATATTGACAAGTTTCTAGAAGTGGACTTACTGGCCCCAAATGTCCCATTCAGTAATTTTAAATTTACTTTTTATTATGAAAATTTCAAACCCACAGCAAATTAGAAAGCGTAGTACAATGAACACAAACATGTAGCTAGCAAGTATATTCAGCCTGATTACATTCTGCCATACTTGCTTGGTGTTTGTTTTTCTTAAGTATTTTAAAATAAAACATATGCATCATAACATTTCACCCTACTACTGTAAATCTGTGTCTCATAAAAATGAGAACTTCTCCTGTATAATTATTGTACCTAACAAAATTAAGTGCAATTCCCTAATATCTAATATACGATCCATTTAAAAAATTCCCAATGGTCCAAAATGCCATTTTCAGCTTTTTTTTTTTTTACATTGAACACCAACTTTTAATTTTTACTTTTTTTTGATTTTTTTTATTATTATACTTTAAGTTCTGGGATACATGTGCAGAACGTACAGGTTTGTTACATAGGTATACATGTGCCATGGTGGTTTGCTGCACCCATCAATCCATCATCTACATTAGGTATTTCTCCTAATGCTATCCTTCCCCTAGCCCCCATCCCCTGACAGGCCCCAGTGTGTGATGTTCCCTTCCCTGTGTCCATGTGTTCTGATTGTTTAACTCCCACTTATGAGTGAGAATGTTTTTCAAATTAGGATCCAACCAAGGACCAGTTATTACGTTTGATTGTTGCATCTCTTAAGTGTCTTTCCATCAAGAGCAATCCCTTCCGCCTTTGTTCTCCTCTTTAACATTGACTTGCTGAAGAGACTGAGCTGTTGATCTTCTCCTCTTGTAAACATTAAAAACTCCTGTTTCTCAAAGAAAATTCTCGGATGTGAAATCGTTGGATTAAAAGGCCCATCCTGGTTGCAGGCTTCTTCCAGGATGTGTGAGCCCTTTGCTTGCAGGTGTGGGCTGCTCCAAAGTGAGGCTCTCCTCAGCAGATAGATGCCCTTCATTGTCAAGGCTGGCTCTAGCAGGGCACTTGGGAGGCCCCACCCTTTCCACAGGGATGTTGGGGTCCACCGTTCAGTACAAAGTCTCTTCAGAGAAGAGGCAATTTTGGAAGACTTCATTCTCCTCTATCGTCAGATGCAGGTAAGCGTCTCCTGGATAGATTTGTGTTCCTGCTGGTGGGGTGGATGACAGCAGACCTTTATAGTTAGAGATATGCATTGAAATCCTGGTTCTGCCTGTTACTAGGGTAACTTGCTACCTTGGAAAAACCACTTAAATTTCCATTGTATTTCGCCCTCTAGTGGAATGCGCTGAGTCCTTTATCATGCACCTGTCTATTTCATACACTACTGGGTAGCAAAGATACTGCCACTGAGAAGTGGGCAGGTCTCCTAATTTCCACAACAGGCCTCTCAAACTTTCATGTACTTAAGGAACACTTTTGGGGTGAGGGATACTTGTAATAACCAGAGATCTCTGAGATTCTGATTCAGTAGATGAGACCCAGGAATCTACTTTTTAAATTTGTTTTAAAAAAATTTGTATAAATTTAGGGGGTCCAAGTGTCTTTTTGTTACCTGGATATATTGCATAGTGGTGATGTCTGTACTCATTAATGAATTTCTCATCTCTCACCCTCCCCAACCTTCAGAGTCTCCAATTCTATCATTCCATACTCTATGTCCACGTGTATACATTATTTAGCTCCTACTTATACATAAGAACAGGCAGCGTTTGACTTTCTGTTTCTGATGGTCTCCAGTTCCATTCATGTTACTGCAAAGGAAAACATGATTTCATTCATTTTTATGGCCCAGTAGTATTCCATTGTATATATTTCTTAACAGGCACCCTAAGGGATTCTGACTTAGGGACCCTAAGGGATTCAGGGACTATGCTTGAAAAAAGTCTTATCTGGGAACTTCCACTTCCTTGTTAGTAATAGGTAACACTTCATAGCAATTACAGTTGTACCAAGCACTCTTCCGACCACACACAGTAACTTACTCAACCCTCACAACTACTGTGTGTACTAGATACCCATATTTTATACATGAGGAAATCAAGGCTCAGAGAGTTTAAGTAACTTGCCAAGGTTGACACTGATAGCAGGTAGCTGAGCCAAGTGCTAGCATTCTGTGACTTTTTTTTAGAAGTAACAAAATAAATGACCTGGTATTTTAACTTTGAGAGATATGGCACTATCAACAAAAAATAACCACGTGGTATTGCTGAGAATGTTTGGGTGATAAGGAGCTCTGAATTCAGGGCTGCCTTCCAGAAAACAAGCTGTCAGTTTTAAGGGTGAGAATTGATACAGATGTTTCCAGTGAGAAATTTCAGTACCTGAAGATTAGACAATATCATCAGGTTTTGCTATTTTTTTAACTAATGGAAATGTCCTTTCCAGTGTTGTTACATTATTCAATTTGGGAATAAGAAACACACGATACTGAAGGATGCTTTCAGAAACCAAAGTTGAGTCTTTGGCCGTCTTGTTCTGACATCATTCTGGTGAACCAATCCAGTTTCCTTCTACACTCTGAGAGAGGATGTTGTGGTAGGGTTGCCTGTTAAAATACAGGACGCCCAGATAAATTTGAATTTCAGATAAATGATGAATATTTTAGTATAAATATGTATACTTATAGGTGTATGTATATATGTATGAATACGTCTCAAATATTGCAAATATCTGTTTGCTAAATATAACAACTGTAGATTGTGGTGCAGGGCAATGCTTCTCAAACTTTACTCTGTATATAAGTCAGCTGGGAATTTTGTTAGAATGCAGACTCTGGGGCGCGGTGGCTCACGCCTGTAATCCCAGCACTTTGGGAGGCCGAGGCGGGCGGATCACGAGGTCAGGAGATCGAGACCATCCCGGCTAAAACGGTGAAACCCCGTCTCTACTAAAAATACAAAAAATTAGCCGGGCGTAGTGGCGGGCGCCTGTAGTCCCAGCTACTTGGGAGGCTGAGGCAGGAGAATGGCGTGAACCCGGGAGGCGGAGCTTGCAGTGAGCCGAGGTCCCGCCACTGCACTCCAGCCTGGGCGACAGAGCGAGACTCCGTCTGAAAAAAAAAAAAAAAAAAAAAGAAAAAAAAAGAATGCAGACTCTGAGTCAGTCGTTGCTATGTTAAAGCTGCTGTTCTAAAGACCACATCCAAAAGGAAAGTGTGAGCAGAGATATTTGTTGAGCTTGGCTGGAATAGAAGAACCACCTGTGGCGCCTATTGAAAATATAGATACTTTGCCATAACAAAGTACTGTAGTTTGAATGGCTTAAATAATGGGAATGTATACTCTCACAGTTCTAGAGGCTGGAAGCCCAAGACCAAGGTATCAGCAGGTTGGTTTTCTTCTCAGATTTCCCTCTCTGACTAGCAGACAGCTGCCCTCTCACCGCCTCTTTACATGGTTGTGTCTCTGTATCTGTGTGCCCATGGTGTGTCTATGTGTCCTAATCACCTCTTTTAGTAAGAATATCGGTTGTATTGAATTAAAGTATACTCTAATGGTCCCATTTTCACTTAATTACCTCTTTAAAGTTCCTGTCTCCAAATGCAGTCATTGGGTTAGGATTACAACATATGAAGTTTGGGGACACACAATTCAGTCTGTAACACCATCTGAGAACCACTGAGACCAGACTTTCTGTGGGAGGGACTTTCAGAGGCTACCAATTTGGCCAGCTGGAAGCCCTGGTTGAAGAAGAACATCCCAGGTGAGTTTTATCAGGTAAATTTAAGAAATCTGGTATAGAATAGTAATTCTTCAACTTGAGCATCAATTGGAATCACCTGAAGAACTTGTTCAGCGCCCCAAGATTCTGACTGAAGAGGTTAAGGTGGAGCTCAGATTCGGCTTCTTAACAAGAAGACATGCTTAAGGACACCACCTTAGACACATCCCTCAACCTCTCTCACAAGCGGAGGCAGGAGGAACATACTCATCACATGGCTGTGGTGTGGATTTCCTGAGATTAGGAGGCAAAAGCTCTTGGGAACTTCAGGGCCCTATGTTAGAAGAAGGTGAGTCATGGTGATGAATTTTCCACCAGTTATAAAGCATGCGAACCAAAGTCAATGTATTTTCATGAATAGCAAAACAGTGTGTACTTTTTTTTTTTAATCTTTAACTTTTATTTTAATTTCCGGGGAACACGTGCAGGATGTGCAGGTTTGTTACATAGGCAAACGTGTGCCATGGTGGTTTGCTGCACAGATCATCCCATCACCTGGGTATTAAGCCCAGAATCCACTAGCTTGTCTTCTTCATCCTCTGCCTCCTCCCAACATCCCCTGACAGGCCTCAGTGTGTGTTGCTCCACACCCCACCTCCACCACCATGTGTCCATGTGTTCCCATTGTTCAGCTCCCGCTTACAAGTGAGAACGTGTGGTGTTTGTTTTTTTGTTCTTGCGTTAGTTTGCTGAGGATAATGACTTCCAGCTCCATCCACGTTCCTGCAGAGGACATTATCTCTTTCCTTTTTATGGCTGCATAGAATTTCATGGTGTGTATGTACCAGATTTTCTTTATCTAATCTATCACTGATGGGCATTTGGATTGATTCCGTGTCTTTGCTGTAGTGAATAGTGCTGCAATGAACATACGTATGCATGCATCTTTATAATAGAATGATTTATATTTCTTGGGGTATATACCCAGTAATGGGATTGCTGAGTCAAATGGTATTTCTGCCTCTAGGTCTTTGAGGAATCACCACGCTGTCTTCCACAATGGTTGAACTAATTTATACTTCCACCAAGAGTGTAAAAGTGTTACTTTTTCTCCATAACCTCACCAGCATCTATTGTTTCTTGACTTTTTAATAATTGCCATTCTGACTGGCATGAGATGGTATCTCATTGTGGTTTTGGTTATTAGAACTTTCTTATTATTCTATTCATGGATGAGTCAGCAAGGTGTCCTTCATTCTTGCCACCATAGTGGTCTTTATTAAAGAGCACATTGCTAGATCCCATGAGGCCAGTTTTCCAAATGCGATGCGAGTTGAAGATAAAATCCACCTAGTTTGGGAATGGAAAAGAGTTGAAAGGCCTCCAAATTATGTGATTAAACCTGCAATCTCCTGAGAAACTGCTTTCTTGTTACAACTGTGGTTCCTGAGACACAAGTTACTTTGATGTTGATCATGTTAATAAACTTGTAAATAAAGTCTTGCAGAAGAAGAAATCAATAGCTTTGCTTACAGGCCTCTAAAGCACTTATGAGAGTGACCCTCTCTGGTGAATTAACATTCTTGAACTTCACCAATCCTGGTAAATACAGAGGTCTTAAGAAAATGTACCTTTCTCTATACTGTAGTTTTATGAGTTTCTTACTAAAAACCAGTACTCTGCCATTTTCTTTCTTTTCTAAAATTGGATGTTAATGACTAGCTGGTAAGCATTTTTAAAGGTCATATTTATAATAACAGGGCTATAAGTTGAGCTTAGTCTTCAGTACAATGGGTTTAAGATTACCACCTATTAATTCAGTGAGAATTAAATGTGTGCAAAGCTGCTACTATAGACTTCGTGAAGTATAATAGCTCCATAAATGACATTTTATTTGTATGGTTATATACATCTAAATACGTTGTCTTTTTCTGCTCATTTAAACTTCAATGCTTTCTTCTTTTTTCTTTTCTTTTTCTTCCTTTCTTTGCTCTTCCTAGCCAATTAATCAAATCATGATGTATATCTTAAAATAGCGTATTTTGACCAGAAAAATTGTGAGGAGGGCTTTTTTTGTTGTTGTTCAATCTCTGAGTGATAAGGAAACAGAGGCCCAGAGATTAAATAGCTTGATCAAGGTTAATCAAGGTTAAGACAGAGCTGACTTTGAACACAGGATTCTGATCCCAGCAGTATTGGAGCCCTTCTGTTTTCTCCTCCAGATGTACACTCAGCTTTTATTTTTTCCACCACACTCTTTTCTCAGAAGACTGAGCATTTGGGATGCCTTGGAGAACTCCCTTGCTTTCTGGCTTCCTGTTGGGATCAGCCAATGGGGAGCACGGGCAGGACATGGGGCAGGGGTTGGGGGTAGGAAAGGGAGACTGGGGTATTTTATTCCATTGGGTTCCTTCTCAAAGGGATCACTTTGGACTGGCTGTCACCTTAAACAAAAACCACAGCTCCTAAGAAGGTGGCCCTCTCTGTAAGTCTTTCCAGGTTCTGATAACAGTTCCCTCCCATTGTCCCCTTCCAGCTAAGAAGTGGGAACAGCTCTGCTGGCACTAACATCACGGTACTGTTACCGCTTTTATAGTTTTCTTGCACCCTCTGTCAACGATTCCCTCATCAAAACTCTCCTCATTATTCTATTTGACTATGCCATTTGTTTCCCACTGGGGCCCTACCTCATAGACTCCGACTTATTCACTTCCTTAACACTTCACTGGACTTGGAGGATATTTAAGGGACTGCCTATGAGCAACATTCTGATTCTATCCATAGCTCAGATAAGCGTAGACTTCCTTTGTTCACAGAGGGAATTCTGCCATGGTTGCTCTCTCCAAGGCACAAAAGGAGAGATGGAAAGCCAGCTGGAGTTCTAACATTTACCTTCTAACAGCTGCCTCCTTCATGTGAAATCTTTGAAGAAAGGCTGGCCCAACCCAGATGGCAAAGAGCAGATAAATTGAGGATGATCCTAGGGACTAAAAACTTAAGTAAACTTTGTAATTTTTATCTGAACGATACAATATGATTAAAATATAAAGGAGTTTGCTCCCAAGGAGAAATAAAGAGGCCTTAACTAGGTCCCTGCTTGGCAGCAGAATTTTATGCCTCTTAATATTTGCATGGTCAATTAATCCCTTAAAGTGATGACTAGTAGGCAATTTATTTGGACGGTGCAAGGGGCTAATTGGTAACATTGTTACACAAAATCTTGTGGGCAAAAATTATGCCTGTCTTTAAAAAAATACGCCTTTGGTATTTGAAGGCAGAGCTCTAGTGCCTTGGGCCTCAGAGGAATTCAGACTGCTGATGTCAGAATTAATGAAGTATATGGAAACTTAAGTGTAGGATGGATGGAGTGAAAAATGCATTAAAGATTAATGACATTAGACTAGTGGGAGAGCCACATTTTCTGGTGATCAAAGACTCTGAGGCTTTCATCTGCAAGTGCCTGGGAGAATGTTGAACATCTTGGAATTTGTCATATCGCCTTTGGTTAAATTCAGCCTGCTATTCAGCAAAGTGCTCCAAGAAAAATCCCCCACCCTTCGGGGTCTGATCTGTTCATTCATTCAAGAAATCTTTTTTGAGTGCCTACTCTGTGGCAGACATTGATTAAGAAAAAAACACTGAGGTCAGTGATGAACCAAAACACATACATTTTCTTTTCTTATGGAGATTCCAATGTCGTGAAATAGACAAGTTTTCTTAAATAACAGAATATGCATTTGCATTCTTAGGTAATTATATTTTTTGGTAATATTATATTCTAGGATAACAAGAAGTCCTCTAGTTTCAAAATATGTCAAACATTGGATAAAATATAATAAGAAACATTTTATAGCCAGGCATAATGGTGGGCGCCTGTAGTCTCAGTTCCTTGAGAGGCTGTGGTGGGAGAATTGCTGGAGCCCAAAAGCTCCAGGCTGCAGTGAACTGTTATCATACCACTGCACTCCAGCCGGGGTGACAGAGAGAGACCCTGTCTCAAAACAAACAAACAAACAAATTAAAAAAACACGAAACATTTCAAAAGTAGAACTAAATGCCTCCAAAGTCAGAGAAGTCCTCAGTGACCAGAAAAAAAAGGAAAAATAAAAACAAAAACAAAAAAACCCCTGAAAACCAGAGAGAGGAGTGGGGCTAAAGTTCAGGTTGCCTTGTCTGTGGAGCGAGAGAGAAAAATCCTCACAGGTTATACATAACAGGGAACAGGTCACTGTGTGTGAGAGTCAGCCAATACAGTGGACGGTGTATTTAAGCCTTCAAACTAGGGTAATGTTCCAAAGGAAAGCAAAATTGTGTTCTGGGGCATCAAGCCAGATAATGTGGCCTAAGGTGGGCCATGCCTCTGCTATGGAAGCTTCCTAGAAGACACTATACCTGGAGTGACTGTGAAAAATAGGCCTGGTGCAGTGGCTCATGCCTGTAATCCCAACACTTTGGGAGGCCAAAGTGAGCAGATCACTTGAGGTCAGGAGTTTGAGACCAGCCTGACCAACATGGTGAAACCCTGTCTCTACTAAAAATACAAAAATTAGCCTGGCGTGGTGGTGCTTGCCTGTAATCCCAGCTACTTGGGAGGTGGAGGGAGGAGAATCGCTTGAACCCAGGAGGCAGAGGTTGCAGTGAGCTGAGATCGCATTACTGCACTCCACCCTGAGTGAAAGAGTGAGACTCTCTCAAAAAAAAAAAAAATAAATAAATAAATAAATAAATTGGATGAGCATAGTGGCAACCAGGGGTGGGCATTCCTAGTGGAAGGTTGGTTGTGTGAGTCAGATCTGGGTTGGAGGGGCCAGGGAGTGTTGGAGGGACTCAAAGGATGCTATGGCTGGAAAGAGAGAGAGAGAGAGAGAAAGGAAAGTGTGCATTATGAGACTAGAAAGCTAAGCTAATAAAGACTCACTCTTAATGGGGTCAGGAGTTTCACCTGTATCTGAAAAGCAATGGGCAACTATTATTAAGGGTTGTAAGCAGTGTGGCAACATCAGAATTACTATTTTAAAGTCATCTGCTTGCACTTTTTATAGCAGGGACTACAGCAGGGCATGAGTAGAAGATGATCCAGGAGAGAGAAGGTCATGAACAGGACATCATGGAAGGCAGTGGGGGAGATAGCTCCTACAGAAGGATGCAGGACTTTGCTCAGTGCTTCAGTTATATTTCTGGTGCTGAAAAGGAGTAGATAGAATACTCCAACATGGGCAAAATATCTGCACTGTATATGTGGTTTCCGATTGAAGTATTGAAAAATACAAGATCATGCAGGAGCTGGATTTAAAAAATAATAATAAGATATGAAATCCAGAATACCTAAACAAACCACCATCACCACTACCAAAAATTTGTTTCTAAGAAATGAAGAAGAAAAAGCCACTTGCATTAGATGCTAGAGCAGAAGTGGGTATAGAATGTAGCTGGAAATCTACTTCAGGGTTAACATATAGCAAACTTGTTTTCAGTTCCTCTGTCCTGTCCTATTCTCTCACAATTGTACCTCCATGAGCCATTTTTCCTCTGGTTCAATTTCTTCCCCTAATGCAGCTTCTGCCATCTCTGTCTTCCATGTCTTCATTTGCCTATTTTTATTTCTTCCAAATGTTTACATTACTAACAAAAACTGACATCACTTACTAACAAAACTAACATAAAAGTACAACTTCATGGCTGTGCTAAATACTTCTATTGGGACAATTTTTTAGTTCTTACAACAACTTTGTGAGGTAGGTACTTAATATTCTCGTTTGCAGATAGGAGGAGTGAGTTTCAGGTAAGCCAGATGACTTGGTCAAAGGTCACACAGTTAGTAATGGCAGAGCCAGTATTTAAACCCAGGTAGCCCATTTAAAAAAAATCAGAATTAGCTCTTGATATGAGCACCCTTAGACCTACATACTTGTGCTTAAACTTTACATTGAATATCTATCACCTACAGAGCTTGTTAAAATGCAGATTTTGATTTTGTGGCCCTGGAATGGGGCCCAAGTTTTGCATTTTCTTTTTTTAAATTTTATTTTATTTTATTTTATTTTAATTTAAGGTTTTGCATCTTCTACATGCTCTCATGTTGAAATTGCTGGTTCCTGGATCCCACTCTGAGTAGCATTAGTGTATGACAGGCATTCAGTGAATATTTATTGAATGAAGTAATTCAAATAAAGAAATGCTAAGATGTATATGTCAGTGATTTCTTTCTTTGGATATCTTGTTGTTGCCTTGCACTTATGGCTGTCTGAATAGTAATTATTCAGTTGAATATTGAATGATCACCTGCTATGGATAGGGAAGACCCACTGTGAAAGACGCAGAGATGAATGGATATGACCTCTCTTCTGGGCTGGAAGCCTTAGGTGCCATTTTCAGGTGGGCAAGGATTCTGGCTCAGCACAGGCTCCTGGACAAGTTGCCGCTCAGCCTGCTCTCCCTACCACTAGTCTTCATGACATGATCTACCAGGGCCAGTCTCTGTGCTAAGTGTTTTATTAATACATGTATCATTTCATTAGTTACATTCAACATTCCTGCACTGTAGGTACTACTGTTTTTCCTCACTTACATATGAGGAAACTGTGGCAGAGAGCAGTTAACTAGCTTGCCCAGATACACAACAAGGTTGACATTTGAATCAAAGTGTTTTTCATTATAGGGCCCCATTTCTTATTTATTTATATACTTGTTTGTTAGTTTATTTAAAAATATTTTAATTTTTACAGATTCAGGGGTTACTTGTGCAGGTTATTTTTTTTTACATGGATATGTTGTATAATGGTGAGGTTTGGGCTTCTAGTATGCCCATCAACTGAATAGTGAACATTGCACCCAATAGGTTGTTTTTAAGCTGATACTTCCCCACATGCTCCCACCATTTGAAGTCTCCATTGTCTATTATTTCCATCTGTATGTCTATGTGTACTTATTGTGAAGTTCCCACTTATAAGTGAGAACAAGCAGTATTTGATTTTCCAAATTATTCCACTTAGAAATAACTTAGTTATTTCACTTGAAGTATAATGACTTTCAGCTTCATTCATGTTGCCGAAAAAGACATGATTTTATTCTTTGATATGTGGAGTACCATTTCTTAACCATAATTCTCTTCTGCCAATCTGGAATGATGAGATGGAGAATGATGCAAAGGTAGAAATAGGAAGTAGCAAGCATACAAATAGTTGTCTTGTTTGGTCTTTTAAATCTTGAGAAATACAGAAAATGGAAAATTTAGAAAAGTATATCACAAATGGTGGGATATTCGCATTGATAAAGGCTTTTTGTCAGTCTTGTTTTATATTTTTTTAATGTAAAACAAACAAAACCTGACAGGTAATGTTCACAATCCCTTTATGCCTCCCAATTCACATTTTCTCTCCCACCCTTTCCAGAGCTGTGCTTGTTTACTTCCAGGTCATGTTTCTCTATTTCTAGAAAATATTTTTCTGTATTCTTGAAAGTGTTTTTCTGTAATATTATATATATGCAACACAACATATATATTGTATCGTTTGGGTGTTAAAAATATCCAGAAGTTATAATATGCTACGTGTAACAATCTACAACATACATTTTTCACTTGGCATTATGTTTTTGAGGTCTGTCTGTGTTGAATCATATAGGAATAGCTTTTCAATTTTAATTTCTACTACATTCCATCTTATCTGTTCTACTGTCAATGGATATTTAGCTTGATTATAATACAATTTCATGAATGCTGATGTAAACATTCTTGAGCAGTCTTCTGAGACATAAGTGCAAGAGTTTCTATAGAATCTATAGGTAGAAATGGAATTGTTGAATTTTATGTTCTTTTAAAAATTATTGATATGTTGACAACTATTCTCAGAAATGATTGCAGCAACTTAATTCCTTCCGGAAATGTATACTGTTATCAACACTTTGTGAAGTCTGATATTTTTCTCCCTATTTGAAGAGCATAAATTGGTATCCAAATGTTAATTTAACTCGCAGTACTTTGGTTGCCGATTCAAGTTATGTTGGTTTTTGTTTGTTGGTTTGTTTGTTGGTTGTTGGATTTCTATTTTGCCTCTTCACATGTTTGGCTCATTTTTTCTAACTAGTTTGTAACAGTCCTTGTCTGTTCTTAATACTGTACTTAATACTTAATCCTATTTGCGGTTCATTACAATAGCTATTTGTATTCTCTTTGTTATTTGCTTTATACTATCCATAAGTCAATACTGAACACTTAGAAAAATTATATTTTTTCTTTCGTGAGACGTACTTGTCACTTACAAAGGGCTTCTTTGGGGAGAGGAAGCATAAAAGAATGATTAGGAACTTTGTCTCTGCAGCTAGGCTGCCTGAGATGGAAGCTGAGCTGTCTCCCATCCCATCCCATCCCATCCCATCCCATCCCATCCCATCCCATCCCATCCCATCCCATCCTAACCTCTCCTATCCATCTTATCACATTGCATTGATCTGACCTTCAGTACAATGTTGAACAGTAGAGGTGATTGGAGGAGGTAGGGTTAGCAGAATTCCTTGTGAAGTAGCAGCATGGTCTCGATTGCGAATTACAGAATTTTTTTTCAGGCCTGTCCTGTGTAGCAGGCATGAAGATAAGAATAGCTTTTGTTGCTGGTGCTTCATCCTTGCAAGGATTTTAGTCAAATTATCATTTGGAGGGAGTAGTCATACTGTATGTGAGGACAGCAGGCTTAGGTTAGAAATGCTGAAAACTATTTTGGGTCCATTCACCACGAATTTTCTGTTTAACTTCATATGCATTTTAGTTGTCATTTTATTTATTGATATCCCCCACTAGACTCATGAGGATAATGTCCATGACAATATTATTGACTGATATAGTTCCAAAGTCTAAAATAGTATCTGGCATATTTTAGGTATATATTTATCAAATGATTGAATTAATGATCTCACTTTGCCTCTCTGTCCAATTATATCTGTAAAATGAGGTCAGTGGAATTTGCCCCGCTCCCCTGAAAGAGTTGGCAAGGTTAAATCAGATAATGTGTTCTGAAAAACCACCCAATTTATGATGATCACAGGTCATGGTGGATAGCAGTAATCAAGGAAGCACAAGTAGGTGACACATTTGTCTGTCTCCTCCACCAGAATGGGAATTCCATGAGAACACAGATTTTCTACGACTTATTTGTTCCTGTGACTCATGTGTCTGGAATAGTGCCCGGAATTTGGGTACTTTTGGATAAATGGAATAGAGTGGAATTTAATCAATATCTTTATTTGACACAAAAAATAAAGGACAAAGCGAAGTTGAATTCAAGAATCTGATGTGAAAGCATATATATGAGTGAGAGTGTATATGAGAAGAGTGGAAAAGAAGAAAGCAGAAGAAAAAAATGGATCGGAAAACCATAAGTGAGAATGAAGGAGACAATGTCTAGGATTTTTAAAAAACGCTAGTCTGAAAAGGTCAATTTGATGTTTGGGGTTGTCTTTCTAACTGAATAGGATCGATCCAACGACCAGTATGATTGCATAAAACTGGTCATTAAGATGGTAAGGGAACCACAATTTAACTGTAAGTGCCTGATTTAGGATTTGTAAGTCAGTGAAGAGAGATGAGAGACAAGAGTCTGCAGACCTCTGACCCTATGTATTCTGTGGAAGTGCTTTAAGACTTGGACAGTTGCCTGAGCTTAGAAAACAATAATAATGTATCCTGAAGAACTTTGAATTTATACTTGGGTTTTGTCCATCCTAACATTCTCTGTATTCTCATAAAAGTAGTTTCAGTAGGCATCTGTTGTTTTTTCCTTGTCCTGCATTTATTTTCTTTGTTTTTTTTCCCTTGCTAACAGCTTCCCAGTTTGTTTTGGGGAATAACTTCCCAGTTTCATTCCTTTGATTTGTGTGATGATTTACTGCTCTTCCATCTATAGGAGTGGCCATGGGACCCAGGCCAGGGCAATGAACATAGACCATTTCTTGGCCACAATGTTTTGCTCAATAATGTTCACAAGGCCTGATATAGGCAAATACATTCAATCTTTGGACTTCTGGTCTAACTGTTGTGAAAGAGAAGTCATCTTTCAACTAGGATTACTGCACTGACCGTTAACCAAAGAAGAGAACCTGACCAAGAGAAGCCAAACAAAACAAAACAAAAAAAAGCTAATAGGGAGAAGCTAAGTTGTGATGATAATGTTTAGGTATGTGAATCCGTTGTTGCCTAAAGTTCTTCTGCATGAGCCATTTCAATTGTATCGGCCAGTAAATTCTCTAGTACATTTAATTTGAATGGAGATTCACTTGCAGTCAAAAAGCATATTGATTACTACACTTTGATTTTTTAAAACTTTTCAATGGAATTGATTCTTGAGAGCACAGCCCTTATGCCTAGGCTGAAGAAAGTCAGAAGTATATGTCATGCCCCAAGTAAAACATTACTTCTAGATAATTTTTTATTGAAAACACACTTTTGGGACCTTTGAATCTTGTCAGTGTTTGCACATCTATAGCAAGGTATGGTTGAATTAGATTACGTCCAGGTCAAAAGTGTAAAATTTTATGACAGCTTTTCTTGCAATGATCCCATGATATTGCCTGGTATTTTCTGGCAATTCCTGATGAGGAGGTTAACTCTTGCCAAGTTTGAGAGTACACCCTGCCATTTATCCCACTTTCTTATTTCTTTTCATGTTCATGTTTCTTAATGCCCCAATAACATTAAAAGGCACTGCAGCTGTGATAATGATGAAAATAGCTATTATTTTGAATTCTTACAATACTAAGTTCTTGACATAAGTCATTTCAATTAATCTTCCCAAGAACACAGTGAGGCAGGAATTAATATGCAATATATAATCATGGTTTCAGCATGAGGGTCTTGGGATTATTTAGATTAACCTCACCTCACCTACCCCTCAAGTATAGATAGGCAACTTCTCCACTTACCCTAATTAGTGTCCAGAGTCTCATTATCATTTTAGGGGCCTACAGGTTCCCTGAGAGGTTGTGTATTAGTGAGGTGTCACTTGGGCCAATCAGGTGAGATCTACCAAGTTGTTTTCCATAAATAGGCATAACTCTTGCCGAGTGTTTGCGGGTGATATACTGCTATTTTGGCTTCCAATGAAAATCACTTGGAAGGTTCTTCCTTTTGTGATGGCTAAGCAGGTAGTGATGAGAGTGATCATTTATCTCCAACATGACCCTTTAGTAGATGTGAACAGTGCCGCTCCACGTGATCCTTCCAAGAGTTTGCAAGCTGGCTCTTGCGGGGTAGGATAATCTTTTATCTTTCAAGGAAGTTGTCTCTAGGATCATATTCTAACATCTCAGAGCTTTTTTTCTTTTTTTTCTTAAAGTAATTCTTCCACTTTACTTTGATCTCTATGCTGCCCCTCCCTCTCCTCCTTCTCTTTCTTTTTGCAATTATTTTTCCTCTTGTTCTTTCACGGTTGACAGGAAGGATTCATTAAACTTATAATTCAAATTATTAGCAATCAAAAATGTTTTAAAGTTGACTTTTTTAAAGTTTGACTTCAAAATCAAAAACCTAAACTTTAAATGATGCCAGGAAGTAAAGGGAAATTCTTAAAATTAATCTTCAGAATTCATAAGGAAAAAAGAAAAAGGAGTTAATTCTCCTTTTTAAAATGTTGTGAATGTTCATATTCTAAAACCATTTCAATCCTCGTTTTACAGATTAGGAAACCAAGGCTCAGAGAATGAGTAATTAGTAATTAGTAATGAGTCAAAGATCACAGAGTTAAGAAGCTGTATGTAGAGCTTGTAGTCAAGCCTAGGTGCGACTGAATATAAAACCTTGCTACTATCCATTTAGCCCAAAGGATGTGGGCAAGATCTGGTCCATAACGCACTCTTAGGAAAATGATTTGAGAAAAATGTCATAAATAATGGCTTTTAGAAAAAAAAAGGATACGCCACAAGATTTGTCAGTTCTTTTCTACAGGTTATTATAGGAAGGAGCCAACAAACCGTTTAGAAGTCCATGTGGATTTCTAAACTTATAACCTATAATAGTCCTTGACAATGAACATTCTCTGAAATTCATAGTTTGTAGACAAACTTCTGGGCATTTGTTTTGCTCTGTGTTTAAAAATAACTTCGATATGTTCTATATGTAATTTTACTGATTAAATTTTTACAACTATATATATTTATAACCCATTCATAGCTTTATTTCTCAATATTTAGTGAGTTATGGTTACATATTTTAAATAATTTTTAACCTTATATAGTAGCTATGAATGTAATACTTTTATTATTCTATACAAAATGGAAACTGTTCTTTCAGTATAAACAGTTATTAGCTGTTTACATTTCACATGAACATTTTTGAGGTATGAAAAGCATCTTTTCAGTAGTTCTTGATAAACCCTCCTGCTTCATTTCTTGTGTCAGAATACAGGAAACAAAGAGGTATGTATTTAATATCATGAAAGGATCTTGTCACATCCAAAATAGAACAGTTAATTCTACAAGTTTCAACATGCACAGGAATAACTTATAAACCTGATAATGAAATGCATTTTTCACTGGCAATTTCCAGTTTCAGTAACTGAACGTTGCTTTGCACAAAGTTAGACTCTCAAAATTCAGAGAATTCCTGAAGCCAACTTGTTGCTGTATAACTGCACATTTTTGTATCTGTAGTAAATTGTAACTTAAAAGTTTCTAGTGTTTTCTATGGAAAATTTTCTTTCATGGCTTGAGAATTAAAGTACTAGAGTATGGATATACAAATGTTTCATACTGAAAGGTAACATAGACAGCATGTCAGTTGCTGCACATTGGACAGAGTCGGACATGGTATGTCATTTGCTGGACTCTAGGTAATGTTGGAAATGCTTCTTCATGTTCTTTATAGTGACAATGAAGATGTTTTGTTTGTTTGGCTTCAGTTTTCTTTTTTTTTTTGCCATTTTTTTTTTGGCTTAAAGATCATCATGAAAGACCCCTTACAGTACAGTGGTGATATCAAAGTTGGAAGGGAAAGCTAATGTGAAAAATGCCAAAATCCAAATAAAAATCCAACAGGATGAGCTCAAATGGGGGAGAGAATTCCATTAAGTGTAGATGTGATAACAATAAAAGTTCAGAAGCACAAAATTTCCTAGAATATCAGGGTAATCTGGATTAAAATCTGCTCATAAAGGGGAAAATAGAGGTCCTAGATGACAAGTGCTGCCTATAGAACACAGCTGCTTAAACAGATGATGTGACCTCAACTGCACGCCTTGAGTCACTTCACACAATATTATCAGGTTATATCTAGAACATGGACTCCTTTCTTAAGGACATTATTGACAGGTGAGAGAAGTTGAAAATTCTGGGACGGCTTTGTCTAAGGAGGATCTGGAGAGACTGTTCAGATGTGGAGATCATGTTTTCTCCTCCTGTGGCCTGTTGACACTTCCTCATAAATAGAATAAAATACATAAATGGAATCCCATGTAATTCTCTCTCCTATTTGTTTGTCTTCATTATTCTCTATATTGGTAAAGAGAAGCACCACTGTTGGGATTAAAAGAGACAATGTGACACTTGGCTATGAGTTTGGTCCATAGTAAGCTCTCAATACATGGCTGACAGTTATGATTACCATATATCTCTTCATTTAATTCTTCTAAAAACTTTACGAGGTAAGTACTACTCTTATCTGCATATTTAGATGAGAAAACTGAGGGTCGCAGGAGTTACATGGTTGAATTAGGGCAACCTTGTCTAGGCTTCAGAGTAGGAGGGAACCTGAAGTCTGTCTGACCTCATAGAAAGCTTATGCCATTAATCAATAATCCCTACTGCCTCTCGAGACTATACAATATGATTGGATAATGACAGTGAAGTGAGAAGGGGAGGTTATAATTTCCACATCCCTTTTAACTTGTTCTGAAAGCCTTGCTACTTTACTTTGGGTCTTTAAAGCTTCCAGTACCATTCCTTTGTACTTTGAATGTCTTCTCAACTGCAGAGACACACACACGCACACATACACACACAGAGAGAGAACTACATTAGCTATTAAACTGGATACATGGCCATGTACTATTTTCTAACTGAACTTTTTAGTACTTCAAAGACTTGAAGTACAGTTTAATGGTGTTTTAGCTGTCACTGGAATTAAAAGTCGTGTGCCATTGTGTGCTGAGTTTGGTCCCCCCTTTCAGCTGATATTTAGAGAAGTAATTATTCTACTTGAGGCTTGAGGGATGTGTGTACCATGAAACAGACAATAAAGACAGACCTCTTGAGGTCTGCCATGGATTATTTATTTCCCCCTCATATTCCTTACTGAGAACAATTCACAGCCTACATTTTTGATCCACTATAACTTTTTCCTTAATAGAAAGGTAAAAGGACTTTAGAGCTAACTCTCCCAAATTTATATAATCACTAAATCACACAGCAAAAAACAACAACAAAATCTAGTCCTTAAGGTTGCCAGCACCAGGGAGCAAAGGCAGAGGTGGCTTTTGCCAGGCAATGATTAAACACACTCAGAGTGATTGTTCTTCAAAGAGACTCATACTATGGACTGAGCAGAATCACAGTTGGCCAGTAAGGAATTCATATTTTTTCATGTCCCCTCCTCTAACCATATGAAGCTTAGACAATGTCCCCCTGCTTCAATTTGTCAAGTATTTATTGCTTATATTTTATCAGTTGAGGTTTGCTGGTTGTTGACTCCATCTTTCAGTTGGTATAGCATGTTTGTTTGCTTTCTCCCTTTCCTCATGTGTCTTCTGAGTATCTGGGACTATAGATGTGCATCACCATGTCTGGCTAATTAAAAAAATTTTTTTATAGAGACACTATGTTGCCCAGGCTGGTCTCAAACTCCTGGTCTCAAGCAATCCTCTTGCCTTGACCTCCCAAAGCACTGGGATTACAGGGTGAGCTACTGCACCCGGCCGAGTTTTCTGTTTTCTATATGATTCAACATACCTTCTGATTTGAGGCACTCAGGACATAATTAATAAATACTTATTAACTTAATATGCCTAAGAATGAGCCAAGAAAGTGATGAAGCCCTGATTTCATCCCACCAATAACCATGGAAAGCTTTCTGAATCAACCCCACTTGTGGCATGTGAAACAGGAGTAGCAGCAGTTTTAAGCTATTGTAGGTCAGAAATAGTTGCTATATTCTAGGAGCCCTGGGACAGAAAGGTAAGAAATGGGTGAAGTGAACAGATTTACAAAAAGGAAAGAGTTGTGGGGCTTATGGGTACTGGAAAGACCACGCTGAATCAAAAAGTGTCCAAGTTCAAATCTCTGGAAACAAGCAAACAGAAGCACAAGAAAAGGTCCACAAATCTGTAGCCTGCTAGTTAATGGGCTCTGATTATAGACAAACTGAGGCAAGTTCAGAGCATCAGGGATGTCAGGGGTTCAATGATATCTTATGAGATAGTGCTGGATACTTTATCCTATGTAAGAGAGAACTCAAATTGGAAGGTAACATTTTCTTCGGTAATCTAAAAAGACTGACCAGGGAAGAATAAGACTTAGTGTCCGAGGTCAGTATTTGGAATTCACAAGAAGATAGATTTTGCTTGAGTTCATTTGCTTGAGAGATTTTGAATGAATTCTGATGAATAATCAGTTCCTCTCACTCAAGGTGTTTAGGCTTAGTTTGGGGAAATTAGAGCCAGCATGTTGAAGAGGGATTGGATTTAAGGATGTTCATGGTCTTTTGCCAGTTTTGTTATTTCACAATTACTTGAAGGCCACGGTGCAGGGAGATATTCTAGATGAATGGATGTGTATAATCATCATTTACCAAACAGTTCCTTGCAGATGGAGTAGTAATCAGCCATTGATGGATATTTAGAACAATAAATATGTCTTCTATTATTAAATAAATAATCACTTTACAATCTAGAAGTTAGAGAAACAATTGAGGTAATCTGTCTAGTGAATTAGTTATCTATCATTTGCATAACAAATTACCCAAAAATATAGGGGCTGGTATAGTTTGAATATATGTCCCTGCCAAACGTCACATGAATTGTAATCCCCGCTGTTGGAGGTGGGGCCTAGTGGGAGATGTTTAGGTCATGAGAGAGGACCCCTCATGGCTTGGTGCTGTCCTTGTGATAGTGACTGAGTTCTCATGAGATGCAGTCAATTAAAAGTGTGGCACCTTCTACCTTCCCTTGCTACTGCTTTTGCCTTGTGATGTACCTGCTCCCAATTCACCATCTACTTTGAGTAAAAGCTCCTTGAGGCCTCTCCAGAAGTGGAGCAGATGCTGGCACCATGCTTGTACAACCTGCATTAAACCTTTTTTCTTTATAGATTATTCAGCTTCAGATATTTCTTTATAGCAATGTAAGAACAGCCTAATACAGGGGCTTCATACAACAATGTTCATTTATTATCTCATGGCTTTTGTGAGTCTGGAATCCTAGAGTGGCTTAGCTGGGTAGTTCTGATGCAGGGTGTTTCAGAAGGTCTTGATCAAGATGTCAGCCAGGGCTGCAGCTGTTGGTAGGCCTGACTGAGCCTGGAGGATCTGCTTCCAATGCGGCTCACTCACATGATGGGCAAGTTGGTGCTGACCGCAGATGAGAAGTCCCAATTCCTCCCGGCTTGGCCTTCTATAGAGGGTTGCTTGAATGTCCTTGTAGTATGGCAGTTGGCTTTCCCCAGAGTGTCTGATTCAAAAGAAAGAAGCCACACCTTTTTTTGACCTCAGAAGTCACACTTCGTTTTTGCAATATTCAGCTGGTTTCACAGACCAGCCCTATTCGCTGTGGGAAGGGAATACACAAGAGAATAAACATCAGGAAGCAAGAATCATTGAGGACTGCCTTGGACATTGGCCACCGCATCTGATCAGTCCTACCCTTGTGGATTTATTTCTCACATATTCTTCCAAGTTTGAAATATCTTGATCAAAGAGAGTTTCTGCATAATTTTACAGTTCAGTGTGTGTTTTTTTTCTCTTGTACTTTTTAATTTGAACTCATTCTTTATATAGGTATTTTGAAGAACAGCTTGATAACGTTCCATCCTGGATCTCTTAGTGTGCAATTACTGAGAAAACCTTTTATACCTAATTATCAAAGGGCACACGGATTAGGAAGAAAAACTCTCAGACCAGATATTGAGCATTCTAATATTATTGGTCCTTTGAAATTTCTAGCTAAGGGTTAAATGTTCAGTTCTTACAACTTCTGCTATGTAATTAATATGTATATAATGCATGGAAATTCATGTTGTCCTTCATGAGTTGCTGATATTTAATCTACTGTTCAAGCCTTCACCAGCTCTACTATTTTCTCAGGAAAAGGGCCATAAAAAAGGTTTTATCGAGTCCATTTTATCAGCTTTTTGATGGGTTTACTAAACCTAACGGAGAATTGCTGTGTCAGAGTGTATCACTTTAAAAAAAATGGGCATTTGGATGAGGTATTTTTGTTTTCCTGGTTACATTTTGCAGCACTGTCAGTTGCTGATTTTTTTCCCTTCTACCACAGATTGTTATAGTATTTAACGTTTATGTGTTCTCTCTTAGTAACAACTGGGGCCATGGCCAAAATTCTGATTGGGAGTGGGTGGTAGGGTTGGAAACTATATATATGATGGCTGAACAGCTGAGATAATTTATGTTTTTGAGGCAATAATCATGAATAATGCAAATCTAGCTATTAAAATAGAAGGAAGGGATGACATCTTACTGGGTGGGAATTTTAAGGTAAAGCTATAGTTTTAGAGTTATAATAATGGTACCTATGGCTAGGCGTCAACATTATTACTCACTGTGCACTCAATTTGAGGCCAAAAATGTAATATATTTAATTTAACCCTGAGGAACAGTTGGCAGGGAATTAATCTGGTCGTGTTTCCTCGGAGAAGTCTTCCTCTCCCTGGCTCCCCTACATTGGATCAGGTGCTCCTCTGAGTGCTCCCACAGCCCCCTGTATGTGTCCATCATTAGCAGTTATTATGACTCATTGACGTCTTAACATATTTCACAAGAATGTTAACTTGATGAGGCAGAGGCTACATTTACTTTAGTTACTGTTGAATTCCTAGTACTGTGCATGCTGTGGGCATGTTAGTTAGTAGGCTTTCAGCAGCAGCTTTCAGCATTTCAGTAGGGAAATCCAACTGAAACAGGCTAAACCACAAAAGATAACTAATTACTCAATACCTTCAAAGTCTCTTTGTACATGGTTTCAAGCAGGACTGGATCTAAATACCCAAAGGTGTATGTTGTCTCTGTCTCTTGAAGCTTTTTTCCTTAGTGCTAGTGTTAATTTCAGGGAACTTCTTCCTTTTGGGTATCAACATGGCCACCAGCAAGCCCCTTTTTGAACCACCAAAAAGGTTATATAATAACAATTCTCTGAAAATGAGTCTTTGCAGAAGCTCCAACCACATTCTGCCAGTGGCCCTTCCAGCGGCTACTGTGTTGCTGGTTTTCACTATGATTGTGGCCTGTTAGTTTTCCTTTTTTTTTTTTCCTCTTCCTCAAATGGTTTCAGTGCAAATCCTAGGCACTCAAGCACTTTGCTTCGATGAGACTATTTGGGGTCACACATTCTCCTGAGCCATTCACTGTCTTTGGAGGGCTAGAAATACAGTGATTGATATGAGTTATCTACAAGGGATCTGCCGAGGACGTGGAACCTGAAAGGTTTTGACTGATGACCAGGCTTAGGTAAGAGGAGAGCAGGGGAAGGCATTCTGGCTAGGTAAGCCAAAGGAACAAAGACAAAGAGCCATGGCATATGGAGAAGTTGAAGAGGCAAGTAATTGGTGGAAACAGTATTTGAACCGCAGCTCTCTGAATGAGAATCACACTTAACCTGCCATAGTACCACATTGCTCTCTTATAAATGCTATCTTGTAAAGGCTATTTTATGCTATTCTTTATACTTTCATATGCTTAAAGGAACTTCAAACACTGGATAGGGTTAGATATCTCTAAACCGTCTGGAGAAAGCAGAAGGAGTTGTTGTTTTTAGCACTCCACATATTGGTTGAGCAGATTTTACCCACCTGGGTGATAAAGTGAGGTATAACTATAAAGTGGCTAAAGCAACAAAAGAAAGATGCCAAGTGAAGCAGTGTGATTTCTGAAAATGGAAGATATATTAATCTACAAAGACAGTGATTTTCCTGAAATAAGTCTCAAAGCAGAAATTAACTGAGGGTCCTTACACAAAGGATATTGAAACAAAGTAGTATGCTATTGCTTAACCCGTAGACATTCAAAGATTTGAATGTTATTGGATCATTGGCTATTCATAGTGTCCACAAAGGAGGTAAGTGTCAGACAATTCACATTACACCTTCATTAATTGTGTTTCTTGAAACCTCTCACATCCATAGTTGCTGATACTCTATCTCTCCTCCCAAATACACACCCACATAACATTCATGTTCAAAAGCCAAACATCTGACCTCTCAGACATATGAAATCTTACATGATGCCCAATGAGTTTACAAAAAGCACTGTGTCTTGTGTCTTTGCACTGTCATCTTCTCTGTTGGAATGTTAAGTGCATGCAACATAACACTAAGTAGTTCAGAATATGATTTATTTTTCATTGCCACTAAGATTTACAAAAAGCCTTACTATGTGTCAGGCTGCAATGCCAAGCACTTTTCAAGTGTAGTCTAATTTAATTGACCAGTATTTGTATAGATTAATAATGGTGTGCATAGAGTAGAGGTGATTTATTTAGCTCCCTCCTTGGAATTCACATTAAGAGCAAGGTTATTACTTCCTTATCTCCCTCATGAATTAAAATAAGTGGCCAGGACACTGTTGTGTGTGTTCCCTTCCCCAGACCCATATCATTCATGATCTGTCTGTAACAGTGAACAAAGTGGCTGTGAGTTGCTGTCCCAGCCAGATGTTTCAGGCCATGCTCAGAGGCAGACAAATGTGTCCAGTGGAACAGTCACCATTTCTACAAGTGACCTTGTCTCTGGCAGATCAAAGTAGCCTCACTGAGCAGTTAGGAAATGCCTGAACTATTCTCCAGTTGGGGTAGAGGATAGGGGCTCTTTCTTAACATAATGATTTAAAAAGCCAACCAACAAATTCTGTTCACATTTTAGTTCCAAGATGTGAAAACAAATACTCAAAGTCTCTAAACCAAAATATTTAGGAAATAAATGGCAAACAAATTTCCTAATGTGACCAAAACCTGGCCAAACTTGGAACACCGAGTTTCCATTAAGTGAATAATTTCTTATACTGAAACACAAGCTCCCATTTCCCAACTGCCTATGAGACCTCAGGACCATAACCATCCCTAAATTGTGTCTTGTTTTTGTGAGTTCATTGCTGTAAGGTACTATGGCATGAGTTTTGTCTTAATGTTGTCATTGTAGCCTCAATTGAAATAATTTCCATCATTCTATTTGGTCAGATGTCTTTCTGGTTATGCTCTGTAAATGTTAGACCTTTGAGTATAGAGAGATGCTTGGTAATGTTCATCAAACAAAAGAAGTTAAATAAAGCCCAAAGAATTACCAATCTGGGATTCTTACCTAGAAACATAATGCTCCATTTCTATGACTGGCATGCTCCACAGGAAGGGAAAATCACAGAAAATCACTTCTGGCCAGCTGTTGCTTCTGCAGCATCTTGGCTGTCTCTGGCAGGAGGCAATGCTTTTCCTTCCCTCAGGCAGAAAATAATTTGGAATTTGGGGAAGCATTGAAGAAAAGGTCAAGTCTGACTGGAAAGGACATAGAAAATAACTGGTGATGCTACTTTTGCTCTTAGGTATTACTGGCTTTTTTATTCTAGAAAGCAACTATAAAAAATCTCCAAAGTTTGCATAGAAGCCTTGGTCCTTATTATTCAAAAGCTCACAGTTTAAGCTATGTCCTGGTAACCTCAAAGGTCTGTAACAGATAACAGCATTCAAATTTCTTGGGTAAGGTGAAAGAATAAGTCATAAGTCACTTAGCTAGTGAGTAAACCTAGATAACTGCCCAACATCAAGATCTCAATGGGGCTTTGATATCTTTGACTCTTTCCTATATTTAGTAACATTTGTGAATTTATTAAAAAAACAACAGCAACTTTGCTTTTTAAAGAAATTGACTACCAGATAAAGGTAAATGTGGGTCAAAGTTGAAAGTTGGGTTATCAGTGGGGAAGACCATATGAGAGAAAATATGTATTTCTTGATGTGATTAAAAAGGAAGAAGTCAACCTGTATTCATCAGCTTGAGCATTTGCAATGGTTTCATTGTGTATCTCCTTCTCAATGTCAGGACAAAAATGTCATTTACTGTGTGTGCTTTGGTAGGTGATGGTCTCATTATGCATTTCCTTCTCAGTGTCAGGACACAAATGCCATTTAATGTGTGTGCTTTGGTAGATAGTTTTATTGTAGTGTAAATATCAAGATAGTTAAATAATCACCATTTAGAGGGAACAAAAATAATTTAAAAATGACTTACCCTTCAATTATTCTCATCTTCTAAATACTGACCAAACTGGACACTTGCATCTTTACCCAGCCCTGACACGTGGTATTTTCTGGGAGCAAATTAAGGGAGAGGGAAAAAAAAAAACCCAGGGGAGAAAAAGGGAAGAGTCAATACAGCACAGGTTGTAAGCCAACTATGCCTTTAGGGATGAAGAAAGAAGGACAGAGGTGACAGCACTAAAAATGATGATGTAAGTGACAGGTGAAGCCAGCCTGACTTCCTGGGTCGAGTGGGGACTTGGAGAACTTTTCTGTCTAGCTAAAGGTTTGTAAACGCACCAATCAACACTCTGTAAAAACGGACCAATCAGCACTCTGTGTCTAGCTAAATGTTTGTAAATGCACCAATCAGCACTCTGTAAAAACGAACCAATCAGCACACTGTAAAATGGACCAATCAGCGCTCTGTAAAATGGACCAATCAGCAGGAAGTGGGCGGGTCCAAATAAGGGAATAAAAGCTGGACACCCACCCAGCAGCGGGAACCCGCTTGGGTCCCCTTCCATGCTGTGAAAGCTTTGTGCTTTAGCTCTTTGCCAATAAATCTTGCTGCTGCTCACTCTTTGGGTCCATGCAGCCTTTATGAGCTGTAACGTTCACTGGGAAGGTCTGCAGCTTCACTCCTGAAGTGAGCGAGACCACGAACCCACTGGAAGGAAAGAACAACTCTGGATGCACTGCAAGAGCTGTAACACTCACTGTGAAGGTCTGCGACTTCACTCCTGAAGTCAGCAAGACCATGAACCCACCAGAAGGAATAAACTCCAGACACATCTGAACATGTGAAGGAACAAACTCCAGACACACCATCTTTAAGAACCGAAACACTCACCATGAGGGTCCGTGGCTTCATTCTTGAAGTTAGCAAGACCAAGAACCC